>NC_000002.12:61099443-61402473 GCF_000001405.40 Homo sapiens | reverse complement strand
AATCATTTTGAACTAATTACTGTATTCTAAATAATATGGGAACTTGGAGCCACTCCTTCTGTCTCCCTTCCTTCTTCTCTTTCCTATTGTCCCCATCAAAGCTGATATTTTAAAAGGTTCGGTAATTGGACATAAGTAGTACTAATTCAGGATCAAAAGGGGGAATGGCCTAGTTTTAATTTTTTTCCCCTTAAGAGACAGGGTCTTGCTCTGTCTCCCAGGCTGGAGTGCGGTGGTGTGATCATTGGTCACCATAACCTTGAATTCCTGGGCTCAAACGATCCACCCACCTCAGCCTCCTGAGTAGCTTGGACACTAGGCATTCACTACAGTGCCTGGCTAAGTTTATTTTTATTTTATTATTACTTTTTTAAGAGATGGGGTTTATCTGTGTTTATGGGGTTTATCGAGACCAGCCTGGTCTCGAACTCATGGCCTCAGGTGATCCTCCTGCCTTGACCTCCAAAGTGCTGGGATTACAGGCATGAGCCATAGTGCCTTGCCATGCTAGTTGCATTTTTTATCCTGAATAATTATGTGTAATTCTGTGAAATCAGATAATTGCTCTAGTGTTGTAAGTTTTTTTCTAAGTATAGGGAAAAAGATTATAAAAATGGGCCGGGCGCGGTGGCTCATGCCTGTAATCCCAGCACTTTTGGAGGCTGAGGCAGGTGGATCACAAGGTCAGGATATCGAGACCATCCTGGCTAACACGGTAAAACGCTGTCTCTACTAAAAATACAAAAAAAAAAAAAAAATTAGCAGGGCGTGGTAGCGGGTGCCTGTAGTCCCAGCTACTCTGGAGGCTGAGGAAGGAGAATGGCATGAACCCAGGAGGCGGAGCTTGCAGTGAGCTGAGATCGTGCCACTGCACTCCACCCTAGGTGACAGAGTGAGACTCTGTCTCAAAAAAAAAAAAAAAAAAAAAAAAAATAGGGCCAGGTACAGTGGCTCACACCTGTAATCCCAGCATTTTTGGAAGCCAAGACAAGAGGACCACTTGAGGCCAGGAGTTTAAGTCTAGGCTGGGCAACATAGCAAGAGCTCATCTTTACAAAAGAAAAAAAAATTAACTGGGCGTAGTGGTGCACGCCTGTAGTCCCAGCTACTTGGGAGGCTGAGGCAGAAGGATCACTTGAGCCAGGAGGTCAAAGCTGCAGTGAGTTATGATCATGCCTCTGCATGACAGAGTGGGACCCTATCTTTAAAAAAGTAGAAAGGAGAGAAACCACTGCATTTATGTTAAATATACGTATGGTATAATCAGACAGATGAAATATATACATGAAGGTTTTATTTTTTAATTTTTTTTTTTTTTTTTTTTGAGACAGAGTCTTGCTTGGTCACCAGGCTAGAGTGCAATGGCGCGATCTCGGCTCACTGCAACCTCTGCCTCCTGGGTTCAGGCGATTCTCCTGCCTTAGCCTCCCAAGTAGCTGGGACTACAGGCGCGCACCCAAAATGCCCAGCTAATTTTTGTATTTTTAGTAGAGACAGGGTTTCACCATGTTGGCCAGGATGGTCTCAATCACTTGATCTTGTGACCTGCCTGTCTCGGCCTCCCAAAATGCTGGGATTACAGGCGTAAGCTACCGCACCTGGACTTATTTTTTAATTTTTGAATCAGGGTCTTCCTCTGTCACTCAGGCTGGAGTAGTACACTGGCACAATTATGATTCATTGTAGCCTTGAACTCCTGGACTCAAGTAACCCTTCACCTTCAGTGTCCTAAGTAGCTGGGAGTACAGGTGCATGCCACCATGCCTAGCTAGTTTTTCAATTTTTTTGAGGAGGCAGGGTCTTGCTCTGTTTCCTGGGCTGGCTTTGAGCTCCTGGCTTTGGGCAATCTTCCTGCCTCAGCCTCCCAAAGTACTGGGATTATAAGATGAGCTGCCACGCCCAGTCAATTTAGTATTTTTTAGAATAATACCAACGTTGTACAATTATCACTACTAATTCCAACATCACTGAGTTACTTTTAAGCAAAAATTTTGAGACATTGAGTTCTTCATGGTTTGATCATGGAGCAGCATTTTCTTAATTTACATAGAATTGCCTTTCCTCTGGCCGGGCGCGGTGGCTCACACCTGTAATCCCAGCACTTTGGGAGGCCGAGGCGGGTGGATCACAAGGTCAGGAGATCAAGACCATCTTGGCTAACACAGTGAAACCCTGTCTCTACTAAAAATAGAAAAAATTAGCCAAGCGTGGTGGCGGGTGCCTGTAGTCCCAGCTACTGGGGAGGCTGAGGCGGGAGAATGGCGTGAACCCGGGAGGCGGAGCTTGTAATGAGCCGGGATGGTGCCGCTGCACTCCAGCCTGGGCAACAGAATGCGACTCCATCTCCAAAAAAAAAAAAAAAATTGCCTTTCCTGTATAGTTACTCATTTATTTCTCTCTGTTTTCTCTTTTAAAATAACCAAATTTCTCTGCTATAAATAGGATGGGATCAACTCATGTAGTAAATGGGAGGTTTTTGAGGAAAAAAAATGCAAGACTTTAAAAATCATTGATAAGTTTATTAAAGCCTTTCTCAGCGATTACCTAAAATAAGAACTTTTGAAAAATACTGTTAATACAGCTTTTTTTTTTTTTTTTTGGGAGACAGTGTCTCGCACTGTTGCCGAGGCTGGAGTGCAGTGGTGTTATCTCGGCTCACTGCAACCTCTGCCTCTCAGGTTCAAGCGATTCACCGGCCTCAGCGTCCCGAGTAGTTGGGATTACAGGCGCCCGCCACCACGCCTGGCTAATTTTTTTGTGTTTTTAGTAGAGACGAGGTTTCACTGTGTTGGACAGGGTGATCTCCAACTCTTGGCCTCGTGATCCGTCTGCCTCAGCCTCCCAAAGTGCTGGGAATTACAGGCATGAGCCACCGCGCCCGGGACCGTTAATTCGTCTTTTAATGAGACTTCCTAGTGTTGTTCTTAGTGTTTTTTTTAACCTATAGATGTGTGTTAATTTTTTATATACTACTTAAAAAATGAGATTATAACATTTTAGGATGCTAGCTTTATGTATTCATATTGGAAATAGAGTGGCAAAACAGTTCCCCTGAATCACCAAAATAGATGTAATCAAATCTGAGTAACACTGCATACCAGGATAGAACTCAATTTTTTTTTTTTTTTTTGAGACGGAGTTTTGATCCTGTTGCCCAGGCTGGAGTGCGGTGGCATGATAACAGCTCACTGCAACCTTCGCCTTCCGGGATTCAAGCAATTCTCAGGAGGCTGAAACCTCCTGAGTAGCTGGGATTACAGGCATGCGTCACGACACCCAGCTAATTTTTGTAGTTTTAGTAGAGACCATGTTAGGCTGGTCTTGAACTCCTGACCTCGTGATCCACCTACCTAGGCCTCTCAAAGTGTTGGGATTACAGGCATGAGCCACTGCACCGGCCGTTAGGAGATTTTTTAGCTGTGCCCATGTTAGGCACTAGAAATCGTGGCTCTAAGATTCTAGCATGGTTCACCTGGTCCATGATTCTGTATTTAACAATACCACAGGAGGTCTTAAATTCTGGACTTTTTGAAGACCATGAAAAAGTTCGTTGAGATTAACATAAAGCTTCACCTCTGGCCCCGGTTGTCATAGCCAGGAGTGGATTTAGGAGGTTTAACACTTACTTTGAGACTTCATTTCTCTAAGGACATTTTTTGTTTATTTTGAAATGTTCTGAGTTCTGTATGATTGCTTTCAATCCATGATTTTCAGACTTTATTTCAGCAGTGTAACTTAAATATCTAAAATAGGTGATGGCAATGATGAATGGGTTTCTTTGGTAGCTTTTTTCAGATGAAAGTTTCTAGCTAGCTTTCTGATCATAAAAGCAGTTATTTTCTCTCTCCTCCCTCTTTCTCCTTCCCTTTTCTCCCTCCCCTTTCTCCCTCCCCCGACTTTCCCCTCTTCCCGCTTCCGCCTCCTTCCCCCGCTTCCGCCTCCTTCCCCGCTTCCGCCTCCTTCCCCTGCTTCCGCCTCCTTCCCCCGCTTCCGCCTCCTTCCCCCGCTTCTCCGTCCTTCCCCCACTTTCCCCTCCTCCTCCCTTACCCTTTCACCCCCCTTCTCTCCCTCTCTTTCTGTCCTCCCCCATCTCTCTCCTCCTTCTCTTTCACCAGGTCTCACTCTGTCACTCATGATCGAGTGCAGTGGCATGAACATGGCTCATTGCAGCCTAGACCTCCCAAGTTCATGCAATCCTCCCGCCTCAGCCTCCTGAGTATCTGGGACAACAGACACGCACCACCATGCCTGGCTAATTTTTAAAAATTTTTAATAGAGATTGGGTCTCGCCCGTGAGTACGAGGCTAGTCTTGAACTCCTGGGTTCAAGCAGTCAGCCTCCCACAGTGCTGGGATTATAGGTGTGAGCCACTGCACTCAACCTAAAAGCAATCTTTTTTTTTGGAGGCGGAGTCTCGCTCTGTTGCCCAAGCTAGAGTGCATTGGTACAATCTTGACTCACTGCAACCCCCCTCCCCCAAGCGGGTTCAAGTGATTCTTGTGCCTTAGTCTGCTGAGCAGCTGGGATTACAGGCGTGTGCCATCACCCCTGGTTAATTTCTTTTTTTTTTTCTTTGAGATGAAGTCTTGCTTTGTCACCCAGACTGGAGTTCAGTGGCACGATCTCAGCTCACTGCAGCCTCCGTCTCCTGGGTTCAGGCAGTTCTACTGCCTCAGCCTCCCGAGGAGCTGGGACTACAGGTGTGTGCCACCACGCCCAGCTAATTTGTGTATTTTTAATAGAGATGGGGTTTCACCATGTTGTCCAGGATGGTCTTGATCTCCTGACATCATGATCCGCCCACCTCGGCCTCTGAAAGTGCTGGGATTACAGGCGTGAGCCATTGCACACAGCCAGTTTTTGTATTTTTAGTAGAGACGCGGTTTCACCATGTTGGCCAGGCTGGTTTTGAACTCCTGACCTCAAGTGATTCGCCGGCCTTGGCCTCCCAAAGTGCTGGGATTCTAAGTGTGAGCCACCGGGCCTGGCCAAAAGCAGTCTTTTCAGCGTGAATTTTTTTTTTTTTTTTTTTAGATGGAGCCTCATTTTGTCTCCCAGGCTGGAGTGCAGTGGTGCAATCGTGACTCACTGCGACCTCCACCTCCTGGGTTCAAGCAGTTCTCCTGCATCAGCCTCCCAAGTAGCTGGGATTACAGGTGCCTACCATCACACCTGGCTAATTTTTGTATTTTTAGTAGAGACAGGGTTTCAGTATGTTGGCCAGACTGGTCTAGAACTCTTGACCTCAAATGATCTGCCCACCTTGGCCTCCCAAAGTGCTGGGATTACATATGTGAGCCACCATGCCCGGCCTCAGTGTGAAAAATTAAATACAGAATATACAAAATACAGACTTTGAAAGGCCTTTGAACTTCTCTTTTTTCTTCATTCTCTTCTCAAAAAAAGTTGAGATATTTCCAAACGTAAAAATTATGAACATCAGATCATGATCATAAATTTTCTTTCAGAAATGTAACAGGTGTTTTGTCTGTATGTAAGATTCTACCTTATTTTCAGACAGCATTTTAAAGATGTAACCTTAAAAATCACTTGATTAAAGTATACAGTTTATTTTCAGTAGATTTACAGAGTTGTGCAGCCATCATCACTTTCTAATTTTAGAGTATTTCCATCATCCCCCAAAGATCCCTCATGCCTTTTTCACCTTATTATTTTTAAGAGTTAGGACTGGGCGAGGTGGCTCATGCCTGTAATCCCAGCACTTTGGGAGGCCGAGGCGGGTGGATCATGAGGTCAGGAGATCGAGACCATCCTGGCTAACACGGTGAAACCCTGTCTCTACTAAAAATACAAAAAATTAGCCGGGCATGGTGGTGGGCGCCTGTAATCCCGGCTACTCTGGAGGCTGAGGCAGGAGAATGGCGTGAACCCAGGAGGCAGAGCTTGCAGTGATCCGAGATCATGCTCCTGCACTCCAGCCTGAGCGACAGTGCGAGACTCCGTCTAAAAAAAAAAAAAAAATTAGCTGGAATGGTTATGCCATTCATTTAGCCATCAAATTGATGGATGTCAGTTGTTTCTAATTGTGGGTTAATGAGCATCGTTATGCGTATATTTTCCAGTACTAGTATGATTAGTTCCTTAGAACAAAAAGCTAGAATTGCTGGGTCAAAGGCAATGTGTATTTTAAATATTGAAGGATATTGCCAAATAGCCTTCCAAAAAGTTCATACGAACTTATACTCACCAACAATGGATAACTGTGCTTTTAGGCAGTTGAAATCTTATGCAATGGAAGCACGTGTAACTCTTCAGTATACCTCTAGGGAATTCCAAAGCAGTTTCAAAAATCATGAAAAAGTTTGTTGAGAAACTTTTCAAAACAAAAACCACTTAACTATCATGTATTTTTATCAGAATTACCTTGAGTTTTATTTTAAACCTTTTTTTTTTTTTTTGAGACAGTTTTGCTCTGTCACCCAGGATGGAGTGTAATGGCGTGATTTCAGCTCACTGCAACCTCTGCCTCCCAGGTTCAAGCCATTCTCATGCCTCAGCCTCCTGAGTATTACAAGTGCCCACCACCACACTGACAATTTTTTTATTTTTCGTAGAGACAAGGTTTTACCATGTTGGTCAGGCTGATCTTGATCTCCTGACCTCAGGTGATCCACCCGCCTCGGCCTCCCAAAGTGCTGGGATTTTTTTTTTTTTTTTTTTTTTTTTTGAGACGGAGTCTCGTTCTGTCGCCCAGGCGGGAGTGCTGTGGCGCGATCTCCGCTCACTGCAAGCTCCGCCTTCCGGGTTCACGCCATTCTCCTGCCTCAGCCTCCCGAGTAGCTGGGACTACAGGCGCCCGCCACTGCGCCCGGCTAATTTTTTGTATTTTTAGTAGAGACGGGGTTTCACCGTGGTCTCGATCTCCTGACCTCGTGATCCGCCCGCCTCGGCCTCCCAAAGTGCTGGGATTACAGGCGTGAGCCACCGCGTCCGGCCGGGATTTTAAACATTGATTTTTTTAAGGCAAGATTACTTAATGTTTAATAAGGCAAAATAGTGTGTAGTATGTACTGTGGAATGGCTTCTACTTAAAGGAGGACTAAAATACACCTTAGAGCTGAATCCTATTAGCTTCAGTTAGGAGTATCACTGCTTATCAGGAGTAATTGCAAAATAATCTGTTTATTCGGTTTTTATAAAATCAGTCTTTTATAGAATTGTATTTTTTAAAGGTTAGTAGTTGTAACCTAATTTTACTTGCTTTTTTTTTTTTAATTAGGATATATCAACTCAAGAAAGTAACATATTAGGGGCATTCTGTGATATGAATGTAAGTGTTTACCTTTTTTATTCTTTTATGGAAAATTTTATTTTTTTAACAAAGCCTCATCCATATGTTTTATTATTTATATATGTCTTTTGAGTTTCTCATCAGTATCTTTCCAGTATTGCTAAGATAAAAATTATTTGTACGTTTTCAAATAATGACATGTTTTCTTTATTTTCCCAGGATGTAGAAGTACCATTGCATTTGCTTCGTTATGTATGTTTGTTTTGTGGGAAAAATGGCCTTTCTCTCATGAAGGATTGCTTTGAATATGGAACTCCTGAAACTTTGCCATTTCTTATAGCACATGCGTTTATTACAGTTGTGTCTAATGTAAGTATTGTTTTGAATTGATCTTAATTTTGGGAGCAATGTCTAGCATATCAGTAACATGAATTTTATGCTCTGAAAAGGAAGGTTTTGAATGATTTGCATGTGTAATTTTTTTTTATTTTGACAAAATGAGTACAGAAACGTTTTAACGATCTTTATTATTAAGATTAGAATTTGAATAAAATTAAGTTACCTGTTTTAAAGCTAAAAGGGGTCATGACTATCTATAATTATCTATTTTATCTAAGATAGGTGACTGCATAAAACTTTTGCTAATTTTCATTTTTTAACTTATTTTTTTTTTTTTTTTTTTTTTTTTGAGAGAGAGGGTCTCACTCCGTTGTTTAGGCTGTAGCTTCTACCTCCTGGGCTCAGGTGATCCTCCCACCTCACCCTCCTGAGTAGCTGGGACTAGAGGTGTGCACCACTGTGCCTGGCTGAATTTTTGTACTTTTTTTAGAGACAGAGTTTTACCATGTTGCCCAGGCCATTTTAAACTTGATCTTCCTGGGATTCTGTCCTGGGAAATTTTTGACTTTTTAGGTTATTGGTTACTTTAAATGATGCTTGCCTAGGTTACTATTATAGTATGCCTGAATTCTCTTACACATGAAGATTGTAACATTTCTTCTTGCCTTTGAAAATAAGGTAATTCTTCTGTATCCTGTGAGTATCAGTTTCACTGTGAAGCACAGTGGATATGGAAAGAAAGATACTTTTATTTATTTTTTTGACACGGAGTCTCACTTTGTTCCCCAGGCTGGAGTGCAGTGGTGCAGTCTCAGCTCACTGCACCCTCCGCCTCCTGGGTTCAAGCGATTCTTCTGCCTCAGCCTCCCAAGTAGCTGGGACTACAGGCACGAACCACCATGCCCGGCTAATTTCTGTATTTTGAGTACATGTTGGCCAGGCTGGTCTCAAACTCCTGACCTCATGATCCACCCACCTTGGCCTCCCAAAGTGCTGAGATTACAGGCGTGAGCGACTGTGCCCGGCCCGGAAAGAAAGATACTTTTAAATACCTGTATATTAAAATTCATTCTTTAATAACCTATTCTGGTCATAATTTAAAAAATTGGTAAAGCAAAAGTTCAGTGTACCTTTACCAAACACTGAAATCTTGTGTAATGGAATTACCTTAATTAATAGCTAATATCAGATATTTAAATTATCTATAAAATAAAAATATTGGGTGAAAAGTGACTCAACCAAATATTTTGTTGCATTGTTTCCAATGCTGTGTGCTTTGCAGTGATGCGGTACATTGGAAACAGCACTGACATTACTAAAATTGGTAATAAATGATTACTATCAAGGTCATTTTTAGTTAAAAAATTCCACCCATTCTGATAGGTTGAAATTATTACATATAGTAGTAGTGTAGCATGTAGGTTAATAATGTTGCCTTTTTTTTTTTTTTTTTAGACGGAGTCTGGCTCTGTTGCCCAGGCTGGAGTGCAGTGGCATGATCTTGGCTCACTGCAACCTCCGTCTCCCAGATTTAAGTGATTCTCCTGCCTCAGCCTCCCGAGTAGTTGGGACTACAGGCGTATGCCACCATGCCTGGTTAATTTTTGTATTTTTAATAGAGATTGGGTTTCACCATGTTGGCTAGGCTGGTCTCAAACTCCTAACCTCAGGTGATCCTCCTGCCTCAGCCTCCTAAAGTGCTGGGATTACAGGCGTGAGCCACTTTGCGTGATCTGAGCCTTAATTTTTTTAATTTGCAAAATGGGAATGATGATGATATCCATCTACTTTAGAGGATTGTTTTGAGGTTTAAAATGAGAAAGATTTTAAACTCATAATGTAACACTTGACATATAAAGTGTGTAGTAACTGGTGGCTTTTACTAACTTCGGTTGTTACTAAATACCTAAGTGATCCTGTTATTCTGATTGAACTTATTTGTTTGATAGAAAGTTTTATGTACTTTGGCATTCTCTGAGAGAAAGTATCTCAATTTAGTTAACTGGAATGCTGGGATAACATTTTTATTTCACACTGTGGTAATTTTGGAGAGGGCATATAATTTTGAAACACCAAATTATCAAAGGGTTTACTTAATCAGGAATATTACATAAACCTGGATTAAACTGTTTCTTGAATTTATTTGTACTAATTCTTGTTTAACAGTCTAGTATGGAAAGCTTGTTAAAGACTTTATTACTATATCTTTAAAAGTTATCGTTTACAGGGTTTTTTCTTCCTTACTTTATCCGTTTTTTTGAGACAGAGTCTCACTCCGTCACCCAGGCTAGAGTGCAGTGGCACCATCTTGGCTCACTGCAGCATCCACCTCCTGGGTTCAAGCAGTTGTCCTGCCTCAGCCTCCCTAGTAGCTGGGATAACTAGTGCACGCTACCACACCCAGCTAATTTTTGTATTTTTAGTAGACCCGGGGTTTCGCCATGTTGTCCAGGCTGGTCTCGAACTCCTGACCTCCTGTGATCCGCCCACCTCGGCCTCCCAAAGTGCTGGGATTACAGGCTTGCAGGCTTGAGCCACCGCACCCGGCCTTTGTTTTGTTTTTGTTTTTGAGAGAGAGTTCTGCTGTGCGGTAGTAGCAGCTGACTGCAGCCTTGATCTCCCAGGCTCAAGCAAACCTCCCTCCCATGTCAGCCTCCCAAGTACCTGGGACTAAAGGTGCATGTCACCACGCCTGGCTAAATTAAAAATTGTTTTTGTAGAGATGGGGTTACGCTGTTGCCCAACCTGTGAAGTTATCCTTTACTAAATACAAAGGTTTAGGCTTAGATTCTGTTTTATCTTTCTCTTCAGCCCTTTTATGACTGCTAATTGGTGGGCTGTTGTCAATCTGCATAGTTTTCTTTATCTTGCAACTCAACTGAGGCCGTTAAAGCAAAATTATACTATTTAAATTAATATATTTTTTGAACACCGTAATACTATAATACTATATAATCTGTTTGTTAATTTTCTGAGAATAATAACTCAATGGAGTAACTCTTTAATAGGCATCTTTTCCTTATAAAAAATATTGTAGATTGGCTCTCTGCAAGCTAATTTCTTTTATATGGTTAATATTTTAGTGTACATTAAGAGCTTAGAGTTCTTTTTGTAATCAAGCTTGCTACAGAAGCTGTGCTTTATTTATTTCATAGTAATTTCCTCTAGTGGGTCATTGTATAAACCCTGATCATTTTTGTATGTCTATTCCTTTTCTTGCGAAGTGGGCAGCTTGTTTAGCCATGGTGTTTTGGCTTCAATAGGGTGAGGTCTCTATTTGGGAATCTCTGAATTTCACAGGAATGAGTAGAACTATATTTAACAATGAAAAAAATAGTATTAGATTTTAGGGCAGCCGTTTGTAAAGAAAAGAAAATAACTCATAAATCACTTTTGTGGCAGGAAAGATACGGACTAACGTTACTGAATACTTCTTTTTCTCTATTATACTAAATCACACATTCAGAAGAGAACATGTTTATAGCATTTCCTGGGACTCAGGAAATGATCCCATTCTGTTTATTTTCTAGTATGATTTCCTCCTCACTTAAAGAAAAAGCTATATATTTATTTTGAGACTGGCTAATTTTTGTGTTTCTGGTAGAGGTAGTGTTTCACCATGTTCCCCAGGCTGGTCTTGAACTCCTGGGCTCAAATGATCCGCCCGCCTTGGCCTCCTAAAGTGCTGGGATTACAGGTGTGTGCCATTGCACCTGGCTGATTTCCTCACTCTTACTGAGGCAAGGTAACTTTGTCAGATGGTGAGTGTTATTTTTTCGTTTTTTTTTTGAGCTGGAGTCTCGCTCTGTCACCAGGCTGGAGTGCAGTGGTATGATCCCTGCTCACCTCAGCCTCCGCCTCCCAGATTCAAGCGATTCTCCTGCCTTAGCTTCCCGAGTAGCTGGGACTACAGGCACGCACCACCATGCCCAGCTAATTTTTGTATTTTTAGTAGAGATGGGGTTTCACCATGTTGGCCAGGATGGTCTCAATCTCTTGACCTTGCGATGCCCCCACCTCAGCCTCCCAGAGTGCTGGGATTACAGGTGTGAGCCACTGCGCCTGGCTGGTGAGTTTTTTTTTTCAGAACCTGAATCTAGAATCCTGAAATTTCATCTCAGGAAAACTCACTCTTCTCTGGATTTGAATTATCAACAAAGAAAGGAAATTCTTACCTTATCAGATTAAGGTTCAAATCTGATAATAACGTCAAGCCCATACATTTGTTTCAATCTCAAAAACTTTAGCAGATTCTTAACTAGAACTTCAGCAGTTCTTAACTAGCTCTGAGTTTTAGGAGATTTCTCAGTTTGCACAAATATTATTCCACCTATTATATGGATCCGTTCTTTAATAACAGCTGCACCCACAAGAAAACAACAAAGATCTTTATGTAGTTTTCTTACTTTGCAAATGCAGCTTTTTATGTAGTTTTCTTACTTTGCGAATGCAGCTTACTAACATTTAACACAGCTTAGAGAAATAGAACATGGAGGCATACAAGTTTCTCCACTGAGACCCAAATGGAAGTTAATCTCACTTTTGTTGAGTTACACTTGGTTTTAGCTTACAGTATCCTTCCTCAGCCCTCAGCTCTTTGCCAGAGTTTGTCATTTCATACATAACACCTTTTATTAATTTATAAAGAATCCAATAGAGACAAGGGGTTTATTTTATTATGGAGTAGAAAGAAGTGCAAATGAGGATTAATAAAAAGAACTTCACACAAAATATGCTTTAGTCAAAGGTATAAGCTTGTAGGGCTTAAGTAACGTATAGGGGAACACAATAGCAATTTCTGAATGTTCAGTGTCCTAAGACTGCTTTTTACAAATATACTAGCAAAGACTGTTTAATATCAGAAACTAGGGTAGGATTACATATTTTTTGATATCTCTTTACTAGATAGGAGAATAGGAAATTAAGTTTTCATGATGCCACTTTGCACTTTGTCAGAACTAGGTTTGATGCAGAACGCTGTTTTTCTGCAGTTACAGGGAGCAAGGAACTTTTTTTTTCTTTTTTTCCCTATTTCTGAGAGTTTTAACCTAGGTTAAAAGGTTAGGAGGGCTGCTAGAATTCCATTAGCACTAAGCAGGGGGTGGGGAGAAGGAAACCTGAAAAGCTCAAAACTTAAAAAAAAATGATAAAGGACACACTGTAGGATTAATAGCATATGCAATTTGGTTTTTATGATGTTGGGATCTATAGTAGTGTTAAAGAATGCTGATTTTTATAATGATATAATCCTAGGTTTGAATTGTACCTCTGTTGCATAGTATGTAATTTTGTTTTCATTACTTTTATAAGCATTACTTTTCTCATTTATCACAATGGGAATATTAAGGACTTAGTAAATGGTAGATCTTCCTTGTATTAAAATTTTTTCTTGTATTGACATTTTTCTTCATTTGCTGTTTTTTAATTGAAATTTTTAATCACTTGTGTCTGTGTATTCTAAAATAAAAGATATAACTATGCCCTCTGATGTATCTTGTATAAAATAGGATTTTTAACCTTCTGTTAAAATTTGAAAAATAACATTCATAAAGAAACGTACACAAAGTGATAACATGTGGCTCAGTGATTTATCAAAGCAAATATTCGTTTAACCATCACTCAAACCAAGAAACAGAACATTGTCAACTCCCCAGAAGCCTACCTTATGAGTCCTCAGGCCACTAACTATTCCATCTCTTCTCCTTTAAAAATAAACACAATTCATCCTTTAATGCTGATCATTCTCCTGCTTTTTTTAAACAAAGTTTTATCACCTAATCTTATATCCCTAAACACTACAATTTGGTTTTGTCTGTTTTCACCATGCAGATGGAATCACATACTATGCATTCTTTCATGCCTGGTTGTTTTTTTTAAATGCCGAAATTTATATTGCATGTATGTTCATTTTTATTGTTGAATTATCTTTTAAAATATACCAATTTATTTTACTGGTGATGGACATTTAGGTTATTACAGTTCATATGGGTGTCAGCATTCTTCTATGTGTGTTTTGGTGAACATGTGTGTGCATTTAATTTGGATGTATATCTAGAAGTAAATGTCTTATCAGGGTGTTTGTGTGTGTGTGTGTGTACATATATATATATATATATATTCTTTTTCTGAGATGGAGTCTTGCTCTGTCGCCCAGGCTGGAGTGCAGTGGCGTGATCTCAGCTCACTGCAAGCTCTGCCTCGCGGGTTCACACCATTCTCTTGCATCAGCCTCCTGAGTAGCTGGGGCTACAGGCGCCCACCACCATGCCTGGCTAATTTTTTGTATTTTTAGTAGAGGCAGGGTTTCACCGTGTTAGCTAGGATGGTCTCGATCTCCTGACCTCATGATCCGCCTGCATCGGCCTCCCAAAGTGCTGAAATTACAGGTGTGAGCCACCATGCCCAATCTTTTTTTTTTTTTTTTTTAAACTCCCCTGTACCCCCACATCCCCTCGAGTATGCATATTTTCAAACTTGGGTGTTAAACCTATGGTTTCCTTAGGTGGTTGTATTAATTTATACTTCTGTCAGGTCTGTGAGAGTTCCCCTAGTTGCATATCCTTGCCAAGTGTTGACTTGGTTTTTTATAGATTTCTAATGGATTTATAGTAGTAGCTCATTGTGATTTTATTATTTTTTGAGACAGTGTCTTACTCTTGTCACCCAGGCCAGAGCGCATTGGGGTGATCTCAATTCGTTGCAACCTCCACTTCCTGGGCTCAGGCGATCTTCCCACCTCAGCCTCTTGCATAGCTGGTGTGTGCCACCATGCCCCGCTAAGCAGATGTGGGGTTTTGCCATATTGTCCTGGCTGATCTCAAACTCCTGAGCTCAAGCATCCTCCATCCTTGGCCTTCCAAAGTCCTGGGATTACAGGCATGAGCCACTCCACCTGGCCTTTTTTTTATATTTATATATATATATGTGTGTGTGTGTGTGTGTGTGTGTGTGTGTATAAATATATTTTTACATATGCTTATATATAAAAATATATTTTTACATATGCGTATACGTAAAAATATATATTTTTACATGTGTGTATACGTAAAAATATATTTTTACATGTGTGTATACGTAAAATATATTTTTACATGTGTGTATACGTAAAAATATATTTTACATGTGTGTATACGTAAAAATATATTTTTACATGTGTGTATACGTAAAAATATATTTTTACATGTGTGTATATGTAAAAATATATTTTTACATGTGTGCATATGTAAAATATATATTTTTATATATGTGTGTATATGTAAAAATATATATTTTATATATGTGTGTATATATAAATATATATATTTTATATATGTGTGTATATATAAATATATATATTTTATATATGTGTGTATATATAAATATATATACATACATACATATATATACACTCACACACACACTTTTGTTGTTGTTTTTTTGAGATAGAGTCTTGCTCTGTTGCCCAGGATGTAGTGCAGTGGTGCGATCTTGGCTCACTGCAGTCTCCACCTCCTGGGTTCAAGCGATTCTCCTGCCTCAGCTTTCCAAGTAGCTGGGATTGCAGGAACCTACTACCAAGCCTGGCTAAATTTTTTGTACTTTTAGTAGAGATGGGATTTCACTATGTTTGGCCAGCTTGGTCTCGAACTCCTGACCTCAAAGTGATCTGACTGCCTCAGCCTCCCAAAGTGCTTTGATTACAGGGGTGAGCCACTGCACCTGGCCTGTTATATATTTCTAACGACTAATGAGAATCAGCACCTTTTCATAGGCATATTACTTATTTGGATTTTTTTTGCGAAGTACCTGTTTAAATCTCTCGCCCATTTGCAAAATTGGATTGTCTTTTTCTTGCTGATGTTTAGAATTTCCTTGTGTGTTTTAGATAGACGTCTTTTTAGGTAGAAGTGTTTTGTTTGATATATGTATTGCCAATATCTTCCACTCTCGTGTTGCTTTTCACTGTTGTGTTGAAGAAATATTATTCATCAAGCTTCATGTTGTACAGTTTGTCATTTTTCTTTATGGTTAAGGTTTTCATTTTTGGTTGAAAAAGTCATTTTTAACTCTAAGGCCATGAAGATACTTACAAAGTTTTTTTTGTTTGTTTCTTTTTAGATGGAGTCTCGCTCTGTTGCCAGGCTGGAGTGCAGTGGCTTGATCTCAGCTCACTGCAACATCCACCTCCTGGGTTCAAGCGATTCTCCTGCCTCAGTCTCCTAAGTAGCCGAGACTGCAGGCACTTGCCACCACGCCCAGCTAATTTTTTGTATTTTTAGTATAGATGGGGTTTCACCATGTTGGCCAGGATGGTCTCGATCTCCTGAGCTTGTGATCCATCTGCCTCGGCTCCCCAAAGTGCTGGGATTACAGGTGTGAGCCACCGTGCCCGGCCAAAGTTGTTGTTTTTTTTGAAAAATTTTTTCTTGCTTACCTTGATCAGGAAACAAGTATTATTGCTTTACCTTTCATATTTTGATCTATTCAACTGCAATACATTTTTATTTATAGTTTCAGGAGGGATTAAGATTCATTTTCTTTTTCATACAGATATCCAGTGTTCCTAACACTGTCACAAAGACAGTCATTTCTTCTTTGTTCTGTAGTTCTACTTTTGTTGCACAGGTTAGTGTTGAACTCCTGGCCTGAAGTGGCCTGAAGTGATCCTTCCATCTTGGCCTCCAAAAGTATTGGTTACAGGTGACTCATGCCTCATCACTACAATGAGCCAAATCGGATGTTTTTATGTGCATGGGTTTGGGCTCTTTGGCATAGTATACCATTCTATTTGCCTAATTTTGTGCTGTTTTGCCTACTGACTTAATTACTGAAGCTTTACAAGAAGTCTTGCTCTCTGGGAAAGCAAGTACTACCTCCCTGTCATATTTCTTTTTTTTTTTTTTTTTGGAGACAGAGTCTCACTTTGTCACCTAGGCTGGAGTGCAGTGGGACGATCTCAGCTTACTGCAACCTCCACCTCCTGGGGTTCAAGTGATTCTCCTGTCTCAGCATCCCAAGTAGCTGGGATTACAGGTGCGCGTCACCACACCTGGCTCATTTGTTTTTGTGTTTTCAGTAGAAACAGTTTCACCATGTTGGCCAAGCTGGTCTTGAACTCCTGACCTCAGGTGATCTGCCCACCTCGGCCTCCTGAAGTGCTAGGATTACAGGCCTGAGTCACTGCACCCAGCTTCTCCTTGTCGTATTTCTTTTTTTTTTTTTTTTTTTTTTTGAGACAGAGTCTTGCTTTGTTGCCCAGGCTGGAGTGCAGTGGCATGATCTTGGCTCACTGCAAGCTCCGCCTCCCAGGTTCACGCCATTCTCCTGCCTCAGCCTCCCAAGTAGCTGGGACTACAGGCGCCCGCCACCACGTCCGGCTAAGTTTTTTGTATTTTTAGTAGAGATGGGGTTTCACCATGTTAGCCAGGATGGTCTCGATCTCCTGACCTCGTGATCCGCCCGCCTCGGCCTCCCAAAGTGAGATGTGAGCCACCGCGCCTGGCCTCCTTGTCGTATTTCTTAGAGAGTTTTAGCTATTCTTGGACCTTTGTGCTTTGAATGAGTTTCATAAGTTCTGCATGTAAACCTTTTTGGATTGTACTGAATCTATAGATGAATTTCGGGAGAACTATTATCTTCACAATAAATATGGCAAATGTCTCCTTATTTACATGTTGTTTAATTGATTATTTTCCAACTTTTTATGTAGAGGTGTGTATCTTGTTAGATTACTCCTAGACACATGATATTTTTGATACTGTTCTTAAGGGAATCGTTTTGAAAACTGTATTATTTGTTCTCAGGAACAAATAATAAGAAAAGAACATATATAGGGTGTTGTGTGTATGTATAGATAGGTGTGTGCATATTTGTTTATATTAACCTAGCAGCAGTTTTGCTAAACTCTTTAGTTTCAGTGTTTATCTGATAATTATTTTGGGTTTCCTAATTATATAATTATATTATCTCAGAGTATTATTTTAAATTCTTCTTTCTAGTCCTTTGCCTTTTATTTAGTTTCTTAACTTATATTGTCTAGGTCCTTCAGTTCAAGTGGAATTGAGGCTTCCTTGTCTTGTTCCTAGTCTCAGGAGGCAAAGTTTTTAACATTTCATCATTAACGTAGTATTTACTACAGGGTTTTTATAGACGTCTTTTATTTGATTATAGTGAATCCCTACATTCTGAATTCCCAAATTCATGTATTTTATTTTTTAATTTTTTTTGTTTTGAGACATGGTCTTGCTGTGTTGTCCAGGGTGGAGTACAGTGACGCGATCCTGGCTCACTGAGACTTCCACCTCCTGGGTTCAAGCGAATCTCCCACCTCAACCTCCCAGAGTGCTGGGACTGCAGACATGTGACACCATGCCTGGCTTATTTTTGTATTTTTTTGGTAGAGATGGGGTTTCAGCCATGTTGCCCAGGCTGGTCTTGAACTCCTGACCTCAAGTGATCCACCTGCCACGATCTCCCAGAGTGCTGGGATTATAGGCATGAGCCACCGCGCCTGTCCAGATTTTTTAATTTGTATCTCCTGCCTGTGTCAAGACTCAGTATCAGAGTTTTTTGTTTGATTGGTTGGGTTAGGATTTTTATTCTTACTATTTTTGAAAATAAAACTGTTATATAATGTATTCACATTTGATTTATAAATGTTAAAATATTGTGTAGAAAAAATGAGGAAATATATTTATTGTAACTTTTATTATAACTCAGTCGAGCTGTAAGTTACTTATAGTAAACTTAGTAAGTACTTGTTGATATTGTAATCAGTGTGTGACTGTAAAATATATTTGCTTCAGATACTGAAATGACTAGAAATTATGGGTAATTTGAAATATTTTAGGAAGGAATGATGAGATGATTAGTTAAAAACTAATACGGTTTATTAAAAAACTAATACAGTGCCTTGTATTGGGGATGCTACCGTACAAAGAGGTATAGAGAATTATTTGGTAAGGAAATATTACTTTGAGAGATGGTTTTGTCTTTTCAGCAAGAAGCTAAGATTAATTTTTCAGACAGACTTCATGTAAAATAAGATATATAATATATAGGTTAAATTTCCTGATACATGTGTAATTCTGTTTTGTACTATACTCTTTTCATAATTGATAATATATGTAATTATAGAGGCAGCAGAATACTAAATGATCCTCGTTTTTGTTTTGTTTTTTATTTGAGACGGAGTCTCGCTCCGTTGCCCAGGCTGGAGTGCAGTGGCACAATCTCGGCTCACCACATCCTCTTCCCCCCGCCCCCCCCGGGGGTGGGGGTTCAAGCGATTCTCCTGCCTCAGCCTCTCAAGTAGCTGGGACTACAGGTGCGCGCCACCATGCCCGGCTAATTTTTGTGTTTTTAGTAGATACGGGGTTTTACTGTGTTGGCCAGGCTGATCTCAAACTCCTGACCTTCGGATCTGCCCACCTCAGCCTCCCAAAGTGCTGGGATTACAGGCGTGAGCGACCGTGCCTGGCCAATGCTCTTGTTTTTCATTAGTTTAGTGAAAGATATATGTATTTCACATATTAGGCATTAATGTTGTTTTTATGTTTCTTATATAGATTAGAATATGGCTACATATTCCCGCTGTCATGCAGCACATTATACCTTTTAGGACCTATGTTATTAGGTAAGTTTATAAAATTTCTTTACCCCCGATTATCAGTGTAATATATTTAAACAATTTATAATATAGAATTATATTGTTTGAAAGTCCCCTATAGTCATATCCTCTAGAGAAAATTTCAAGTAACAGTTTGGTATATAGTGTTTTTTATGCACATATATGGATTTATATTTAATGGTTACTTTTTAGTAAATTATGTTGGACTTTTTTTTACATGAGTATGTAAAGAATTAAAGAGATTAATAATGGTTATTCCACTGTATTTAGTCAGCAAATACACAGTAAGTGTCTGTTACGTTCTAGGCACTGAGGATATAGCAGAGAAGAAAACAAATTGCAAAAATCTCTGCTCTTGTGCAGTCTGTTTACAAAAGAAGTAAATGATAATACTACATCAGAAAGTGATAAGTATTATAGGATAAATAGCAGCAAAGGTGGCTTGAGAGTTCTAGGGGGTGGGTTACAGTTTATGGGGACAGGAAAGGTCTCATTGAACGAGAGGTGACATTTGAATTTTATAAGTCTCAACTTAAAAAGGAAGCCTAAGAAGATGGAGAAAGGGTTGTACTGATTAGAATTAAAGTATGAACTGTCAGGATTCTGCATATTTTATTTCTTGATAACATTTATGACAGTATTGTACTTTTTTTCTCATTTGCAAAGGTTTGAGTGTTCCCTTTTTCACAGCACTACTCAACTTTTGGGAGACAGTATCAGGCAAAGAATCAGATAGTGATGAATGCTATGCAAGTAAGTTAGTGTGATACAGAGGGAGTATGGGGCCTTTCTGAAGGGTGATATCTGATGGACGTGAGTCAGCTATTCAAATGATTATTAGAAAGACGTATTGTAGAAGGAACATGTCAGTATAGGCTTTGAAGTTGGCATATGACACAAACTAGAAGCAGATTGGTGTGGAGAATAATGTGTAAGGGGATATAGTTTTGAAGGTGGAGAGATAAGCAGGGGCAGATTATTCAGGACCTTGTAGGCCACTGTAAGGAGTATGGATTTAATTTTTTCAATGGGAGTCTATTGAAGGGTTTTTAGCAGATGTTTCATGATTTTTTAAAAGTTTTATTTGGCTTTTAAATAGATCATAAATATAGGGTGACTGGAATAGAAGCTAGGAGGAGACCAATTGAAAGGTTTATATATTAGTCCTGGAAGGAAAGTGATGATTACTTACAGTAGGATTGTTAATGATGATTTTGAAAATTGGATGAATGTAAGTGAAAATAAAATCAATAATACTGGTCATTATAGGGTATAAAGAAAAGGGTAGCATTGTGGATGTGGATGACATTCAGCACCCCCCCTCCTCAATTTTTTTTATTTGTACTGTGGATATCATTACTGAGATGTGAAAATCTGGGAGAACTTAAAGACAAGACTTTGAGAGGCCTGTGGGACTTAAATGGCACTGGCAAATTGGGAGTATGAACTTGTAGTTCAGAACAGTTTTCATTAATGTAAGAGTTGTGAGTGTAAAGATGGTATTTAAAAACCATAGGAGTCACCTGAGGAGAGCATACAGGAAAAGAGTAGAGGTGAGTCTAAGATAGAGCTCTGTATGGGTTGGTTTTGCTGTGTAAGAAAACATCCCTCAAAACTTAGTGGCTTACAACAATAGCCAGCCAGGCATGGTGGCTCATGCCTGTAATCCCAGCACTTTTGGGAGGCCGAGGCGGGAGGATCACCTGAGCCCAGGAGTTCAAGACCAGTCTGGGCAACATAGCGAGACTCCATCTCTGTGCAGAAGAAAATTAGGTGGTCGTGGTGGCATGCTTCTATAGTCCCAGCTACCAGGGAAGCTGAGGTGGAAGGATCACTTGAGCCCAGGAGGTCGAGGCTGCAGTGAGCTCTGATTGAGCAATTGCACTCCAGCGTGAGTGACAAAGCAAGACTTTGTTTTATAAAAAAAGAAAAAATGAAACAACAGCCATTTATCATTTCTCACAGTTCTCTGGTTAGCTAGGTAGTTTTGTGTGTGTGTGTGTGTGTGTTTTATTTTTTTTTAGTTTTACATTTTTTGTTTATTTTTTATTTATTTATTTTTTTTTTTTTTATTGATCATTCTTGGGTGTTTCTTGCAGAGGGGGATTTGGCAGGGTCATAGGACAATAGTGGAGGGAAGGTCAGCAGATAAACAAGTGAACAAAGGTCTCTGGTTTTCCTAGGCAGAGGATCCTGCAGCCTTCCGCAGTGTTTGTGTCCCTGGGTACTTGAGATTAGGGAGTGGTGATGACTCTTAACGAGCATGCTAGCTAGGTAGTTTTGTTGATCTGTATTGACTTGGCTGAAACTGGATGGTCTAGGTTAGCCTTGTTCCCACATTCTGTGATTGCCATGCCGATTGGTCTTGTGGGGTGAGCGGGAATCTCATATATGTCTTGTAGTTGGCTTCATGTCAGTTGGAGCATCAGGCACTTCTCTTTCATCCAGCAGGCTAACCTTGGTTCCTTGTTTTGTTGGTGATTAGAGTTCCCAGCAAGAGAAGGCAAGCTCAAAGGCTTTTCTAGCTTCCACTTATGTCATGTCTATTAATATCTCATTGGCCAAAGCAAGTTACATGGCAAGGCCCAGATTTAAGGTGTAGAAATAGATTACACCTTTTGATGAGAGGAATAGCAAAGTCACATTGCAAATTCTTGTACATATAATGATGGGAGGAATTTGTGGCCATTTTGTAATCCATTACAGGCCTTGAGGAAGACTAATGTTGAAAGGTTGGACAGCAGAGAAGGAATCTGCCAAAGAGATTAGGCAGGGCCTGAGAGGAAAACCAGAGGTTTGTGGGTTTTGGACACAAAAAATGTTAATGCTTACAATGTACATTTTAAGTTACTGAGTGGTCTTTAAAAATGCTTTATGAATTTTTGTGTATTTTCTATTTCTGAATCATTTCAGGTATTTATGCAAGCTCTCGGATCAGGAGTTACGACAGAGTGCAGCTCGTAACATGGCTGACTTAATGTGGAGCACAGTCAAAGAACCATTGGATACAACATTATGCTTTGATAAAGAAAGCCTAGATCTTGCATTTAAGTACTTTATGTCACCTACTTTGACTATGAGGTTGGCTGGATTGAGTCAGATAACAGTAAGCTGTATTTGTTTTATTTTTGGTCATCGTTTATTTGTTTTCTGGTCTATCATAATACTACCCACTATTTATGGAGCACTTCATACTAGGCATTGTGCTAAGTATTTTATGTGGATTACTTTATATGGTCTTCACAAATAATTTCTGTGTTTCTCTTATTTTAAATAAGTCTGAAGCTTAGATTTATATGGATTTATACTGTGGGTCCATTTGATTTCCGGGTCCAACTCTTTCATCATTTTGTTTCTGTCTTTTTAAACTATTTAGGTTTTTATGTTTATAGATGTTTTGAGAAAGAGGAATAATTGGAGGGCTTTATAAGCAGTTAATTAATTTTCCAGGCAGAAACCATAGATTATTGGGCCGTAGGCCAAATTTTACTAAATGTTTGTTTTGAATAGTCTTAAATACTGTTTTTAAATAGGACAAAGTAACATGAAAATCTGTATTCTTGGCTTCTCTTGGTGAGGGGGTTGGAAGAAGGCCTGGTATTCTTGGGTCTGTATTCTTGCATAACAACAGTCTGTTAGAACTAAGTAATTAACTTTATCCCTCAGAATGAATATGCTTTCTCCGGTTTGTTGCAGTCCCCATTTGCTTTACTCCTTTACATTTCTGGGTTTTTGTTTTGTTTTGTTTTGTTTTTTGGTTTTTCTTGGAGATGGAGTCCCATTCTGTTGTGCAATGGCATGATCTCGGCTTACTGCAACCTCCACCTCCTGGGTTCAAGCGATGCTCTTGCCTCAGCCTCCTGAGTAGCAGGGACTACAGGTGTGCGCCACAACACCCAGCTAATTTTTTGCATTTTTAGTAGAGATGGGTTTTTACCGTGTTGGCCAGGCTGGTCTGGAATTCCTGACCTCAGGTGATCCACCCGCCTCATCCTCCCAAAGTGTTGGGATTACAGGCGTGAGCCACCCCACCTGGCCACATTACTGTTTTTGTTTTGTTTTGTTTTGGTAGTGTAGTCACACTGAAAATGTGAAATAGGTGGAGTTTACTTGTGTACCGGGTTTCATAAATATAAAAGATACTTGTTGATATTGTCCCAGATAAATTAAATCTTGAGTGGATTTATCTGGGGAGTCTTTCCTGAAACTTTGTCTATAATGACATATTACTTGCTCTCTTGCGTTAAATTGTTGTGTTTTTTTACTTACTCAGCTTTATTTTCTCCAGTGCACTTAGTGTAATAAAGAATACTATTTGTGGAATGAATTTAGTGTTGTTTTTTTTTTTTTTTTTTTTTTTTCGTTTTTTTGAGATGGACTCTCACTCTGTCGCCCAGGCTGGAGTGCAGTGGCGCGATCTTGGCTCACTGCAACCTCTGCCTCCTGGGTTCAAGTGATTTTCGTGCCTCAGCCTCTGAGTAGCTCGCGTTTTAGGCGCATGCCACCATACCCAGCTAATTTTGTATTTTTAATAGAGATGGAGATTTACTGTGTTGGTAAGGCTGGTCTCAGAGCTCCTGACCTCAGGTGATCCACCTGCCTTGGCCTCCTAAAGTGCTGGGATTACAGGTGTGAGCCGCTGCGCCTGGCCATTATTTAGTATTTTAATATAACAGAAATAGTTTTAGTAATTGGGAAGCGTGTGTCTCTGATTATGTCTTAGATTTTATAATATTAATCTAGTTATTGTGATCTACATATGTCAATCAGTTTACCATGTTAGTATTTGCTGACAAATGCAAGAATAATTTTGGAAATAAAAACCCTTAATTTCTTGTCTTTAATCATAGAATCAACTCCATACCTTCAATGATGTGTGCAATAATGAATCATTAGTATCGGACACAGAAACGTAAGTAGGAGCATTAATTTATATATAAGTATACCATTTTAATGTACAGTTGTTTATATGGTAAATTCTAATTTTTAGATTTAAAATTTTTACTAGAAATTCTTTGCCCTTTGACATTGTGTACAGTTCTTCATGAAGCTTTCAGAACATTATGCTGTCTGTAACATAACTCACTCTCCCTCTTTTTTTTGAGACAGGGTCTTGCTCTGTTGCCCAGGGTGGAGTACAGTGGTGGGACCATGGCTCACTACAGCCTCAAGTTCCCAGGGTCAGGTGATCCTCCCACCTCAGCCTCCCGGATAGCTGGGACCATAGGCGCATGCCAGCATGCCTGGCTAATTTTTGTGATATTTGCAGAGGCAGAGTTTTGCCATGTTGCTCAGTCTAGTCTTGTAGACTCAAGCCATCCACTTGCCTCAGTCTCCCAAAGTGTTGGGATTACAGGCGTGAGCCACTGTGTCTGGCCACATTTCTCTCTTTTAAAAGCGTATGCGAACATATAGTACTATTTGTCACAGTATGAAAGCATACTGTTTATACTGGAGAATTTAGTCTTGAAAAATATGGTACTGATAGTTTTCAGAAAGTACACTGTCTTAGTCCAGGCTGCTGTAACAAAGTACTGTAGATTGGATGACTTATAAACAACAGAAATTTATTTCCCATAGTTCTGGAGGCTGGAAGTCCGAGATCAGGTTGTTGGCAGCATCGTCAAGTTCTGGTGGGGTCCTTCTTCTGGACTGTAGATGGCCATTTTCTTTTATTTTCGCATGGTGGAAAGAGGTAGAGAGGTCTCTGGGGTCCCTTTTATTAGGCCACTAATCCCATTCATGAAGGCTCCACCTTCATGACCTAATTATCTCCCAAAGGCCCCATTTCCAATAACATCACATTGGGAGTTAAAAAAGTAGTTTTTATAGCTTAAACTTCTTTGGTTCTGAGAAATATATGTATTCCATTTAATTGTTCATCTAGTATAGAAATCAGTTTTAAAAATCTCAAACAGTAGGATAGAATATTTTCTGGAACAGAGTTGGATTGGTTTGTTAGAAAATTCTTGATTATACATGTGAGTCATACTTTAGTGTAACTTGATGTTACTACTGCTCTAAGGCGCTAATCCCAGTTGAACCTAGGTCTTCATGAATTTGGAAACCAGAGACTGTCTCTTGACTCTTTTTTCCCTTCAGGCTAAAGAGTTCTTATTCTCCCAGTTGTTCTTTATGTGGTATGGTTTTTGGATTTATCACTATATGAGTTATTCATCTCTGGCAATATTCTTTGTCAGTGATCCCCTTAAAGTGTGTTGCCTAGAATTTTTCATTGCTTTATAAATTCTGGATTATATTAGAAGTGTTGTTTCACACTGTCAAGACATTATGTAGACGATATCCAGTGTATTTATAAAGCTACAGCTCTGTGCCAGGCACAGTGGCTCACGCCTGTATCCCAGCACTTTGGGAGGCTGAGGCGGGCAGATCACTTGAGGCCAGGAGTTCAAGGCCAGCCTGGCCAACATGGTGAAATTCCATCTCTACTGTAAATACAAAAATTAGGTGTGGTGGCGCATGCCTGTGATTCCAGCTATTTGGGTAGCTGAGGCACGAGAATCACTTAAACCCGGAGACAGAGATTGCAGTGACCCGAGATGGTGCCATTTTCACTCCAACCTGGGCGACAGAGCAAGAGTATGTCTCAGAAAAAAACCAAAACAAACAAAATAAACCTACAGCTCTGGATTTTCATTTTCATCCTGTGTCCCCTCACCCCTCCACCTCCGCGAGACCGCTTAAAGAGAACCTTATGTAATTGCTAATGTGATATTCATACTCCTCTCATCCCCTGTGAAAAGGACAAAAATTGGGAATGTTCACTGCAGTAATAACACATTCAGGCTAGGTGTTGTGTGAAAACAGTGAATGGGGGAATAAGAAGGAATTCCAATAACAAATGCAAGGAATATACATCCCAAAGACATGTTTAAGAGAATAGGGAGGAGAACAAAAGTATTGAGGACTGGTGGTAAAGAGTTCAAGATGGCAAGGGAGAGTATGTGTACAGTGTGAGAAAATTGGAGTAAACAGAAAAAGCATGTGATAAATATTGTTGGCGGCTGTGAATTGGGTATTTTTAAGCAGTTTTATTAACATATAAATACATATAAAATTCACTTTTTAAAATATACAAGTCAATGAATTTTATAATAGTAAATTCTTAGAGTTGTGCAGCTGTCACCACAGTCCAATTCTAGAACATTTCCATCACTTAAAAAAGATGTCTTTTGCCCATTTGTAGCCAGTACCTATTATTTCCAGCCTCACTAATCTACTTTCTGTCTCTGTAGATTTACCCATTTTGAGATATTTCATTTAAAAGGAATCAAATGATAGTAGTCATTTTCTTCTGGCTTCTTTTCATTTAGTATACTCTTGTTCGTTTGTTTGAGGTTCATTGAGATTGTAGTTTGTCTCTGTACTTTATTCCTTTTTATTGCTTAATAGTATCACATTGTATAGATATACCACACTTGATCAAGTACCAGTTGATGGATATTTGGATTGTTTCTACTTTTTTTTTTTTTTTTTTTTTTTTTTGAGACAGAGTCTTGGTCTGTCACCCAGGCTGGAGTGCAGTGGCGCGATCTTGGCTCACTGCAAGCTCCGCCTCCCAGATTCACGCCATTCTCCTGCTTCAGCCTCCCGAGTAGCTGGGACTACAGGCACCCGCCACCACTTCCGGCTAATTTTTTGTATTTTTAGTAGAGACGGGGTTTCACTGTGTTAGCCAGGATGGACTCGATCTCCTGACCTCGTGATCCGCCTGCCTTGGCCTCCCAAAGTGCTGGGATTACAGGCGTGAGCCACCGCGCCCCGCCTGTTTCTACTTTTTGATTAATATAAATAATGCCATTATAAACATTTATGTAAAGTCCTTTTGTGATCATATGTTTTCATTTTTCATGGTAGATACTTAGGATTAGAATTGTTGCTTATATGATTAGTTTACCTTTAACTTTCATTGGAGCTGTCAAACTGTTTTCCAGTATACCTGCATTATTTTACATCCCCACTAGCATTGTAGGAGGTTTCCAGTTTCTCCCTATTCTTGCCAGCAGTTGTTATTATCTAGATTTATTATTGCCATTTAGGGGGTGTAAAGTAGCATTTCATCATGGTTTTAATTTGCATTTCCCTAATTATTAATGATGTAGAGCAGCTTTTTATGTGGTTATTTGCCATAATGTTTCTTCATTCACAATATTGTCCAGTTTTTAATTGGATTCTTGGTTGTGTTTTATGGCTTAATGTGGTCTGTACTACAGACTGTTCTGTGTGTGCCTAAGAAGACTGTACATTCTGCTGTTGTCGTATGGGGTATTCTGTGGGGTGTTCTATAGATGTCTATTAGGTCAAATTGGTTTGTAGTGTTGTTGTCTGTTTCCTATATTCTTGTTGCATTTTCTGCCTAGTTCTTCTCTATTATTGAAAGTAGGAGACTGAGTGCAGTGGCTCATGCCTGTAATCCCAGCACTTTGGGAGGCCGAAGCTGGTGGATCACCTGAGGTCAGGAGTTCAAGACTAGCCTGGGCAACATGGCGAAACCCCGTCTCTACTAAAAATACAAAAATTAGCTGGGCCTGGTGGTGAATCACTTGAACCTGAGAGGTGGAGTTTGCAGTGAGCCGAAGTTGCGCCACTGCACTTCGGCCTGGGCAACAGAGCAAGTAGTCTCTCAAAAAAAAAAAAGTATTGAAGTCTCCAGATACATTTGATCCTGAGTGTGTGCAGATTTGGTCATCTCTGTATGAGCTCTGAAGCAAGATGAGAGTGCCACCTTGTTTGACTTTAGGTGGGAATGTGCATATTGGAAAATTCTAATCTTTCACTGCTATGTGCATGTCTGTGAGTGCCTATGAAAATGCCACAAGTACTGATTTTGGAGTTACAAATAAAATGCAGCAAATGGATGAGTTAACAAATATAGAAACCATGGAAGAGAAGAAAAAATATTTTTCTTCACAAATATGGAATATGGAGATGGAGGTGCTGAGGGGCAGTGTGGTGGAGTGTAAGAAGTCCTGGCGCCACTTGGATGCGGTTTGAATCCCAACCCTAACACTTGTTTAGGCATAAGGGTTGGCCTCAGGCAAGGCATCTAAACACTTCTGAACCTCATTTTCTCTGTTTTTTTTTTTTTTTTTTTCCCTGAGATGGAGTCTCGCTCTATTGCCCAGGCTGAAGTGCAATGGCACGATCTCGGCTCACTGCAACCTCTGTCTCCTGGCTTCAAGCGATTGTGCTGCCTCAGCCTCCTGAGTAACTGGGATTATAGGCACCTGCCACCACGCCTGGCTAATTTTTGTATTTTTCATTAGAGACAGGGTTTCACCATGTTGGTCGGGCTGGTCTTAAGCTCCTGACCTCAAGCAGTCCACCCGTCTTGGCCTCCCAAAGTGCTGGGATTACAGGTGTGAGCCACCGTACTTGGCCACGCCATTTTCTCTTTTGTAAAATAGAGAAAATAGAGTCAACCAGTATGAGAGGTTTTTCAGATTCAAGATCTGTGTATGATATCTATATTATGTACATATTTCCTGTAGGGCCAAGGGTTCAGTATTAGCTAATTCAGTGTTTGCAGTGACTCTGTAGAATATAACTAATGCGAGTAACAAGAATCAGCTGTATTGTTGAATTGTGTGTTTCTCCTTTTAATTCTGTCATCAGTTTTTGCTTCATGTATTTCAGGAATTCTTTTGTTAGGTCCATATGTATTCCTGGTAACTTGATCCTTTTTTTCGTTTTAAATGTCCTTTGTCTCTTTCAGACATTTTTTGGCTTAGTCTATTTTATTTGTTATTGGTATAACCACTGAACCTTTCTTAAGCTTATTGTTGGCATGGCTTATCTTTTTCCATTCTTTTATTTTCAGTCTGCTTGTTTTGAAGCTAAAGTATGTCTTGGGGGTAGCATATAGTTGGATCTTTAAAAAAAAAAACTAGTCATATAATCTCTGCCTTGATTAGAGTTCTTAATTCACTAATAATTTTATATAGCTTGTTTTACATCTCATTTTGCTGTTGGTTTTCTGTGTATCTCATATCTTGTTTCTCTATTTCTCCTTTACTATCTATTTTTATAGTATATATATATAGATTCTAGTGTGACATTTTAATTGCATTGATTTAAAAAATATCTTAATTTTCTTAGCGATTTTATGGGTTAAATATGCATTCAACTTCTTGACATTCATACTGATTTAACTCTAATAAAATAAGATAAAAAACATGGCTCCTACGTAGCTCCATTACTGTTTGGGATAAGAAGTTAGCTATTAATCTTATTCTGGTTCCCTTGTGTATGCTTAGTTGTTTTTCTCTTACTCCTTTAAATCATTTGACTACAATATGTGTAGATGTGGATTTCTTTGTGTTTATCCTGGAGTTTGTTCTACTTCTTGGTTGTGTAGATGAATGTGTTTCATCAACTTTGGGAAGTTTGGGGTATTGAAATATTTTTTCTGGCACCTCTTCCCACTTTGACCCCCATTGCATGTATGTTTTCAGACCTCCGAATAGTGGTTATTAATGGTACTGTCCAATTTTATAGTTGCATCATTATTACGAAAGTCCCTGGGTCTCCCCTTTAAATTTTTGAGACAGTGTCTTGCTCTGTTGCCCAAGCTGGAGTGCAGCAACAGCACGATTATGCCTTACTACAGCTCTGACCTGGACTCAAATGATCCTCCCACCTCAACCTCCTTAGTAAGTGAGACCACAGGCATGAGCCACCATGCCTGGCGGAAACAGGCTTTCATTACGTTGCCCAGCCTGGCCTGGAACTCCTAGGCTCAAGCAGTCCCCTCGACCTCAGTCTCCCAAAGTGCTAGGATTACAGGTGTGAACCACAGCACCAGCCTGGGTCTTCTATTAATGTCCTTTAATAGACTTAAATAATAGTGGAATTTTTTTTAGAAATGAATTTTGTTTCTTGAACTATTATGTAAATCAGAGGGTTGAATTTTATGTATCGTAACTTCAGTAGGGCTACTCAGAAATAGGTAAAATATACCTAGTTTTATTTTTAATGTTTTACCCTTTGAGGTCCATATGTGTAAGTCCTAGTGGTTTTTTTTTAATAAATAAAAATTGTTAGCATAAAATTCTATTATAGAATGTAAATTCTTCATTGGATATGCAATAAGAAAGTAAATTACTTAATCTTTCCAGTTTATCTGTATATAATATAGTTGAAAAAATTGGGGACCTTTTATTATACAATTTATTTTGAAACTTATTTTCTTCCACCCATTTTATAATATAGTCATATGGTACTTAATGACAGGGATACATTCTGAGAAATGCATCATGAGGTGACTTCATTGTACAAAGTTACACAAACCTAGGTGGTATAACCTGTTGCTGCTTGACTCCAAGCCTGTACAGCATCTTACTGTACTTAATTCTGTGGGCATTTGTAACACTTTGTAAATATTTGTGTATCTAAACATATCTAACTGTAGAAAAAATAATGTAAAAAACCTGCAAAAAAGATAAAATAGGGTATTGCCTGTATAGGACGCTTACCAAGAATGGAGCTTGCAGGACTGGAAGTTGCTCTGGGTGAGTTGGTGAGTGATCGCTGAGAAGATGTGAAGGCCTAGGATGTGACTCTACACTACTGTAGACTTTGTAAGCACTGTACACTTAGGCTATACAAATTATTTAAAAATTTTTTTCTTCACTATTAAATTAACCTTAGCTTACTCTAACTTTTTATTTACTTTTATAAACTTAAAATTTTTTAACGTTTTGACTCTTATAATAACATTTAAAACACAAACACGTTGTATGGCTGTACAAAAGTATTTTTTCTTTATATTCTTATTCTGTGAGCTGTTTTCTTTCCTTTTTTTTTTTTTAACTTTTTAATAATACACATGGAGCTGTCATCTCCCATGCTGACTGTGCCTTTTTTTAAAAAAACTAGAAAGAGTATCCTTTAAAGATGAAAAGTATAATAAATACATAAACCAGCAACAGTCATTTATTAAGTATTATATACTGTATGTACATGCTATACTTTTATATGACTGGCAGTGCAGTAGATTTGTTTACATCAGCATCACCACAAACCTGTGAGTAATGCATTGCTCTATGACATGGTGGCCACAGTGACATTAGGTGATAGGAATTGTTCAAGTCACTTTTAATCTTATGGGACCACTGTTGTATATTTGGTCCATCCTTTGGTCTGCCATTGACCAAATCATTATTATGCAGTACATGACTGTCTGTTACTTCACTTTTCATCTATTGAATCTTCAATAGTATCAGCCAGGAGACTTACAGTTTGGCTTGGGGATAATTCTTTTGTTGTTCATCCTTTTGACAACCTATTTTCCTGATATTATCTCATTATAAAGGGCATACTGGGAAACCTTTCCTGAGTGCTTCAATACATACTGTGGAAATTAAAAAGTGGGAAGGCAAAGACCTCGAGTAGGATAATACATCACTAAATCAGTGTTACACTTGTGTACTTGGTGTTAATCGTTACCTTTTCAGTTATTCGTTGCTTGTTTATAAACTCAGGGAATTTGAATTTATAAATTCAGCATCATATTTCATTCTAGTTATGCTTTGTAGTATTCTATAAAACTGATTGTATCTAATTCTTTATAATTCCTATAGGAACAAATTTAGGTTTTCAATTGACTCTACCTTTTAGACATGAGAAAAGATGACAATTTTTTTTAATGTACTATTTTCATTGCTTGACTTTAGGTCCATTGCAAAAGAACTTGCAGACTGGCTTATTAGCAACAATGTGGTGGAGCATATATTTGGACCAAATTTACATATTGAGGTTTGTGGATGATTACATAACTTCTCTGTTCTATTGATAGAGAAGAATATTTTTAAAAATTGATATTAAGTTTTTCTTTTCCAGATTATCAAACAGTGCCAAGTGATTTTGAATTTTTTGGCAGCAGAAGGGCGACTGAGTACTCAACATATTGACTGTATTTGGGCTGCAGCACAGGTAATATTAACAGCTCACATTTATTGAGTGCTTTGCTTATCATATGTTCTAAGTGCTTCTCTGTGAGGTAAATTCTATTATCCTGTTTTATAGCTAAGGAGACCAAGACATGGACAAGCTGGGACTGAAATCTGGCTTCCGAGTCCATGTCTTACTATGTTACTGGTAGAATGGAAGGAAATCAGAGTCAGTCAGTTGGAGCTTCTTCATGAAACCATCCTGGTTTAATAAAGAGACATTTTCCTGTTATTCTCATTTATACAGTCTACCCTTCTATCCTGAATTATTGTATTGGTATGTTTCTTGTCTGATGTACTGTTTTTTTTTTTTTTTTTTTAAATAGGCATATATCCACATGATTCAAAATTCCAAAAGTAAATATAAAAAATATATTACATGTTTTTCCTTTCTGCCCCATCTCTCAAGCATGCAGTTATTATCTTCTCAGGTATATCAGATTTTTTTGTATAAATAGCGAACTGTATACATTTTTCTTCCTCTTTCTTTTTCACAAATGTAGCATACCAACCAGATGTGGCTTTGACTTTTTTTTTTTTCTTTCTTAATTTATTCTGGAGATTTCTCATCAATATATGAAGTGCTTTTTATCTTCTTGTAAAACTGTATAGTGTTTAATTATTTTTTCCCTCAGTCTTTTTTTTTTTTTTTTTTTTTTTTGAGACGGAATCTTGCTTTGTAGCCCAGGCTGGAATGCCATGGCGCAGTCTTGGCTTACTGCAACCTCCGCCTCCCCGGTTCAAGTGATTCTCCTGCCTCACGCTCCTGAATAGCTAGGACTATAGGTATGCACCGCCACGCCCAGCTAATTTTTGTATTTTTAGTAGAGATAAGGTTTCGCTATGTTGGTCAGGCTGGTCTCGAACTCCTGACCTCATGATCCGCCCACCTCGGCCTCCCAGTGTGCTGGGATTACAGGCATGAGCCACCACTCCTGGCCCCCCGAGTCTTTTCTGTTACAAACAATGCTGTAATAAGTAACTTCTAACACATTCATTTCATCCTTGTGTGAAACTTTTGTGTAGCTATGATAAATTCTTACTTACAAGTAGAATTAGAATTACTAGGTTAAAGAATATGTGTGGTTTACTTGTGGTAGATACTGGTACGGCAGTTTCACTTTCCCCTTAATTTTGTCAGCACATTAAATTACATGATCTTTGCCAACCTGATGGGTGAAAAGTGATATCATTGGTATTTTAAATTTGCGTTTCTTTTATCATGAGTGAGTTTGCAAATCTTGTGTTTAAGAGCCATTTTGTTGCTTTTTCTGGAATTGTTCATATTTTTTGCTATTTATCAATTGTTTTTCTTATTTTTTTTATTTGTAGGAGTTCTTTATGTGTCACTGAAGTTGATCTTTTGTTTGTGATTACAACTTATTACTGTATCCTGGTTTGATGCCTTTTTGCTTTGCTTAAGGTGGTTTTTACTGTTCAGTTTCATATTTGTGGTTGTAGTTTTTATGGTCTGTAGATTTTGTATCTTGGTTTGAAATGCCTTCTCCATTCACAACATTATAAGAGAATTCTCCTTTAGTTTCTCCCTATACATTTTCTATTGCAATTATATATCTTAATCTTTGATCCAGCTGGGATTTATGTTGGTTTAAAGTGTTATGTATGTGTCCAACTTTCCTCCCTTTTTTGTTGTGCAATTTTTCCAATTCCATTTGTTTACTAACTCTTCTTTCTGACTTGATATACCAATTTTTTCTTGACTGGGTAATTTTTTGAACTTTCTAGACTGACCTATTTGTGTGTATAATTATGATCTATACCAGGGATTGGTAAACTTATAGTCTGTGGGCCAGCTATCTGTTTTTGGAAATTCTTGCTACACAGACATGCCCATTCTTCTTTTTTTTTTTTGAGATGGAGTCTTGCTCTGTCACCCAGGCTGGAGTGCAGTGGCGTGATCTTGGCTCACAGCAACCTCTGCCTCCCGGGTTCAAAGGATTCTCCTGCCTCAGCCTCCTCACTAGCTGGGATTACAGGCACGCGCCACCACGCCCAGCTAATTTTTGTGTTTTTAGTAGAGACCGGGTTTCACCATGTTGGCCAAGATGGTCTCAATCTCTTAACCTCATAATCCTTCCGCCTTGGCCTCACAAAGTGCTGGTATTACAGGCGTGAGCCAATGGGCCCGGCCTGACGTGCCCATTCTTTTACATATTGTCCATGGTGGCTTCCACAGCACAACAGCAGAGTTCAGTAATCATAACAGAGACCCTGTCACCCATAATCCTAAAATATTTACTTTCCGGTTGTTTAAGGACATGTTCATCGAGTTTATACTAATTTTTTTCTTTATTTTTACTTGCCTCTTTGTAATATTTTTAAATGCCTGAGACGACTAGTCCTTCCTCATTATTGTTATAACTTTTCTGTCTTATTTATTTCTTCATACGAATTTTAGCATTGGGGTAAAATATTTTCATTGTGTTAATGATGATTAATTTGAGAACTGAAGTTCTGTCTTCCTGTCCAAAGTATGATACTCTTTTTCTTTTTTCTTTTGCATTATTCACAGTCTCAAAGTTATTTGTATATAGATTTTTATTTCGTGCTATGCTTAATCTAAGGAATTTGTTTTTTATTGCTATTATAAATTGTGATTTCTTCAATTATATTTCTTCCATTATGTTGCTATTTCTTTTACTATATTTAGTGATGGAGATATAGAGATATATATAAAATTAAAATATTTTTCATTACTAATGATTGTGTGCCTTGAGCCTTCACTGAATTCTTAGGTTGGTTGTGGTAGATTTTCAATGTATTTTCTTTGACTTCCCATGTCTAACATTGTGTGCTTGTTTGTTTGAGATGGAGTCTCCAGCCCTCACCTAGGCTGGAGCGCAGTGGTGTAATTAGCTCATTGCAGCCTTGAACTTCTGGGCTCAAGTGAGCCTTTCAAGTAGCTGAAACTACAGACACGAGCCACCACCTGGCAAATTGCATTTGTGTGTGTGCGCGCGCGTGTGTGTGTGCGCGCGCACTCGTGCTTCTAAACATATTTAAATTATTGCCTTATAAGACAGTGTCGCATACTGCTAGCATGTGAAGTCATAACTGTACTTGAGTTACAGTCTGGCCACTGCAATAGCCCTTTCTATGTTACGTTTCATAATTTGAATCTTAGTCCTTCTCGCCCTTTCAGGAACTGTTACTAGGAGGGATTATTTCTTCCTCTGTTACATATTCATATCTCTTGTCTGTACTGGATTTTTTATGTTGTGGGTCTCTTCATATGCCTTTGCTGTTTGTTCTGTTGCCAAGGCTAGAGTACGGTGGTGGAGTCTTGACTTGCTGCAGCTTCTGCCTCCTGGGCTCAAGTTATTGTCCCACCTCAGCCTCCTAAGTAGCTGGGACTACAGATGCACACCACCATGCTTGGCTAATTTTTGTGTTTTTTTGCAGAGACGAGGCTTTGCCTTGTTGCCCAGACTGGTCTCGAACTCCTGAGCTCAAGCGATCCTCCTGCGTTGCACTCCCAAAGTGCAGGGGTTATAGCTGTGAGCCACCACACCCGGCCACATTCATATTTCTAAGAGACAACTACATAAATGTTGTATATACTTTGGAATTTCACATATTTTTCTATTAGTGCTGTCTCTCAAATGGAACTCTTGTCTGGCAACTTCTCGGGGAATAGTATTGGAGGCATAACTACTCGTACTTTTCTCATTTGTCTCATCAAGCTTTCATTTCAGGTTGTAGGACTCTAAATGAGAGAATGTACAGTGGTACCAGTATCTGTATTTACATGCAATTACTTTATGTAGTTTTCTCCCCCAGGGAAGATCTCTGGTGGATGGGTTACCTATATGTTGGCTGCTCGTGTTTTTCTGACTGACGGGTGGCTGACAGAAAGAATCATACTTTATAGAAAACTTCATTTAAGTCCCGTCTCCATCTCCATGTCTTCCTTCTGTCCATCAAATCTCTTATTCTGAGCCCAGAATCTTTCTCAGTTATGTTGGGAAGATCATCTCACCTACCTCCTCTATAGCTTTCTTACAACTTACTCTGAGCTACAACTTTCTTTACCTATTACATTTTAAAAAGGTATTCACTGTCTGGGCGTGGTGGCTCACGCCTACAATCCCAGCACTTTGGGAGGCCAACGTGGGCGGATCACAAAGTCAGCGGTTCAAGACCAGCCTGACCAACATGATGAAACCCTGTCTCTACTAAAAGTACAAAAATTAGCCAGGCATGGCGGCGCATGCCTGTAATCCCAGCTACTCAGGAGGCTGAGGCAGAGGTTGTAGTAAGCTGAGATCACGCCATTGTACCCCAGCCTGGGCAGCAGAGTGAGACTGTGTCTCAAATAAATAAATAAATAAATAAATAGGTGTTCCCAGTCATTTTAGTCTTTCAGAAATGTGTAAGTTTTGTGTCTGATGGGAACTTTAATTTTCTTTGTGGATTTGTTCTTTTTATTATAAAGTACAGTAATGATTTTCTTCTCTAGAGGATGATGAAATTCAACAATTTTCTCCTTTCTCATTTTCCACCTCCCAGTTTTTATTGTTACTTGTATTTTATCAAATATTATAACATTTAGATTATATACTATAACCGTAATTCCCACAGTTGTTTAGTATTATGCTATATTTAGGTATGTGACTCTGACAAATCCTTTTTCCTCAACTCCTGTTTTTGTCATTCCTTTCTTCCTTACTCCAGAATTAATTGTATTTATTCTTATGGATTTCACAGAGTAGGTTTTTTTTCCTGAAGAGAAATTTGTGGATGTTATATTCTGGAGTTGTACACACTTGAAATGTCTCTTTTGTTTATTCTTAAAGAAGAGTTTGAGTGAATGTTCTCCTCATTTCCTGCTGGCAAGGTTTTTCTCTCATGTGGTTTGTCTTTTTTTAAAGTGTTCATTGATCCCATGAGGGTTTTTGTGTTCTGTTTTGTTCTGAGTTTTTGAAGGCATACATACATACATACATACATATATACACACACACACACACACATTTATAAATAAACACACGTGTGTGTGTGTGTGTGTGTGTGTGTGTGTGTGTGTATTTTGAAATGGAGTCTTGCTCTGTTGCCCAGGCTGGAGTGCAATGGGGCAATCTCAGCTTACTGCAACCTCTCCCTCCCTGGTTCAAGCAGTTCTCCTGCCTCAGCCTCCTGAGTAGCTGGGATTATAGGCGCGCACCTCCATGCCTGGCTAATTTTTGTAGTTTTAGTAGAGACGGGATTTCACCATGTTGGTCAGGCTGGTCTCAAACTCCTAACCTTGTGATCTGCCTGCCTTGATCTCCCAAATTGCTGGGATTATAGGCATGAGCCACCACACCCAGCCTATTTATTTATTTATTTATTTATATTTTTAAATTATTTTTTTGAGACAGAGTCTTGCTCTGTTGCCCAGGCTGGAGTACAGTGGTACGATCTTGGCTCACTGTAACCTCCGTCTCCGGAGCTCAAGCAATACTTCTACCTTAGCCTCCCGAGTAGCTGGGATTACAGACGTGCGCACCACCACATTGTCTAATTTTTGTATTTTTAATAGTGACGAGGTTTCATCATGTCAGCTAGGCTGGTCTCAAACTCCTGACCTGAAGTGATCTGCCTGTCTCGACCTCCCAAAGTGCTGGGATAATAGACATGAGCCACTGCTCCTGGCCTTGGTTGAAGGCTTTTAATATATATGTACTTTTTCTTGTATTTTCCTTTTATTTTATAGTGTCGTAAAATATGTATAACATAAAATTTACCATTTTCACCATTTATATGTGTACAAGTTAATGGGATATAAGATATTCATAATGTTGTGTAACTATCACCACTATCTGTATGCAAAACATTTTCATCATTACCAGTAACAACTTTGTACCTATAAAATAATAACTCTTAATTTCCTTCGTCCTTTCAGCCCCTGGTTTCTTCTGTTTTACATTCCTTTTTTGGAGACAGCGTCTTGCTGTATCACTTGGGCTGGATGCAGCAGCACAATTACAGCTCACTGCTGCAGCCTCAAAACTCCTGGGCTCAAGTGACCCTCTGGCCTCAGACTCCTGAGTAGCTGGGACTAAAGCATGCCTACCTAATTTTTGTATTTTTTGTAGAGATGGTGTCTTGTATTGCTCAGGCTGGTCTCCAATGTTTGGGCTCAAGCCATTCACCTGCCTTGGTCTCCCAAAGTGCGGGGATTTTAGGTGTGAGCCACCATGCTCAGCTGTTTTACATTCTGTCATCTTCTGTCTCCATGAGTTTGCCTATTCTAGGTACCTTCTATAAGTGGAATCATAATATTTGTCCTTCTCTGTGTGGCTTACTTTACTAACATAATGTTTCCAAAGTTGTTATTTTATAGGTACAAAGTTGTTATTGGTGATGATGAAAATGTTTTGCGTACAGATAGTGGTGATAATCTATGTCATAGCAAACATTAAAATTTCATTCCTTTTATGACTAATACTCTACTGTATGTATATACTGCATTTTATTCATCCATCAGTGGACATTTGGGTTGTTTCCACCTTTTGGATATTATGAGTAATGCTGCTGTGAACATGGGTTTACAAATATCTGTTCCATTTCCTGCTTTCAGTTATTTTGTATATACAGTCATGTGTTGTATAACCATGTTTCAGTCAACAACACACCACATACATATACAACAGTGTTCCCGTAAGATTATAATGGAGCTTATTATAATTTGTATCACCTCATGACATTGTGATAACTGTCCTAGTATAGTGCAACAAATTACTTTTTCTGTGTTATTTACCGTTGAGTTACAGTTGCCTACAGTATTCAGTACAGTAACATGCTATACAGGAGCAGTAAACTATAGCATATAGCCTAGGTGTGTAGTAGACTCTACCATCTTTTGTATAAGTATGCTCTGATGTTCACAAGAGGGCATTTCTCAGAACGTATCCCTATCCTGAAGCCACACAAGATCGTGTACCTAGGAGTAGGATGTCTGGATCACATGGTAATTCTGTGTTAAACTTTTTGAGAAGGCACCAAATTGTTTTGCACAAAAGCTGCACCATTTTACATTCTCACCAGTGATACCAGAGGGTTCTGGTTTCTCCACATCCTTGCCTATACTTGTTACTTCCATTTTGAAAAAAAATTCAGCTATCCTAGTAGGTGTGAATTTGTATCTCATTGTGGTTTTTATTTGCATTTTCCTGGTGATTAATTATATTGAACATGCTTTCCTGTGCTCATTGGCTATTTGCATATTTGCTTCGGAGAAATGTCTGTTCATGTCTTTTGCCCATTTTTGATTGGGTTTTGTTTGGTTTTCTTTTGAGTTTTACAAAAAATATTCTGGATGTTAATTTTTAAAATCAGGTATATAATTTGCATATAATTTCTCTAAGTCTGTTTTTCTTTTTAAATTGAGATATAATAGGCAAATACTGAGAAATACTATACAAATATAAAAATTATGTATTTAAGGTGTACAACTTGATGTTTTAATGTGCATAGTGTGAAATAATCACTACAGTCAAGCTAATTCACATATCTATTACCTCACATGGTTACCATTTTCTTTCAAGTATGTAATACAGTATTGTTAACTGTAGTCACATTGCTGTACATGAGATCTCCAGAATTTACTCATTTTGGAGAACTTAAACTTTATACTCTTTTACTGATGTCAACTTATTTCTCTCTCCTCCTGTACTCTCCGCTTCTTTGACTACTTTAAATTCATCATGTAAGTGAGACTATGCAGCATTTATCTCTCTTTGTCTGGTTTATTTCACCTAGCATAATCTTTACTAGGGTCAGTCATGTTGTCAAAAATGGAAGGATTTCCTCCTTTTTAAAAGCTGAATAATATCCCTATGTGTGTATGTATATGTACACCACATTTTGTCTATTCATCTGTGGAAAGATGTTTAGTTTTTTTTCCATATCTTGGCTCTTGGGAATAATACTGCAGTGAATGTGAGAGTGAAGATATCTCTGAGATAGTGATTTCATTTCCTTTGGATATGTATCCAAAGTGGGATTGTGGATCATAACATAAGATAGTTCTGTTTAATTTTTTGAGGAACGTCCATGTTGCTTTCAAAAATGACTGTACCAGTTTTCATTCCCACCAACAGTGTATAAGGATTCCCATTTCTCCACATTTCTTGCTAACATTTATCTTTTGTCTTTTTGATAATAGTTGTTACAACGTAGGTGTGAGATATGCTTTTGATTTGCGTTTCTCTGATGATTAGTGATATTGAGCAGCTTTTATACCTATTGGCTATTTGTTTGTCTTTTTTTGAGAAATGTCTATTTTCTTTGCCCTACATAGGGTTATTTATTTATTTATTTATTTATTATTTTTTTGCTATTGAGTTGTATGAGTTTCTTAAATATTCTGGATATTAACCCCTAATCAATACATGGTTTGTAAATATTTTATTCCATTTTGTAGGTTGCTTTTTCACTCTGTTGTTTCCTTTGCTGTGCAGAAGCTTGTTGGTTTGATGAAATCTCAATTGTATATTTTGGCTTATGTTGCCTATGCTAATAGTTCCTGTCAAAAAAATTATTTCCTAGACCATTGTCAAGAAGCTTTTTAACCTGTGTCACCTTCTAGTAGTTTTACAATTTCAGGTCTTAAATGTACTTTGAAGTTTTTAATCCATTTTGAGTTGATTTTTGTGTGTGGTATAAGATAAGGATCCAGTTTCATTCTGTATGTGGATATCAGGTTTTCCCATCACCTTTTGTTGAAGAGACTGTCCTTTCCCTATCATATGTTCTTGGCATCCTTCTGGAAGATCAGTTGATTGTAGATGCATGGATTTGTTTCTGGGGTTTTTATTTGTTCTATGGGTCCATATGTCTGTTTTTATGCCAGTGCCATATATAATATGTATTTTTAATGGACAGGGTCTTGCTCTGTTGTCCAGGTTGGAGTGCAGTGGTTCAGTCACAGCTCATTGCAGCCTCGACTTCCTGCACTGAGGTGATCTTCCTGCCTCAGCCTTTCAAAATAGCTAGGACTACAAGAGCATGCCACCATGCCCAGCTAACTTTTAATTTTTTTAAATTGTTTTGTAGAGACTGGGTCTTGCTGTATTGCCCAGGCAGATCTCAAACTCCTGGCCTCAAGCAGTCCTCCTTCCTCAGCCTCCCAGATTGTTGAGATTACATGTGTGAGCCACTGCACCTGGCTCATATTGTTTTGATTACTGTAGTCATGTAATGTATTTTGGAATTAAAAAGTGTGATACTTCCAACTCTATTCTTACTCAAGATTGTTTTTTGCTATTTGGGGCCTTTTGTGGTTCTGTATGAATTTTAGGGCTGTTTTTTCTATTTTTGTAAGGAATGCCATTGAGGCTGGGTGTGGTGGCACACGCCTATTAATCCCAGCACTTTGGGGAGGCCAAGGAGCTAACTTCTGATAGCTTGAGCTCAGAAGTTCGAGACTAGCCTGAGCAACATGCTGAAACCCTGTCTGTACCAAAAATACAAAAAACTAGTTGGATGTGGTGGTACGTCCCTGTAGTCCCAGCTACTTGGGAGGCTGAGGTGGAGGATTGCTTGAGCCCAGGACGTCGAGGCTGCAATGAGCCAAGATGGTGCCACTGTACTCCAGCTTGGCTGACAAAATGAGACCCTGTCTCAAAACAAAAGACTGCCATTGAGATTTTGATAGGGATTGCGTTGACTCTGTAGATTTTGGGTGGTATGGACTTTTAATGATATTTTTCCTTCAGTGCATGAATATGGAATGTCTTTTTATTTATGTGTTTCTTCTTTAATTTCCTTCAGTGTTTTATAATTTTCAGTGTACAAGTCTTTTACTTCTTTGGCTAAGTTTATTTCTACATATTGTAAAATACTTTTGTTGCTGTGGTAAACGGGACTGTTTTCTTAATTGCGTTTTCAGATAGCCTGCTTGTACTTAGAAATGCTGCTGATTTTTTTATATTAACTTGGATCCAGCAGCTTTACTGTATTCATTTATTAGTTCTAACAGTTTTCTGTTGTTGTGGAGTTGTAAGGTTTTTCTACATATATATGATCATTTGTAAAAAGATAATTTTTCTTTCCTGTTTTCTATTTGGAGTCCTTTTATTCCTTAAGTCTTCTCTCTTGGAATTTCAGTATTAAATTGAATAGGAGTGGTAATACTGGGGCATCCTTGCCTTTCCTGGATCTTAGAGGAAAAGCTTTCAGTTTTTCCTTACTGATTTATGCTATTATTTGTGTGCTTTATATATGAAAAAAAGCTGGCCAGGCATCCCAGCATTTTGGGAAGCTGAGGCGGGTGGATCGTGAGGTCAGGAGTTCAAGACCAGCCTGGCCAACATAGTGAAACCTCGTTTCTACTAAAAATAGAAAAATTAGCCTGGTGTGGTGGTGGGCGCCTGTAGTCCCAGCTACTTGGCAGGCTGAGACAGGAGAATTGCTTGAACCTGGGAGGCAGAGGTTGCAGTGAGCCGAGATCACCCAGCCGAGCACTTTAGGCTGGGTGACAGAGTGAGACTGTCTCAAAAAAAAAAAAAAAAAAAAAAACAACTGTGGGCTTTTCATATATGGCCTCTTATGCTGAGGTAAGTTCCTTCTATGCCTGTTCTTTTGAGCGTTTTTATCATGAATGGATGTTGAATTTTGTCAGATGCTTTATTTTTTGCTGTGTGATCTATGGTTTATTTTCATTCTTCTAGTGTCCTTTGATGCACAAAAGTTTTTAATTTTGATGAAGTCTAACATATCTTTGTTGTTGTTGACTATTTTTGGCGTCATACCCAAGAAATAATTTTCAAATCCAATGTCATGAAGATTACAATCCTTATCTTTTCCTTCTAAGGGTTTTTAAAAAAAGATTTTTCTTTTAAGTATTTGATGTGTTTTGATTTGTTACATGTGGTGTAAGGTAAAGATTAAACTTTATTCTTTTTACATGTAAATATTCAGTTTTCCTAACACCATTTGTTGAAAAAACTGTCCTTCCCCCATTAAATGGCCTTGGCAACCTTGGTTGAAAGTCAGTTGACCTTTTTCATATGAAGGTTTATTTTTGGGATCTGCATTCTTCTCCACTGGCCTACATGTGTGTCCTTATGTCAGTACCATACTATTTAATTACTACTGTTGCTTTTTGTTTTTTCTTTTTTTTCTTTTTGCAAGTTTCAAAGTCATCTTTTTCAGACTGTTCTGGCTATTTACAGTCCCTTGCAATTCTGTATGAATTTGAAGATCAGCTTTTCCAGTTTTGTAAAAAAGAATAGATATTGCATTGACTCTGTGGATCACTTTGGAGGCAGTATTAATATCTTAACAAAATAAGTCTTCCTATCCGTTAACATGAATGTCTTTGTCTTTATTTAGGTTTTTAATTTATTTTAGCAATGTTTTGTAGTTTTCAGAATACAAAACTTTACCCTCTTTGGTTAGATTTGTTCCTGAGTATTCTTTTACATGCTTTTGAAAATTGTGTTACTTTCTTAATTTTCTTTTCGGATTGTTCATTTCTAGTGTATAGAAATATAGCTGATTTTTGCATTTTGATCTTGTTCCTTGCAACTTGGTGAATTTGCTTCTCAGCTTAGTAGTTCTCCTGTGGATTCTTTAGGATTTTCTATATGTATATGATTATGTCATTTGCAATTAGAGATAGTTTTACATCTTCCTTTCTCATTTGGATGCCTTTCATATTTTTGTCTAGTAGCTCTGGCTAGTAGTTCATTACAGTGTTGAGTAGCAGTGGTAAATATGGGCATCCTTGTCTTGTTCTGATCTTAGGGGGAAATATGTTATTCATCATTGAGTATGATATTGCCTGTGGGTTTTTGATAAGTACCCTTTATCATGTTGATTTTTTTTCTCTTTTAGTTTTCTGAGAATTTTTATCATGAAAGGAATCTTCCAGGTTGTCCAATTTTCTCGTGTACAATTATAATATCTCATAATTTTTTTAGAACTATAAGTTTAGTATGAATGCCCTCATTTTCATTGCAGCTTTGAGTTCTTTGTCTTTTTTTTCCCCATAGTCTAGCTAAAGGGTTGTCATTTATAAAATTCTTTAACAAACCGTCCTTTGGTTTTGTTAGTTTTCTCTATTAACATTCTTATTTATTTATTTATTTATTTATTTATTTTAGATGGAATCTCGCTCTGTCTTGCCCAGGCTGGAGTGCCGTGGTGCAATCTTGGTTCACTGCAGCCTCCGCCTCCCAGGTTCAAGTGATTCTCCTGTCTCAGCCTCCTGAGTAGCTGGGACTACAGGCATGTGCCACCACACCCAGCAAATTTTTTGTATTTTTAGTAGAGATGGGATTTCGCCATGTCGGCCAGGCTGATCTCAAACTTATGACCTCATGTGATCCACCTGCCTTGGCCTCCCAAAGTGCTGGGATTACAGACGTGAGCCACCACGCCCGGCCCATTCTTACTGTTTTGTAAAGAGAGAATTTCTTGCTCTGTTGCCCAAGCTGGAGTATGCAGTGTTGTAATCTTAACCTTCTGGGCTCAGGCAGTCCTTCTGCCTTAGCCTCTCAAGTAGCTAGGACTACAGGCTTGTGCCACCACTCCTGGCTAATTTTTAAATATTTTTTGTAGAGAAAGGATTTCACCGTGTTGCTCAGGTTGGTATTGAACTTCTGATGTAAAGCAGTCTTTCCCCCTTGGCCTCTCAAAGTGAGAGTATTACAACAGGCATGAACTGCATCTGACCAGCTTTCTGTACTATTTTCATATTCTTTATTTTATTTATCTCTAATCATTTTCTTCCTTCTACTAGCTTTAGGTTTGTTTCTCTTGTAGTTCCTTCCCTAAGTTGTAAAGTTTAGTTGTTGAATTGAGATTTTTTTTTTAAATTCACATTTACATTTGTAAACATAAGTTTTCATGCATAAATAAAATTTTCCTCTGAACATTGTTCTTTCTGCATTCTATTTTTTGTTGTATTTTATCTGTAAATATTTTCTAATTTCCCTTGTGATTTCATTTTTGATCCTTTGACTGTTTGAATGTGTTAATTTCTACATATTTGTGCGTTGTCCAGTTTTCCTTCTGGTACTGATTTTCAGCTTCTTCCTGCTGTGGGTAGAGAAACATTTTAGTATGATTATCTGTATTTTAATATCTGTTGAGACTTGTGGTCTAGCATCCAGTCTATCTTGGAACATGTCCCACATGTACTTGAGAAAAATGTGTTTTCTGCTGCTGTTGGAGTGTTCTGTGTATGCCTGCTAGGTCTATTTGGCTTATTGTGTTGTTCAGATTCTCTATTTCCTTGTTTATGATTATTCTCTTTATTGAAAATTGGATATTGAAGTCTCCAACTATTATTGTGGAACTTTTTATTTCTCTATTTCTTCCATTCTTTCATAATGTTTATGGTCATATCTTCTTGGTATTTTGAATCTTGTATTACTAAAGTTTATCTTTAGTAAACTTATGAAAACACTTTAAATTGTGGTTTGAAAAAATGCAGTTGATCCCCTTTAATCATTTTTAAGTGTGTAGTTCACTAATGTTAAGTCTATTTGCATTGTGCAATAGATCTCTAGAACTTATTTATATTGCAAAACTGAAACTCTGTACCCATTGAACAACAACTCTCCTCATTTTCCCCTCTCATCAACTTTGGGTTGTAACCTCTATTCTACTTTCTGTTTCCGTGATTTTGAGTAGTCTAGGTTTCTGATATAAGTGGAATCATTAAATATTTGTCCTTTTGTGACTGGCTTATTTCACTTAGCCTAATCTCTTCAACATTCATCTGTGTTGTGGCATGTGTCAGCATTTTCTTCGTTTTTAAGGATGAATAGTATTGCAGTGTGTGTGTGTATGTGTGTGTGTGTGTGTGTGTGTGCGCTTTCACCCAGGCTGGAGTGCTGTGGCACAATTATGGCTCACTGCAACCTTGACCTTCCAGGATTAAGCCATCCTCCCACTTCAGCCTCTGAAGTAGCTGGGACTATGGGCACATGCCCACCGTGCCTGACTAAGTTTTGTATTTTTTAGTAGAGACAGGGTTTTGCCATGTTGACCTGGCTAGTCTTGATTTCCTGGGCTCAAGTGATCCACCCGCCTTGGCCTCCCAAAGTGCTGGGATTACAGGCATGAGCCACTGTGCCTGGCCTGTAGCACTTTTTTTTTTTTTTTTTTAAATTCATTCATCTGTTGATGGACATTTGGGCTGCTTTTACATCCTGGCTGTTAGGAATAACGCTGTAGTGATCATGGGAGTACAGATACCTCTTTGAGATCTTGCTTTGAATTCTTTTAGACATATACCTAGGAGTCAGATTGCTGGATTAAATGGTAATTCCATTTGTTTTTTTCTGGTAACCTTTTTAAAATTTAAATTGTATCTTATTTGATGTTAGTATAGCCAACCCAGCTAGCTTTTGCTTGCTATTTGCGTGGAATATCTTTTTCTGTCCTTTCACATTAAACCTTTTTGTGTCTTTGGATATAAAGCAAACCTCTTATAGACAATTGGATCAAGTTTTAAAAAAATACCAATTCTGTCTTTTTCTTTTGATTGGAGAGTTAAACCATTTACATTTAAAATAATTACTCATAAAGAGGGACAAACTTGTGTTATTTTGCCTTTTCTTTTCTCTATGTCTTGTAGTGTTTTTCTGCCTCATTTCTTCCATTACTGCCTTTTTTGTATGTTTAGTTGTTTTGGTGGTTTGTGTTTGTTTGTTGTTGTTGTTGTTGTTGTTGTTTTTGTAGTGAAACAGTTCGATTTCCTTTTAATTTTCTTCTGTATTTAACATGGAGATTACATTTAACTTCCTAAAGGTATAACAATCTAATTTCAATTTATACCAGCTTAACTTCAATGCCATGTAAAAACTCTGCTCCTAATGACTCCATCTCTCCATTTTTATTACTACTGTCACAAATTGCAACTTGGTATGTTGTGTGCCTAGTAAGGCAGGTTAATAATTATTCTTTGTTTTTTAAATCATGTGGAAAATAAAAAGTGGAGTTACAAACTGAAATTTCAGTATTATCTGTAATAATTGCCTGTGTATTTATCAGAGATCTTTCTTATTTCATTTCAACTGGAAGGACTCTTTAGCATTTGTCTCATTTTTTTTCTCTTTGCAAGACAATTTATATTTATTCATCTTGTACCCTACTCAAAGACCAAATTAAATCATTCCATTATTCCCCAGAACTTTTGAAGACATGAAAAGGGTTCATTCCAACAATTACTAATGCATATTCGTGCTGGGTTTCATGCTGGTCACTGAGAACACAGGGATAATTCATTGCTGCTGTCCCTTTCCTCGGGGAGTGCCTGTCTTGCAGGATAGAGACAAGTGCCTCATGGGGGATACAGCAACAACAGAGGGATGTGGGGCTCTGAGATTGGGCTGGTCCCAGCAAGCTTGTATAGCATGGGGTCTGGTACAGTGCACCACAAGAGCACCAAGTACTCAATCAGGAGTTGGAGGTGAGCATTGAAGCATTCTGGCAACTACCTGATCACCCAAGGGTCTGCCTCAGTGTGAGCACCTCTGAGCCCCAGCCTCACATTTCCTCAATTCCTGGGCCCAGGCTCCAGGCTTTCAGTTCCTCCACATGTTGCCCAACCCAACATAGTGAACACTTTTTCCTCAAACATTCTAGGTTTTCTGAGTCATTTGGCTGGCTGTGAAAAAAAGCTACTCTTTTCGGCTCAGGCTAGCTGAGGCCAGGTCATTTCAGCCCTGGCTGCCCCAGTGCTAACCAGGTCATTGAGCAGCGGGAGGCTGGAACTAGAGTTTGTGGTTGCTACCATCTTGTGTCCCCTTCTCCCATTTAGTGGCTAGAAGCACACTGGGAAACTGTCTTTTAGCAATTTTTATGGGGCAGGTGTAAGTGTCACAAACTCCTTCAGCTTTTTTCTGCGAATGTCTTAATTTCAACCCTAATTTTTGAAGGACAGTTTTGCTGAATTTAGAATTCTTATTGCAAGATTTTTCTTTTAGCCCCTTGAATATATCAGCTCATTGCCTTCTGGCCTCTAACGTTTTGGATGAGAAATTCGCTGATAATCTTATCGAGGATCTCTTATATGTGACAAGTTACTTGTGGTTTTTGAGATTTTCGTCTTTGGCTTCCTACATTCTGATTGCATTGTGTATCGATAGGGGTCTTTTTGAGTGTATCTTCCTTGGAGTTTGTTGAACATCTTGGATTTGTAGATTCATGTCTTTCATGAAATTGGTTATTTATTTAGTTAGTTATTTAAGTATTCTGTCTTTCCATTTTTCTTTGCATTCTGGGATTTCCAAAATGAATGTGTTGCTCTGCTTCATGGTATCCCACAGGTCCCTTAGGCTATTCATTTTTCTTCTTTTCCTCAGACTTGATAATTTCAGTTGTCCTACTTACGGGTATGCTGATTCTTTTTTCCGCTTGCTCAGAGCTGCCTTTGAATCCTTGTGTAGTGTATTGTTCATTTCAGTTGTTGTACCTTTCATTTCCATAATTTCTTTTTGGTTCCTTTTTATAATTTCTGTCCCTTTGCTGATATTCTCATTTTGTTCATGCATTGTTTTCCTGTCTTTACTCTTACTATCTTTGAGATAAAGTTTTTTAAAATCTTTGTCTAGTGGCTGAGTGGTGAGTCACACCTGTAATCCTAGCACTTTGGGAGGCCGAGGCAGGTGGATCACTTGAGGTCAGAAGTTTAAGACCAGCCTGGCCAACATGGCGAAACCCTGTCTTCACTAAAAATACAAAAAAAACCCAACTAAACAAAAAAAACAAAAACAAAAACAAAACTAGCTGGGTGTGGTGGCACACACCTGTGGTCCCAGCTACTTGGGAGGCTGAGGCATGAGAATCACTTGAACCTGGGAGGCACACGTGGCAGTGAGCTGAGATCGCACCACTGCACTCCAGCCTGGGTGACAGAGCAAGACTGTCTCAAAAAAAAAAAAAAAAACATTCGTCTAGGAAGTGCAACAGGTGGACTTCAGGTATATTTTCTGTGGACTTTTTGTTCTTTCCTTTTTTGTTTTGTTCCGCAAAAAAAAAGTACAACTCTAAGACCTCTAGTAATCATTTCAGATGGTTTGTGTTGAAACAATGGCAGCCAGCCTCTGTGCCTGTACCTCACCAGTCAGAATTAGCAATCAGCTAGCTGTCGGAACAGAGAATCTTGATGTTCAGGGACGTGGTCCTTACTGCCCACCTGTCTCCAGAAGCTGTACCAGAAACCTGTATTGTTGTCTCCGTAGCTGCCTGTCATTGCATGGGCAGGTTGGGAGTGTGCGTGTCAGAAATGGGTAGCAGTAGCAGCTATGGCATTGGAGGCTGAAATTGTTAAGTGTAGAAGTTCAGATTGACTCTAGAGTTTCAGGATACTTACATCTGATTCGGCTAGTACATTTTTTGTCTTGGTATAGTAATGGATTCCTGGCGTTTTCTGTTCTCCCATCTTCCCTGATATCCTTTTCTTTTTCGTCTTCATCGTCTTTGTTTTCATCGTCTTTGTCCTCTTCGTCATCTTTGTTTCTTCATCCTCCTTGTCCTCCTCCTCTTTGTCCTCTTCCTCCTCCTCTGCTGCTGCCACCACCACGCATTCTTAATAATATTTTTTGTGTACTGTGGAATTAAATAATGTACACATTTGAAAGAGTGGGTTTTTTTTTTTTTTAATCTCAGTTACAGGATTTTATGATTTTTTTTCTCAAGGGTCTTGTTACTTAAAAATAAGCTCAGTGGCTCATTCCTGTAATTTCAGCACTTTGCGAGGCTGAGGCAAGAGGATCACTTGAGCTTAGGCGTTTTAAAATTAGACTGGGCAATATCATGAGACTTCATCTGTATAAAACAAAACAAAAATAACCAAGTGGCAGATTAATACCCTAGAAACCCCAACAAGGTTTCAATAATATACTTAATTATCAAAATTAAGTATATTATGGAAATTTCATTATATTAATGGTTAAATTGGCAGAAAATTGGAAGTTTATTATGTATTACATATAGTGTATAGTTTAGTATATACATATACTATATATATAAACATGTATATATGTGTTTTTATCATATTTTAAGTAGAAAAACCATGTAAGAGTTACTTGTTGGCAAAAAGTAGAGAAAACTGTTAGTACAAATTGAGAATTCCTAATCCAAAACTCTAAAATTTGAACTGCTACAAAGTTTGAGATCTGAGTGCCAACATGGTGCTCAAAGAAGTACTCATTGGAACATTTAAGATTTTGGATTATTGAATTAGAGATCTTCAACTGGTAAGTATATAATGCAGATACTCCAAAGTGTGGAAAAATCCAAAACCTGAAACACTTCTGCTTCCAAGCATTTCAGATAGGGGATACTTAACTTGCATATTTTAATCTGTAATGTTATTTAATACTATATTTAAATTAACATTCTTAGTCAAGACCTGTAAAAGTGGTAAACTTACTGAGTATTCACTTGTCCTTAAAATCAAATACTGTTTGTAGTATTGAAGTACTGCCATTGTTTTTTAAATGGATACTTAGTGGTGTTAAAGTAAATAGCAGTAGAAGCAGATAGTGTAATTTATAAGAAGCCTCACCAAGATAGAAGAATTCCTGCAGTATTATGTTTTCTTACATGTATTTCACCTTATATTTCAGTATTAGGTTGTGCATATTTACCCTGAAAGAGAAGCAGCAGAAGAGAATTCATATGTGTATGCCTACAAAATATAAAAATCAGTATTTTTGAGTAAAATCTATATTTTAATAGATTTTTTTATGTATTAAAAGTAGGAAACTTTGCATTTGACAGCCCTCAAATTGGGAATTACTTGTCTAATCTTCTGTTTATTACCCTATCTTGATTTAGTAGTTAGCAGCTTCATGGCTGTAAAATACTTTTATTTTACATGACATAATATTTAGTGTTTATATCTTCATAAATATTGTCCCTCATGAATTTACATGTTTGTGTTTATTATAACAAAGAAGTCTTTGTATCTCATGGTTTATTATTTTATAGATCTTTATAAGGGTTTCTGTTGTGTACTCCAGTAAAATAAAAGCATTATATAAATACTTTATAAAGATTTAATAACAAATCTGGCACACCTGTGATAATTTACTTTTTTCTCCTAAGCGTAATTTATTGTCTTATTTGTATTTTAATTTACTATTTAACTTATTTTTGTATTATGACATGTAAATTAATTCCATTGGAATCAAGAGATCTTCCCACCATAGCCGCCTATGTAGCTGGGACCACAGGTGTGCACCTCAGCACCCACCTAATTTTAAAATGTATTTTTTACAGAGATGAGGTCTCACTATGTTGCCCAGACTGATCTGAAACTCCTGGGCTCAAGCTGTGCTGCCAACTCAGCCTCTCAAAGTATTGGAATTACAGGCATCAGCCACCACGCCCAGCCTTCCCTCTTATAATTAGGAAATTCAGCTTGTCATTTGTTTGGTTAAGTTTCATTTCTGTTTAGGTGAATTTGTTTTTACTGTTTTATGCACTGCCATTCATCATCTTAGATAATTAGCATTTTACCGTCATATTAAAAAATATTAGTGTACTGGCCAACTTTTTGACTTTCAAACTGTTTTTATATCAGGTAATCTACATGTATTGGGCAATTATTTTTGACCATTCTCTCTAACTTGATTTTCTAGTTGAAACATTGTAGTCGGTATATACATGACTTATTTCCTTCACTCATCAAGAATTTGGATCCCGTACCACTTAGACATCTACTTAATCTGGTCTCAGCTCTTGAGCCAAGTGTTCATACTGAACAGGTAATACATTCAAAACATGATAGTTTTTTTTTTTTCCCGTGAAGTGAAAATTTCCTTGTGATTCAGATAATTTAACTTTCATTTTATTGTCTTGGCATTTCAGTTTGACAAAAAGGATATTAAATTTGTTAGTGTTGCCTGGAATTCTCAAACTGAAATCTCTCCCTCTTTTTTTTAGACACTGTACTTGGCATCCATGTTAATTAAAGCACTGTGGAATAACGCACTAGCAGCTAAGGCTCAGTTATCTAAACAGAGTTCTTTTGCATCTTTATTAAATACTAATATTCCCATTGGAAATAAGAAAGGTTAGTAATGTCATGTATTTTGAAGTAAATTGTTGAGAGCTTCTCACTCAGATTTGAAATATTTTCTGCTAATACATTCAGTTCAATCTTTATTTTAAAATAAGTGTGGGATGGGTAGAAGAGTGCATATAAAAGGATTAATACTGTGATTAGTTCGTGTTTTGGTTTACCTTTTAAGTGAAGGATAGTGATGAAGTCTTTGTAGTTACTGGATTTTCTCAGCTTTGGTTATCTTTTTTTTTTAAACAAAAGCTTTGGAGATTTCATTTTGTAAACAAACAAGTTTTGTTTCAGAAATAATTTTAAGAGTAGAACATAATGATTCAGTTATCTTGTTGTGTTTTCTGCTTCAAAGTTTTCTGCCATGTCAGGTGCTTTGTGGGGTTTTTTTGTTGTTGTTGTTGTTGTTGTTGTTTTTTGAGACGGAGCCTCGGTCTGTCACCCAAGCTGGAGTGCAGTGGTGCTATCTTGGCTCAATGCAAGCTGCGTCTCCCGGGTTCACGTCATTCTCCTGCCTCAGCCTCCCGAGTAGCTGGGACTACAGGTGCCCGCCACCACGCCCAGCTAATTTTTTTGTATTTTTAGTAGAGACGGGGTTTCACCGTGTTAGCCAGGATGGTCTCGATCTCCTGATCTTGTCATCCATCCGCCTTGGCCTCCTAAAATGCTGGGGTTACAGGCGTGACCCACTGCATCTGGCCAGTGGGTATTTTTTTTAACATACATAGCTTTCAAGGGCTTTCTGAAACATTAGTTGAACTCAGTTTTTGTCTCCTGACAACATATACTACCCCTCTCTTAGGCTTTTCTGTGCAGGCACCCCCAACAACTACTGTAGGTGGTGGGGACTTAACCTTATTGCAGGTTTCTCCACTTACATCTTGTTGATTATGTAATATGAACAACTGATACGCTGTCTCAAAGAAGCTGAGTCACTTAGAATGTTTTTCTCCTGTTTTTTCCTTTTCCTTCAGAGGAAGAAGAGCTTAGAAGAACAGCTCCATCACCTTGTAAGTTGAGCCTTAGAAATTCATGGCAACATGACTTAGTTTTTTATAGTGGTTTTCTAGAGTTCATTGATTTTACATAATAATATATTTGTATCAGTCATAAAGTTCATTTTGAGGAGATGTAAACCTTTAACATATTCGTGTTACCCATTTTTCTTAAAATCTTAAACATCTTGACTTTTAATTGAATCTTACATCTTCTTTAGAAATCATGAGCAAATGTTAACATATTTAGAGATTTTATTTTTGGCTACTTAGCATAAAGCTTTGGTAACTAGGTCAAGGAATCAAATGATAATGTCATTCTGTTAAGTCAATGTTAATATAAATTAGAAGTAAAAACAAAAAATGTATTTTATATAGGGTCACCTGCAGCTAGTCCTCAAAGCAGTGATAATAGCGATACACATCAAAGTGGAGGTAGTGACATTGAAATGGATGAGCAACTTATTAATAGAACCAAACATGTGCAACAACGACTTTCAGACACAGAGGTATGAAAATAGGTTTTTCTTCTTTTATAGGCATTTTTGGCTTTCTGGCGTGTTTATCATTTGAATTGGGTATATATACATAATTCATGTTTGGGCTTGTCCTCTCCTTTACGTAATATTTTTGACATCCTTTGAGTTTTTAATTCCATTTTGTATTGTTCAAAGGAGTATAACAAGACTGGCAGCCTTTTTAAAAAGTACAGTTTATTAATGTTGGTTACCTTTTTTCTTACTGGTTTAAATATTTATTTAAATCTATTTGTTTCAAAATACAGGAATCCATGCAGGGAAGTTCTGACGAAACTGCCAACAGTGGTGAAGATGGAAGCAGTGGTCCTGGTAGCAGTAGTGGGCATAGTGATGGATCTAGCAATGAGGTTAATTCTAGCCACGCAAGCCAGTCAGCTGGGAGCCCTGGCAGTGAGGTACAGTCAGAAGACATTGCAGATATTGAAGCCCTCAAAGAGGAAGATGAAGACGATGATCATGGTCATAATCCTCCCAAAAGCAGTTGTGGTACAGATCTTCGGAATAGAAAGTTAGAGAGTCAAGCAGGCATTTGCCTGGGGGACTCCCAAGGCATGTCAGAAAGAAATGGGACAAGCAGCGGAACAGGAAAGGACCTGGTTTTTAACACTGAATCATTGCCATCAGTAGATAATCGAATGCGAATGCTGGATGCTTGTTCACACTCTGAAGACCCAGAACATGATATTTCAGGGGAAATGAATGCTACTCATATAGCACAAGGGTCTCAGGAGTCTTGTATCACACGAACTGGGGACTTCCTTGGGGAGACTATTGGGAATGAATTATTTAATTGTCGACAATTTATTGGTCCACAGCATCACCACCACCACCACCACCATCACCACCACCACGATGGGTAAGCCTACTTCAAAATAAATATTCAGTTCATATTTCCTTTAGGGAAGTATTATATCCTATATTCAATTTGCAATTTATTCTGTATTAGTGCTATTCATTAGTAGTATAGTGCAAACTATAAATGTAAGCTACAAATAGATAATTTCAAGTTTTCTATTGGGCACATTTAAAAACACAAAATGAAGCAGGTTGTTGGCCATGCACAGTGGCTCACACCTATAATCCCAGCACTTTGGGAGGCCGAGGCAGGTGGATCACTTGAGGTCAGGAGTTTGAGACCAGCCTGAACAACATGGTGAAACCCCATCTCTACTAAAAATAGAAAAATTAGCCGGGCATGGTGGTGCACGCCTGTAATCCCAGCTACTTGGGAGGCTGAGGCAGGAGAATCACTTGAACCTGGGAGGTGGAGGTTGCAGTGAGCTGAGATCACACCACTGCACTCCATCCTGGGCAACAGAGTGAGACTCAAAAGCAAAACGTTGAACAACAACAATAAAAAACCAGGTTGTTAATTTTAATCATGTTAAACCAATAATATCCACAATGCCATTTACACATGTAATAAGTATAAAAATTACTAAGGTATTTCCTTCCTTTTTTTCTTACCAAGTCTTCAATATTTAGTGCATATTTTATACTTATAGCACTTTTCAATTTAGACCAGCCACCCTTTAATTCTTTAAAATATTTATTGATTTATTTGTTTTCTTCTTCTTTTTTTCTTTGAGACAGGGTCTCGCTCTGTTGCCCAGGCCGGAGTGCAGTGGCACGATCTAGGCTCACTGCAACCTCCACTTCCCAGGCTCAAACAATTCTTGTGCCTCAGCCTCCTGAGTAGCTGGAATTACAAGCACCCACCACCATGCCTGGCTACTTTTTTAGTATTTTTAGTAGAGATGGGGTTTCACCGTGTTGACCAGGCTGATCTTGAACTCCTGACCTCAGATGATCTGCCCGCCTCGGCCTCCCAAAGTGCTGGGATCACAGGTGTGAGCCACCAGGCCCGGCCTTTTTTTTTTTTTTTTTTTTTTTTGAGTTGGAATCTCACTCTGTCACCCAGGCTGGAGTGCAGTGGCACAATCTTGGCTCACTGCAACCTCCGTCTCCCAGGTTCAAGCGATTCTTCTGCTTCAGCCTACTGAGCAGCTGGGACTACAGGTGCCCCCCACCCCCCACCCATGCCTGGCTAATTTTTGTATTTTTAGTAGGATGGGGTTTCACCATATTGGCCAGGCTGGTCTTGAACTCCTGACCTTATGATTCGGCCTGCCAAAGTGCTAGGATTGCAGGCGTGAGCCACTGCACCTGGCCTTTTTTTTTTTTTTTTTTTTTTTTTTAAGAGATAGGGTCTCACTTTGTCACCTAGGCTGTAGTGCAGTGATGTGATCATAGCTCACCGTAGTCTCAAACTCTTGGGCTCAAGCAATCCTCCTGCCTCAGCTTTCTGAGCACTTGAGACTTAAGGTGTGTGTTGCCACTCCTAGCTAATTCTTAATTTTTTTTTTTTTTTTTTATAGAGACAGAGTATTGCTATGTTGCCCAGGCTGGTCTTGAACCCCAGACCTCAGTGCTTTTGCCGCAGCCTCCCAAAGCTCTGGGATTACAGGCGTAAGCTACTTATACCCAGCCTAGACCTACCATGTTTTATGTGTGTAATGGTCACATATGGCTAGTTGGTATTATATTGGATAACACAGGATTAGATTTTCAACATCTTGTAATAAATGCCTAAAAAAGATATGAGTGCTTATGGAAACTTTCCTAAATTGTGATTAAGAAAGGGAAATTTTACACATCTAATTTTAGGGTATTTAAAAGGGTAAGCTCCAGCATAAAACTTTTTGGTTATCTGTGAAATATACCAAATAATGTGATTCTGTCACTTAGTGGTGGTATTATGATGGGCAAAATAATTAATTTTTCTTCATTTTTTCAATCTATAAAATGGGAACAATAATCCTAGTGCTTTGGAGGCTAAGGCAGGAGGATCGTTTGAGGCCAGGAGCTTGAGATCAGCCTGAGCAACTTAGTGGGGCCCTGTCTCTACAAAAATATTAAAAACACTAGCCAGGCATGGTATCACACACCTGTAGTTCTAGATAATTGGGAGGCTGAGGTGGAAGGATCGCTTGAGTCCAGGAGATCAAGACTGCAGTGAGTGGTGATTGCACCACTACACTTCAGCCTGGGCAATAGAATGAGACTCTGTCTCTAAAAATAAAATGGGCACAATAGTATCTATCTCATGGTTTTATTGTGAGGATTTCCTGGGCTAACTAATGTGATTGGTGCACAATAAGTGCTCGATAAGTGTTAGCTGTATATTTATCATTGTCGTTACGAGTGATACTATGTGAGTTTATGGTGAATCATGGGTATGCCCTTTATCAGATTGAGTTTTGCTATACTCGACAATTTGCCAGATCTTCCAGAATGCAATTAAGTTGTTAGGGTGAACTCTACATATCTATACATATTACTTCTTTATTTCCTTTGCTTTTTAATTCTTAGCACTGATGCATCTGAGATTAAGGAAGTGTTTTTCAAGATTGGCATTTTGGGCCAGATAATTACAATTTTTTTTTTTTTTTTAAACACAGTCACACTCTGTTGTTCAGGCTGGAGTGCAGTGGCACGATCCTGGCTCACTGCAGCCTCCACCTTTTGGGTTCAAGTGGTTCTCCTGCCTCAGCCTCCCGAGTAGCTGTGATTATGGGTATGCACCACCATGCCCCAGCTAATTTTTGTATTTTTAGTAGAGACGGGGTTTCACCATGTTGGCCAGGCTGGTCTTGAGCTGCTGACCTCAAATGATCCGCCTGCCTCGGCCTCCCAAAGTGCTGGGATTACAGGTGTGAGCCACCATGCCCAGCCTTGGGCCAGAACATTTTTTTTTTATTTGAATGTATAGCAATGCTAATGTTGCCCTGTGCATTGCAGAATGTTTGCCACTATACTGAGCCTTATCTCTAGATTCCACTAGCATCTCCTCAGTTTTGACAACCAAAAATATCTCTAGATATTTCCAGATTTCCCCCAGGGGCCTAAATTCACCCCTGATTGGGAACCACTGGCTCACTATCTTGCATTATAGATACAAACATTCACAGTTGTCCCCAGCACAGCTCATGATGAAGACAAAGCAGTTAAAAAACTGAGGTGCAATATATTCAGTTTGGTACACTGCAAATCTTAGTTTTGACACCTATACCCATTCCATACCTCACAAGACCTAATGATTTAATTTTTCATTTTAGCTCTTTTCATATTCTGTGTATTAATGGTACTACTTGTGAGTCTCTAAATCAACCCTGAACTTCATGTTATTTTTCGATTTTTTAAATCATTTTGTCTTTATGTCCGGTAACAATGTGTTTTAGAAATGAATACTTAATTTGGGTTTGTTTGGTTAGAAGTTCCCCAGTTAATATTAAGTCCATCAAGACTGCAGCCTTAAATTGAAATGTTTTTTTGGTTTGATTCTACAGTTGTAAAAAACCACACTTTTTATGGTTTCACATTTTATAGACTTTGAGTATAAAATAATATGTAAACAGTGAGTATTAGTGATCTTGCCTAAAATTGTTCTTTGAATTTGTTTTAATGAGGTGTCTTAATAGGCCTGGTAATATGACTGTATATTGTAAAATTATTTAATAATTCTGACAGTGTGAAGTTTTCAGTTTCGTAAAGCTCTCAACATTCCATATTGTTAATAAGCAGATGTCGGTTTGTTTCTAAGTGTATTTGTAAGTTTAAGAGAGGTATTTTTTGTGGTTCACAAATTAGATTCACATTCGTAATTACTAACTTTGTGCTTTTCTCTGTTTTGTAGGCATATGGTTGATGATATGCTAAGTGCAGATGATGTCAGTTGTAGTAGCTCCCAGGTTAGTGCAAAATCAGAAAAAAATATGGCTGATTTTGATGGTGAAGAATCTGGATGTGAAGAGGAGCTAGTTCAGATTAATTCACATGCGGAACTGACATCTCACCTCCAACAACATCTTCCCAATTTAGCTTCCATTTACCATGAACATCTTAGTCAAGGTAAGACTCTACAGTAAGTAAAATATATTACCTTCTTCACAACAGGAATAATTTATCTTACTTTGTTGAAAGGACTCAATAGTTAAGGTTATGGTACTTAAATGTTTTTGTCAAAATAACTTACATATGGTAGTTTTTTTTTTTCCCCCAAGGGAATTAAATTATTATAAATAGTCCATCATGAATATAAATAAGTCCTGCAGTTCTATTGAGATATTCAGCGGGGAAAGAAAATATATAGCAATAATATGTAATAATTAAAGCTCTATATTTTAGAAAATATATGGTTGTATTAGAATTTATACTCAGAAATCCTAGGACCTAAAAGTATAGGAAATCACAAAAGATAAAATTGTATGATTCCATTTATATGATATGTCTAGAATAGGCAAATCTGCAGGCAGAAGGTTAGTGGTTGCTTGGGGTTAGGGAAGGGTAGGAGGGAATAAGGAGGGGCGAGTGTGAGAAATGATTGTTCAAGTCTAAATCACTCTTAAAGTAATAGGACATGACCAGACTTGAAAGAATGGAGGATGGAGGAAGGTAAAGAGTAGTAGGGAATTAATGAGTAAAGCAAGAAAAAATAAGAAAGTGAAAAACAGTTTTAGAATTGGCAGTTTAAAGGCCTTAAACCTCTTGTTTGGTTGGTATCATCAACATATGCTGGCCTAGTAAATGGGTTTTGGATAGCCAGTACATTATAAGTAAACCGGATGGATTACGTTTATGCAAAGAGGCCATAAACACACTTAGAAACACAACTTGTGGACCTTGGCAACAATTTACTGATTTGTATGTGTTTTTTGTACATGATCTGTCTAGGTTAAGTTACTTTGACTTATTTTATTGTTGTGCTGTTGTGGTTGTTGAGAAAGGAATAGGTTAGATTGAGGTCATCTGACTGAATGTGATGCCATATTTGTAAATTGTTACCATTCTTTTCTCAAATTTTCCTTTAATCAATATTTTACCTATTTTTTACTGCGTGGAGTTAGAAATTGAACAAAATGGTTTTCTTTTCACAACCCATTGTAGACAGAATAAAATGATAGTATATGTTAATGCTTTCCAAATCTACCTTGTTTTACAATGTTTTTAGTACTAGAAGACCTCCTCCAACAGAGTAAGACAGTCAGTTTAAAAATGGGCAAAAGTGTTGATCAGATACTACATAAAAGATGATACATAGAAATGGTCAATAAGGGCTGGGCATGGTGGCTCACACCTATAATCCCAGCACTTTGGAAGGCTGAGGTGGGCAGATCACTTGAGGTCAGGAGTTCGAGACTAGTCTAGCCAACGTGGTGAAACCCCATCCCTACTAAAAATACAAAAAAAAAAAATAAATTAGCTGCGTATGGTGGTGCTCACCTGTAGTCCCAGCTACTTGGGAGGCTGAAGCAGGAGAATCGCTTGAACCCAGGCTGTGGAGGTTGCAGTGAGCCGAGATCACGCCACTGCACTCCAGCCTGGATGACAGAGTGAGACTCCGTCTTAAAAAAAAAAAAAAAAAAAAAAGGAAACGGCCAGTAAGTACACTCTCAGTGTCTCTTGTCATCTAGTAAATATAAGTTAAAACCACAGTGAGGCACTACTACATACCTATTGAAATGAGTAAAATTAAGGACTGATACTATCAAGGATTGACATTAGAATGTGGAGCTGGAACTGTCATAACTTGCTGTTGAACATAAAATATAATCACTTTGGAGAACTGTGTGTTAGTCCATTATTGTGTTGCTATAAAGAAATCGCCTGGTGCGGTGGCTCACATCTGTAATCCCAGAACTTTGGGAGGCCGAGACAGGTGGATCATCTGAGGTCAGCATCTCGAGGCCAGCCTGGCCAACATGGTGAAACCCCGTTGGTACTAAAAATACAAAAATCAGCTGGGTGTGATGGCGGGCACCTGTCGTCCCAGCTACTCGGGACGCTGAGGCAGGAGAATCACTTGAACCTGAGAGGCGGGGAGGTTGCAGTGAGCCAAGATCATACCACTCCACTCCAGCCTGGGCAACACAGCGAGACTGCATCTCAAAAAAAAAAAAAAAAAAAAAAAGAAAGACCTGAGTCTGGGTAGTTTATAAACAAAAGTGGTTTATTTTGGCTCACAGTTGTGCAGGTTGTGCAAGAAGCATAGTGCCAGCATCTGCTTCTGGTGAGGGCCACAGGAAGCTTACAATCATGGTAGAATGTGAAGGGGGAGCAGGGGTCTCATGGCAGAAGTGGAAACGGGGGGTTGGAGGGGTGTCACTCTCTTCTAAACAACCAGATCTTATCTGAACTCAATGTAAGAATTCACACTATGGTGAGGACAGCATGAAGACATTCATGAGGGATCTGCTCTCTTGACCCAAACGCCTTCTACTAGACTCACCTCCAACACTGGAGGTCACATTTCAACATGAGATTTGGAGGGGACAAAACATTCAAACTGTATCAAACTGCTTTATCACAAAGTTAAATATATACCTACCATATGACCCAGCAGTTTTTTTGCCTTAGGTTTTTACTCAAGAGAAGTGAAAACATGTCTGTGAAAAGATTTGTTCATGTGTGCTGCTTTATTCAGAAGGCCTTCCAACTGGAATTAACTGATAAATTCACATAGTGGAATTTTGCTCATCAGTAGAAAGGAAAGAACTACAGACACATCCAACATCATGGATGAATATTGAAAACATCATTCTGAGCAAAAGAAGCTAGAAATAGAAGAAAGTACATACTGTGTATTACTTATGTGCAGTTCTAGAACAGTCAAAAGTAATTTGTAAGGAAAGAAAGCTCCTCAATCATTGCCTAGGGCTTGAGGGTGGGGACTGATTGTAAAGGATCACAAGGGAACTTCCTAGGGTGATAGAAACGTTCTCCATCTTGATTATATATGTATTTCGATAAAATTATGAAAGCGAAATACCAAAACAGTCCCCCCACCCATCCAAAAAAAAAAAAAAAAGACAAGCCACAGACTAGAAGAAATATTTGAAAATTATATATCTATGAAATGGATTGTATTTGGAATATAAAATAATTTCATAACTCAATAGTAAGACAACCCAATTAAAAGAGTGGCAAATTACTTATTTCACCAAAGAGGTATACACATGGCTAATAAGCATACGAAAAGATTCTCATCATTAGTCATTAGGGAAATGGAAATTAAAAACCTCAATGAGATTCTACCACATACCTTAATAGGTATGTGAAATTAAAAATAGGTATGTGAAATTAAGAGTGACAGTACTACGGTGTTAGGGAGAATATGGAAGAAAGGGACTGATGCTCTCATACACTGCTGATGGGAATGTAAAAGGGCACAGCCTCTTTGGAAATCTTTTCAGCAGTTTTCTTTTAAACATACATAATACCTTATGACTCAGTGATGTCAATCCTAGTATTTACCCAAGAGAAAGGAAAGGAAATGATGCAAAACTTGTTACACAGATGTTTATGGTAGTTTTGTTAATAATAGCGTAAAACTAGAAACTATCCAAATGTCCTATAACTGGTGAGTGTCTAAACAAAATGTAGTATTTCTATAAAAGAGTCTTTTAATTTGAATGTTAAGGGTAAATTATCTCCAATAAAAATAGTGTTAAGTTTTTTTTTAAATATAGGGATTATAAAAGATTATATAGGTCATTTAGAGGTATGTCTGTTTAAATAATTATTTCAAATATGTTGTCTTATTCACACTTAGTTTCAAGTATTTATGTACAGTTCTCTTGATGTGAAAATATTAATCACTATAGATAGCAAAGAGACTGTAGAAAGGAAACGATTTCACTTTAGCCTTATCAAATCTAAATGGCACTATTCTTCTCTCCTCATAAGTATTGTGCCATGCTGGGTGCAGTGGCTTACACTTGTAATCCCAACACTTAGGGAGGCTGAGGAAGGAGATTACTGGAGGCCACAAGTTCAAGACCAGCCTGGCCAACATAGCGAGACTCAGTCTCTATTTAAAAAAAAAACAAAAACAAAACAAAACAAAATATTGTGCTAATGTGTTTTTATTTTATGATCTGAGAAAAATATCGTGTACTTTTCTTTGGATTTGCTAACCATATGAATGCTATAATCAGTCAGCTGCATTTCTCTATAGTGTGTCTTTTTTTTTTTTTTCTCTTCAGGACCTGTAGTTCATAAACATCAATTCAACAGTAATGCTGTTACAGACATTAATTTGGATAATGTTTGCAAGAAAGGAAATACTTTGTTGTGGGATATAGTCCAAGATGAAGATGCAGTAAGTTATTTAATAGAACCAGAAGAGTAAGAAATTTCAGCAAGATGCAATTAGGATAAATAGTAATTTTATATACATTTTTTATAGGTTAATCTTTCTGAAGGATTAATAAATGAAGCAGAGAAACTTCTTTGTTCGTTAGTATGTTGGTTTACAGATAGACAAATTCGAATGAGATTCATTGAAGGTTGCCTTGAAAACTTGGGAAACAACAGGTAAAGAGGAATTTAAAAATTTTTAATGCAGTAGTCAAAGTATTTGGGTGTGGGGGGACATTCTTGTTGACTAGGTGTGATGTTTTTATACTGTTTCATATACCTGTATTAATCTGTTTTTTAGTAATTATAGTTTTCATATGAAATTTAGAGGTTTCTTCTTAACATGGTTCATATTTTAGCACTCAGTGTTGCTCTTTTCAGCACCTTTCACCATTCTTTGTTAGATCCACCCAACAGAAACAAAAAAATAACAATACTATCTTTTTGATTCTGGGGACACCTTGGTGATTACTCTGTTTTCAAATTGCAGTTAAATGTTCTTGAACTGTCTCATAAAGGATGCTAAATAAGTTAAGTGAAATTTTACTTAAGCTACAACATAAACACTTTGATATTAGTATTGTTCTTCCATTTAGATGTATCTTTTAATGTCTCAGCATTTGTAGTGCATAAAAGACTAGGTTAGTAACTCATCAAGTTGTATATATTAGATATGTACAGTTCTTTTGTCATACCTCAAAAGTCTTTTTTTGTTTTTTGGTTTTTGTTTTTAAACAGATTAGTGTTTTTTTCTCTTGTTTGAATTCTGCCTCATATTTATGTACTTCTCATTGGGACTCAGTTGATGACACATTTCTTGGTTTTCAGTGTTCTTCCATGGATACAGTTTCATGTTTCCCTTGACCTATACTGCTTTGATAGTGTTCCATTCTCTAATGTAGTGAAAACACAATTCTGGTGTGTATGTTGACAGTTCAGTTATTAATATATTGTTTTCTGCTCACATCTGTGTAGGCCTGCTATGATTGTCTAATTTTACCAAATAAGTGCTTGAAAATATTTTTTTCCCCTATTGAATTTTAAAAGTACATGCTATATTTTATTTTCTTTTTTTGGTTCTTTAAAGGGCAATACGTTGAGCAGTTACAGTAGAAAAATTCATTGTTCATGCACATATAAGAAACCACTAGTAGAACTTTGTAAATGAATCAGTTGCCTCCTTTGGTATTCATTCTTTGTTTTTTTGGACATGGAGTCTTGCTCCATCGCCCAGGCTGGAGTCCAGTCGTGTGATCTTGGCTTACTGCAACCTCTGCCTCCCGCATTCAAGCGATTCTCCCACCTCAGCCTCCTGAGTAGCTGGGATTACAGGCACCTGCCATCATGGCTGGCTAATTTTTGTACTTTCATAGAGATGGAGTTTCACCATGTTGGCCAGGCTGGTCTTCAACTCCTCACCTCAGGTGATCCTCCTGCCTTGGCTTCTCAAAGTGCTGGGATTACAGGCGTGAGTCACTGTGCCTGGCCGGTATATATTCTTTGAAAATAATTCTTTTAATGGCTGGATGATATGTCATCATTTACATAGGTTTTATAACAGTTAATTGTAAAATGTTAATTTTCTTTTAAAAGTCTTTGTGAAAACACAAATTTTAATAAGTGGTTCAATAATTTGTACTCTCCATATGTGCATCTGCATACCCTCTGACCCAGTAATTCCTCTTCTAAGTATATGCCTAACAAAATATACCCTGGTGATCACCCAAAGGCAGAGTCAAGAATGCTAACAGCAGCCCTATTGAAAATAACTAGGCCGGGCGCAGTAGCTAATGGCTGTAATCCCAGCACTTTGGGAGGCCAAGGTAGGTGGATTGCATGAGTCCAGGACTGAGACCAGCATGGGCAATGTGGTAAAACCTCGCCTCTACAAAAAATACAAATAAAAGTATCCAGATGTGGTGGTGTGTGCCTGTAGTCCCAGCTACTTGGGAGGCTGAGGTAGGAGGATTGCTTGTGCCTGGGGAGGTTCAGGCTGCAGTGAGTCGTGATCACGTCACTGCACTCCAGCCCTGAGCAACAGAGTGAGACCTTGTCTCTAAATAAATAAATAAATAACATAACATAACTACGTATTCTTTGCATAGCTATTCAAATGCAAAAAAAAAAAGTAGAAAGGATAATTGTGGACTATTCATTGAAATACTATATAGCAGTAACATTGAATGAACAGTGAACAACTACATGGAACAACTTGGTTGAATTTCACAAACACAATGTTGCAAGAAAGAAGCCAGACACAAAAACATTATGTATCTCTATTATTTTATTTATATCATGTAAAAACAGGTGAGTTCTTGTATTTAGTAGACTGGGTAATAGCTACCCTGAGTGGTTGGAATGGGACACAGTAGAGGCTCCTGGAATGCTGATACTGATTCGTTTCTTGATTTGGTTGCTGGTTACATAGATGTGTTTACCTCAGTATTTTGAGCTGTGCGCTTAGATCTGTGCCCTCTTTTGTATGTATGTTTATTATACTTCAATAGAAAGAGAAAACTGTATGAAAGATTAAATATCATGCAGCCATTAAGGGTCCTATTTTCAAAGATTATATAATGATTTAGGCAAATAATTGCAGGCCTAACCGTTAAAAAGAAAAGATTGTAAGAAATAAGTCAGAGTGTAATCTCTACAATGCAGTTATTTTTGGGAGGATTGAGGTTTTTTGTTTTGCTTTTTTTTTTTTTTTTTTTTTTTGAGATGGAGTCTCAGTCAGTTTCTCAGGCTGGAGTGCAGTGACATGATCTTGGCTGACGACAGCCTCTGCCTCCCGGGTTCAAGTGATTCTCCTGCCTCAACCTCCCAAGTAGCTGGGAATGTAGGTGTGCACCACCACGCCCAGCTAACTTTTGTATTTTTAGGTGAGATGGGGTTTTGCCACGTTGGCCAGGCTGGTCTCGAACTCCCGACCTCAAGTGATCTGCTTGCCCTGACCTCTCAAAGTGCTGGGATTATAGGCGTGAGCCACTGCACCCAGCTTGAGGTTTTTTTTTTTTCTCTTTGTGCCTATTTGTTACTCAGTTTTCCTAAAATGAGTACATACTTCTTTTATAGGTAGGAAAATTAAAAAGATCCAAAAGGGACCAGGTACAGTGTCTCACGCGTGTAAGTCCAACACTTTGAGAGGGTGAGATGGGGCATCTATTGAGCCCAGTAGTTTGAGACCAGCCTTGGAAACATAGGAAGACCCCATCTCTACAGAAAAACTTTAAAATTAGCTGGGCATGGTGGCCCGTACCTGTAGTTACAGCTACTTGGGAGGCTGAGGTGGGAAGTCAAGGCTGCAGTGAGCCAAGATCGCACCACTGCACTCCAGCCTGAGCAACACAGTGAGACTTTGTCTCAAAAAAAAAAAAAAAATTGTGCGGACACACACACACACACACAATTTGTTTTGCTTCCCTAGAGACTATATTATATATGGCATTTCACGTTAACTTTTGATATACGCTGTAATTTTAAATGACTATTTTGTAGAATATACTTCTTTAAAATATGGAGTCCTAGATTAGGCAAAATCATCCATATGTAACTTCAGCTGTGAAGACCAACAGTGAATGTCTCTGTTCTAAGATAACAAAAAGCTGCCTTAGTAATTCTTACAGGACTACCACACTGTTGCATAGTCATAAGCTTTTGGTTACAACACAAACTCTTGGAATAAATCAAACAACTAGTGCAATTCAGTATAATAGGATTATTCTTGAGTCTAAAATTAGTGTATTATTACTCTGGATCATTGAACCTTTATCTTCTCTTTGAGACAGTCTCACTGTGTCACCCAGGCCCAAGTGCAGTGGTGCAATCTCAGCTCACTGTAACCTCCGCCTCCCAGGCTCAAGCGAGTCTCCCACCTCAGCCTGCTGAGGAGGTGGGACTACAGGCATGTGCCATCATGGGTGGCTAATTTTTTGTATTTTTTTGTGGAGACCGGGTCTCACTGTGTTTCCCTGGCTGGTCTCAAACTCCTGGGCTCAGTCTGCTCACCTTGACTTCCCAAAGTGTTGGGATTACAGGCATGAACCATTATGCGTTGGCCATTGAGCCTTTGTGGTTGCCCATTGAATCTTTTTATCTTAACCACATTGTTGCCTAGGATTATGTGTTTTGGTATTTGAAATTTTCAGTCTTGAAAGAATTTGTGAAATGTAAGTTTGACTATAACACTTCCCTTTTATGCTTTTGTTAGTTTTGTAAGCATATCAGTAGTCAGAACTACTTGGGCAAAAAAGTTGATAAGTCATTATAACATCTCATAGTCATTATAGGAGAAATTCTACAATTTAATCTTTATTGGAACGAGTTTTATATTTGATTTTGTAAAGTTTCCTTTTTCATTGAAACATAAATTATTATCACCAGGCCAAAATTATCTTTCCCATTCTGTGTTTTATTAATTTATAGTCTAAAAGCAGTACTTTCTGTCATTTAAAAACAAATTTTATCAGTTTTAATAAAATGTTTTAGTGCTTTGGGATGACTTTGACTCTGTCTGGTCATTATAGCACTTAAAATGTGTGTCTTTGTTCTTTGGAATTTGATTCTTTTAAATGGGAGAAAAGTTGGAAGTTTTTAGATAATCTTAGGAAAAACTCTTAAAAATCTTTAGCCATGTATAATGTAATTATTCCTCAATAATTCAGCACTTATAAATTCTGGAGAAAAGCATTCCTTTAGGGTAGGAGTAGAAGGAAGATGAGTCTTATTTCTACATTCCTACTTTTGGTTTGTGTCTTTCATGAACCACACCATTATTCACTGAACTCAGTCAATAACCACTTAATGCCTGGCGTCTTATTTCTCTAACGTCAAACATATACTTGCTTCCACATTGCATTTTATAAATGAAAACATGTTTATTGAAGAAAATTCAGGAAGTGAATAAAATTTACTTCCTAAATTTGTGAAAAATTTTTTCATGAAGCAGTATTGGCTTCTAAGATTAAAATAAGTTTAGTTCTTCATTAGAATTTGTTTTGCCTCTTTTAAGGCTCATGCAGCCAACCTCCTTTCCTACTTCCAGGATTTCTATGTCAGTATCTGTCCTGTACCTGTTCCTTTCAGAGGATAGGCAGACTCAGATCTACTTGAAGTTTTAAAGTAATTTCCTTTCCCCTTTCTGCTCCTTATACTTTTGAGGTATGTGGTGTGCTTCCATTAGTGACGTGGTTCATAAGGTCATGATTCTCAATTTGAATGCAAATCATATTGAGAATTTAGGAGAAAATGGTAATGACTTATGAAGAAATAGTTTCATTTAAGAAACATCTTTAAATGCTCTTCACTTGCTTTTTTACCCAGATATTTATAGTGTGTTTTACCTTAAAGATCTTGGATTGGAATTTTTTAAACTTGCAGTTCTTGCCCTAATATGTAAAATGAATTTATACTTCTGAGAAAAAAAGTTTAATGTTTGTGTAATAATATGTCTCTATGCAAGATTCATTAAATCTTTTAGCATTTAAAATTTTAAATGGCTGAATTTCTATAAAAAGAATTACTAAAATTATTTTGTGAATGTTTCTGCTGTTTCAGATCAGTAGTAATTTCACTTCGTCTTCTTCCAAAACTATTTGGTACTTTTCAGCAGTTTGGGAGCAGTTACGATACACACTGGATAACAATGTAAGTAAATAAAAGAAAAAAGTATTTATTTTAAAGATTTTTTTCTAATTATAGTTATCTAAAGGTTTTGACTAACCTACAAGCTTTTACTCTGTACCAGGAAAATTTGAGTTTCATGTGGTTTGTTTTCTTAGATTTTTCTGCCACTTACCCCTGTAGAGATTATATCCTGATCAGTAGGAAAATCTGTGTTTTGTTTTCTTTGGAGTTTGAGAACAGTACTTTAGCAATTAATACTCTAATTTTAGGGAGATTTTTAGCGTATGCAGCTACAGCAGAGTACTTTTGAAGAAGAGCCACACTAAAGTAAACTCTGGCATGCCTTTAATTTTTCCCATTTCTAGGAATTGGCTGTAGACCTAATGTCATGTTTGGGGTAATCTTGACACTACCTTATTACAGGTTGAGTATGCCTAATCTGAAAAATCTAAAATCTGAAATGCTCCATAATCCAACATTTTTGGAGCATCAGTAGGACACTCAAAGGAAATATTCATTGGAGCATTTTGGAATTTGGATTTTTGGATTAGTTATGTTCAACTGCTATGCATTCTGCGAATATTACGGAATCTGAAAAAATTTGAAACACTTCTGGTCTCCAGCATTTTGGATAAGGGATATTCAACTAGTTACTCCATTTATGGAGAACTTATGATTAATGAATGTTACAATAATTCTTCCAGAGGTAGAACTTTTATGTGAAATCGACCCCATGTTTTGGTAATAAGTCTAGAGAAAGTTGTCTACCACAAACAATACATTAAGAAGATGTGTTGTATGCTTTATTCTAAATAAGCTTTTGGAGAGATTTCGGAGACATTTGAATTTTAGGGAAAATTCGACTTGTTGAAGGATTCATTTGTGAGATCAAGTTCTCAATTCTAAGCTTAGGTGGTAAGAACACTTGCTTGCTTTCACAGTGGAGTATCACTTTTATAGTTCTTGGAAGTCTGCACTATAATTCCAGATTAGATGAAGTTAATTCTTCTGAGTCATATACCTTGCTTCTAATTGTTCTTTTAAAGGGAATATGTTTAATCTGGACCTTTATTATTATTTAGAAGTATCTTAGTCTCTTTCTTTGGTTAATACTACAGTAAGAATCCAGTGAAGGTTCTGTTTTTGCAAGGAAGGTCCTTCAGCTTCCAAAAGGAGGGGTAAGGGAAAGCATTTAACATCACTGAAGAACAAGAATAGTGTGAGCCATTTTTCATTGCCTCTTTCTATAATTTTTAAGTGGCTGAATTTCAAAATTCTAATGCAGTAAAGGCAGTCATTTGGTGCTAACACGGGCGAGCAGGTGTCATTATAGTCAGTGGAGGTGGTTCATATTAAGGAGTAACTTTCTTGTATAGAAGGGGCAGTCTCTGAATATTCAGTTACTTAATCAAGTACCCGAACCTAAATATATTGAGTTGAAACTCTTTTAGCTTGTTCCTTAAATTAAATGTAAATAAGCTTAATTAAGGAAAATTCACAGGGTTTCCATTACCACAAGAGATTGGTATCCTAAATCTCATAAACTACATCACTTAAAAGAACTCCTGTGGTTATTTGACATCAGTAACAACAAAAGCTGTCATTTATTGTGAGTCTAGTATGTATAGCAGCACTTAATATTTAGTACATATTATCTCTTAAACTCGTTCTAATGGCCCATAGTTTAAAATTGGAAACTTACCCTTGATTCTTCTAATAAACCTTCAAGCAAACAGACTTCCACAAGACAGCTTACTTGCCTGAAGCTGTGTTGTAGCAAGTGTATTGGAGCTGCCTTCAAACCCAAAGTCTTTTTCTTTCTACCACTTGACCTTTATTTAGTGAATAGCAAGGTGAAAGTAACTTCTGTTTAAAATATGGCTATAACAGAAACACGATGTAAATTACATGGAACTTAGAGAATTTTAATACTTCTACATCTGTACATTTTAGCAGATAAATTGCTAATAGGTGTTATATGAAATACATTATGTTAATTATGGAAGTTATGGACCCTGGGATCTCTGAATGTATATGCCACTATTTGTGTTTTCATTGTAGTATTTCTACATTATTTTGGAACTCAGTGCTGGGTATTTCTTTGATTTTTTTAAAAAAAATTTTGTTCAAAAATATAAGCAAATTAATGACAAAAGATATATGCAGTAAGTTTATTGTATGCCTTCTGTATGCCAGATATTGTGCTAAGTAATGACCAAAGCACATAGTATATTCTTATATGAAAGGGTATCATATTACTTTTAATATTAACTCAAATTAGTCATTGATAATAGTACTTTCACAGGCATTTTGAGATTAAAAACTTACAAAGGTACTTTAAATTCATAAAAATGAAGGAACATTGCTTTATATCTTTTCACCATTCAAATATAAATAAAACGTGTATATTTTTCGTAACTAAAATTTTACATTTGAAGATTTTTTTTAGATTTGCATATTTACTGTCATAGCATAGATTTATTCTCTTACCCTGCCCACTTTAAAATTATTTTTTCTTTTATTTGGGCCAGGTGGGCAGAAAAAGAACTGAACATGATGAAGCTTTTCTTTGATAATTTGGTATACTACATTCAAACTGTGAGAGAAGGAAGACAAAAACATGCACTGTAAGTACCTCTCAACTGGGTTAAATACATTTGTGTCGATGTCTTTCCTTTGAAAGATGATTTTCCAGTGTTTTAACTTTTTTTCATATAATAAGTAATTGTAACAGAAAACTTTATTTGTATAAAATTATGAAAAGGCTGCTAGAACTTTTTAAGCTGAAAGATTCTTAGGAGGTTACTCTTAAATTCTTAGGTAAATGTAGCTGGCTCACTTTTGGGGGTTGGTTAACCTTCACTATTGAGATTTGTTCAAAGATAACTGTTTTTAAGGAATCAAAAGTAAATACATTTTTTCAGAAACCATAGATATGCTTGTTTTAACAGTTTAGAGCATTGATTCTAAAATTTGTAAATATTTACTTCAAAAATAATTAACAGTTAATTTAAAACATTTTATTATAATTGCATACTAGTATTAGAAAGTTTAGGACGTGTGGAAGGTTTTAAAACTGGTGGTATATCATTAATATTTTCTCATTACATCAAAATATTCTCTGGATATATTCAAGTGATTTGGGACAAGAATTGGTAGAAATGGATTGGTGGTGGTATAGCTGTATTTGAAGCTTCTTTAAGGAGATGCATAGGAGATTCAGAAGATTTCTGCTGGTGAGCTGATTGTTATGGACCGATGTCCATGTTGAGGAAACCAGTTCAATGCCACTACTGGCATATTAATGAAGAAGAGGAGGAGTCACACTGTGATTGAAAAAATCACATAGAAAACTTCCACAAAGGTGGAAACTAAGCAGACTGTAGAAGTGTTCGGAAAAGTCATAGACCTTTAAGGCATGCATACTTCTAAAAATAAATTTACTTATTTCCCTGCACAAATCAGTTACTTCTCTAGATTTTATTTTTACTGTGTCCTTTAGGGTGCAGCTATCCTCCCACTTGCCTAAAACTTGAGACTTGAGGCATTTTTGTACTCTTATTTCCAAACATGAATAATGATGACGATGAGAAAAAAGCCAGTGTTAGTTGATATTTACCATTGTGTCAGATATCAACTATTTTAAGATATACAACAACCCATTTGAGACCGTTTTACTTTAGAAATGAGTATACTGAAGCTATATGATATGACAACTTGTCCAACGTCACACACAAAGAATAGAGCGAGCTTCTGTACCGACAGTCTGTTTCTGTTATAGAATTTGTATTTGTAAATGCTACATTATACTGCCATTAATCTCTACCTTTTTGTTAAAATATACCCCATGTCTTTTCACAAGTTGACATTTCCGCAAACACTACTTTTGTCCTTATAACCACCTCTAGTTTAGTCTCCTTGCCTCAGTCTTCCCATATGCTGGTTCATTCTTTCTATCTGTCAAATTAGGAAGGCAGTATGGTACTGTTGGGAAGCCCATGGGCTTGAGAATCATGCAGACCTAGCTCTAGGTTATTAATCTATTATTTTAACCTTATTTCAATTATTTACCCTTCTAATTCCAATTATTTACCTTATAAGTGTTTATAAGAATTTAATGAAATGATACAATGAATTGTACCTGGCACATAGGTTATCTACAAATTGTAGTTACCTGGTTAAAACAAATAATATAGCATATGAAATATACAAGAATTCTGTCTCTTAACCACATCCAGAGATTCTTCATGGCATAAAAAATAAAATACCAATCTCTTCAGCTTAGTATTCTGGACTGTCTATGAACTCAACTCAACCTTTCCAGTTTTATAATTTTTTTTGACAGTTTATTCTACAAGCTTATCAAATTATTTCTGGGGTATTTCTATTTACTGTATTCCATAGCTTTGCTTACAAAGTTCCCTCTATACAGGATGTATTATTTTAAAATTATATTAAAATTCTAACTGTTATTCCAAGTCAGTATCCTTCTTTTTTCCTATTGAAGCAGAGTTTGACGATAATGGTGGCCTCTTGAATCCAAACATTACATTTATGCTCTATAAAAATCATAGGATCACCAGGCATGGTGGCTCATGGCTGTAATCCCAACACTTTGGGAGGCTGAGGCAGGCAGATCACCTGAGGTTGGGAGTTCCGGACCAGCCTGACCAACATGGAGAAACGTCGTCTTTACTAAAAATACAAAAAAAAAAAAGGCAGGCGTGGTGGCGCATGCCTGTAATCTCAGCTACTCAGGCGGCTGAGGCAGGAGAACCACTTGAACCCAGGAGGTGGAGGTTGCAGTGAGCCGAGCTCGCACCACTGCACTTCAGCCTGGGCAACAAGAGTGAAACTCCGTCTCAAAAACAAAACAAACAAAAATCATAGGATCAACAAAGAGCAGAAATAAAACCACACATGGCCCACATTTTTATTAGGAGATGGGGAGTTAATTACTTGTCAGCAAAGAAATAAACACTAGGTTATAAAAGAGCTCCCACCACAGCTGTAAGCCTGTGGACTTGAAGAGCAGGACTTGAGAGGCATAGTGAAAGGGAAATGGAAGTCATAAAGTGAATCATCCTCGTAAAGAGAAAGTCCAACGTTAAGTATCAAAAAGGAACATAGGTCTGAGACTTAGTTGTTCACTGCATTGACAACAGTGAAGTTACTCACTTTGTTAGTGGAATCAGAGGTGAGCAAAGCATTGCTTCTGTGGTGAAAAAGGAGTAGGGCTCCTTGGAGATGTGTTTTTAGGGTATACTAGAATAATCTTTCCAACCTTTCAATCTGCCTTGTTGGCTGCCATCCTAGGAGAATAAAACTCTTAGAACAGAGAGATGTTGTCTGGACTATTTTGATACAATTTCCCTATTCCTTCAGGCTGTAAAACAAGTGTACATTTGCTACTCTTTGTTCATGCATACTTATTTCAGTATTTTTTTTCCAGTGGAGATTAAAATAGGAAAGTTCTGAAATTTTTCACCGAGGGGGGAAAAAGATTCTTGTAGCATGAAAGATGATATTTTTATTTTTTCATTTTGTAATTTTTGTTTTTTGATTTTATATTATTTTTTTTTCACTTTATTTTTTTTTTTTTGACGGAGTTTTTGCTCTTTTGCCCAGGCTGGAGTGCAATGTCGTGATCTCAGCTCACTGTAACCTCCACCTCCTGGGTTTAAGTGATTCTCGTGCCTCAGCCTCCCGAGTAGCTGGGAATCCAGGTGCCTGCCACTGCACCCGGCTCGTTTTCGCTTTTTAGTAGAGACAAGGTTTCGCCATGTTGGCCAGGCTGGTCTCGAACTCTTGACCTCAGGCGATCCACCCGCCTCCGCCTCCGCCTCCCAAAGTGCTAGGATTACAGGCATGAGCCACTGCACCTGTAGTATGTTCTTAAAAGGACATATTACGTGTTTCCTGAATCCAGTGCCCTCTAGAGAATATCTTGTCTGTGGAGGCTACAAAGAGATTTTCTTTTAAGGCAGTAATCTGTTACTAAAGTTTCATATCTTTGGGGAGACTGTTTTTGTCCTGTATTTCCTGTGATGTCAGAAGCCATGGACAAGCCCATGAGAATTTGTCAATATTGATACCATCTTTGTCTGACATCCCAAGGAATTTTTCTCACTGGTGGTTTCAGCAGCCCATAGGACCCTGATGGAGCCCACAGAGATCTTTGAAGTGCAGCATCGGGGCTATACTGTGGGAGTACAAAGGGACTAGACCCATGCCTTCAGGGTTATTAGTCCCTTATTCCGAGATGCAAGTATAGGGGAAGAATTATTTCAGATGTAAAGGCACTTAGTAAAGGGCAAGACTTTATTCTCCTTTTATGTTTGATTGATGTCCCATAGACAAGGCAAGAGGATACAGTAACGTAAAACCGCAGAACTGATGGGTCATACAACTCATTTTTGAATTTGTACTCAAGGCCTCTGCTACAAAATCCCTTGTTGTTTAACTTAAAAAGCCTAGAAGCCCTTAAGAGCTAGCTGTTCTTGAATTTTATCTGGGTTGCCTTATAGTCTGAGAGTTGCTTATCAGATTTCCTCTCCCCTACATCTCGTCATATGTATTTTCACTTTCACAAAGGTGAGTGCAGCATTAATGAGGCAAAAGTTAATCTTTTCTTTGCCAGCATTAATAAGAGACCCTAAAGAGCAGCAAAGGCATGTCCAGTGAACTCAGTCTTCAGAAAACTTAAGCTTTAAAACTTCAGTAATGAATTTAGTGCGATTTTGGGAAGCTAATTTTGGGATGCTGTTAAAATTTTGCTCTTACTTGTGGATTACAGGACATTGAATTAAGATGCCCAGGCTGTGCACAGTGGCTCATGCCTGAAATCCCAGCACTTTGGGAGGCCAAGGTGGGTGGGTCACCTGAGGTCAGGAGTTAGAGACCAGCTGGCTAATGTGGTGACACCATATTTCTACTAAAAATAAAAAAAAAATCAGCTGGGTGTGGAGGCATGCACCTGTAATCCCAGCTCCTCGGGAGGCTGAGGCAGGAGAATCGCTTGAACCCAGGAGGCGGAGGTTGCAGTGAGCTGAGATCACGCTACTGCACTCCAACCTGGGCGAGTGTGAAACTCCGTTTCGGCAAAAAAAAAAAAAAAAAAAAAAATGCCCATTGACCTTCTGCATGCTAGGTTATAGATCAGAGCATAGACCAGCCACTGTTTTATGTTGGCAAAGCAGTTTGGGCAGTTGATCCACAGTCTGCCTTTTGATCTGTAAAACAGCAATAATAGCTTATTATTGACTTAGTTTCATTGAGTGCTCAAGTACTTGAACTAGAATGTGATATTATAGACACAGTTAAATATGCAGTTCACTGGGGTTGCCAAAGGAAAGGAATCCTTTTAAAATGCAAACCTGGGCCGGTCATGCTGACACCTGTAATCCCAGCACTTTGCTAGGCCAAGGCAGGCAGATCACTTGAGGTCAGGAGTTTGAGACAGCCTGGCCAACATGGTGAAACCCCGTCTCTACTATAATAAAAATAACAAAAATTAGCCGGGTGTGGTGGCGCACGCCTAGCTGGGATTAGCTTGTAATCCCAGCTACTCCGGAGGCTAAGGCACGAGAATCACTTGAACCTGGAAGGCAGAGGTTGCAGTGAGCGGTGATTCTGTCACTGCACTCCAGCCTAGACAACAGAGTGAGACTCTGCCCCCCTTCCAGCCCCAAATACACAAATTTTTAAAAAAGCAAACCTGATGATTACCTCCACCCCAAACATGGTCCCCTCACCCCCACTCACCAGCACTCTTCCCTGACTTCCTTTTCTATCTCTTCTTTCTGACTTTGGGGCCGACCACAGTCTGTCTCTTGTTGATCTATTCAGACTCATCTCCTACCCTACCTCACTAAAAGTTGCTTCTTTAAAAGTTTCAAAAGCAACTTTTTTATTAAGCATCAAATTTTATGCATGTGAATTATAATTATTTAGATTGGAAATAACATTCAAAAATACAAATTTTGTATCAGCTCTACTTTTCATGAACTAGATTTATGGAAATATTATTTTATTAGTGTTTCTTGGGTACAGAATATATTATCACTAAAGGGACTATGATATGAAGTATGTACTTTTTAGATAGAGATGGTGTTTTTTACTTGTTGCCTATTCTAACTTATGTGTGTGTTACATACTTTTAAAATGACATACTTCCTCTGCTTCACTGTTGAATTTTTGTGTGCTTTCTTATGTAATTTGAAAGTAAACTTTGTTGTAGTTTTGAGATTTGTGTAATTTATTAAATAGTATAAATTTTTTTGTTTTGCCTTTATGAACTTCTTTCGTGTAACCAAAGATACTTAGTTAAAATAATTATGAATTATTAAAACAATTTTTGGTATAAGTTATGCATAGGACCACTAAATTTTTAAAAGTAATTAAGAAATAGGATATTTAATTATTTTAATGACTTTTAAATTATAGGTACAGCCATAGTGCTGAAGTTCAAGTTCGTCTTCAATTCTTGACTTGTGTATTTTCAACTCTGGGATCACCTGATCATTTCAGTAAGTTTTTTAATCAGTACTTTTTAAAAATCTGTTTTGACTATTGGAAGAACTAAATTTACTTTTGCTTCTGATTTCTGCAGTTTTTTTTTTTTTTTAGTTTAATTTAATTTTAGAGTCAGTGGGCACATGTATGTTTGTTACAGGGTATTGTAACAAATCCCTACCAGTATTGCGTACTGGTAGGGATTGGGCTTCTTGTGTACCCATTACTCAAATAGTGAACATTGTACCCGATAGTTTATTTTTCATCCCTTATCCTGTTCCTGCCATATCCCCTTTTGGAGACTCCAGTGTCTGTTAGTTTCATCTGTATGTCCATGTGTACCCATTGTTTAGCTCCTGCTTACAAGCAAGAATGTACGGTATTTGGTTTTCTGTTTCTGAGTTAGTTCACTTAGAATAATGGCCTTCAGTTCCATTTATGTTGCTGCAAAGGACATGATTTCATTCTTTTTTCATGGCTGCTGCAGTGATTATTCTTAATACATTTATAAATTATACCAACATTTAGATAATTTATTAAAGTAATTGAGATTGTTTGCACTTTAAATAAATTAAAAATTTTTTTTTAGTTCTATAAGACCTTTTCTCTTTCTTTTTTGAGACATGGTCTCACACTGTCTCCCAGGCTGGAGTTCAGTGATGCGATCACAGCTCATTGCAGCTGTTGACCTCCCCGGCTCAAGCAGTCATCCCACCTTAGCCTCCTCAGTAACGTGGGACTATGCACCACCATAGCCAGCTAATTTTTTTAAAATTTTCATAGAGATAGGGTTTCACTGTGTTGCCCAGGCTGGTCTCAAACTCATGGGCCCAAACAGTCTTCCTGCCTTGGCCTCCCAAAGTGCTAGGATTACCAGTGTGTCACTGCACCTGGCTGACTGCATCTTTTATTATTTTTGCTTGTAGAATCTTGCTGTCCCTTTGGTTGGAGATAGGTATTATTTATGTATTATTATCAGGGCTAATCTTTTGAAAATCACTTGGCTTTATGGGTGATGGAGACATTTAGAGGCCCCAGTTTTATTTAGTTTGACTTTAAACTCAGTTTCGTTAACAGTTAATTTTTTAAAAGTAGAGCTTGGTCTGTTATATTCAGGTTGTGTACCATATCCAAATCCATGTGGTTATAGATGGTCTCACAAGAGAGGAACGAGCTTGATTTCTGTTAGCCAAAGCTCCTTTTTCCTTCATATACTGACTGTCATCCTTTACTCTCTACATTCTTCTTTTTCTGTGTGTCAATGTCAAACCTTATTTTTTAGAAGGACATTGTCTCTTTAACTGTGGTTAATATATTGTCAGCCTGATGGCTGTCTTGCTAGGAGTCGTCATGACTCTTTTCAAGTCCATACCTATGCTTGAGATATACTGTGTTTATCTTGTTATTTAAAGTCTGTTTCTTTTTTCTTTTCAAACTATTTGTAACAAATGCCAGCAACACTGGGATAACAGATTTCAAAAATAAGCGACCTGATTTTGGTAGGAAATTTCTCTTTCGTGTTATTACGTCATTTATTGACCCATTATGACTGATAACATTCAAGAAATAAGTAAAATACAGCAAAACCAATCTATAGGGAGAAGTCAAACTAAAACACATATAGTCAACATAGATACCATGAACATTTAAGTTTCATATTTATTATACACAGTATAGATTCTCTGAGAATTTACAATAGACAATAGCTACTGTCCAGATAGTATCAAATCTAAAACTTCACTTCTCCCACATCATGGCTGTTCTCCCCACCACTTCACCTGCCCTCCAAGTGATCCTCCCACCTCAGTCTCCAGAGTAGCTGGGACCATAGGTGCACATCACCATACCTGGCTATTTTTTTTTTTTTTTTTTTTGAGGCGGAGTCTTGCTCTGTTGCCCAGGCTGGAGTGCAGTGGCACAATCTCGGCTCCCTGCAAGCTCTGCCTCCCAGGTTCACGCCATTCTCTTGCCTCAGCCTCCCAAGTAAGCTGGGACTATAGGCGCCCACCACCACACCCAGCTAACTTTTTTTTGTATTTTTAGTAGAGACGGGGTTTCACCGTGTTAGCCAGGATGGTCTCGATCTCCTGACCTCGTGATCCGCCCGCCTCGGCCTCCCAAAGTGGTGGGATTACAGGCGTGAGCCGCTGCGCCCAGCCTAATTTTTAAATTATTTGTACAGAGTCTCATTATGTTGCCCAGCCTGGTCTGAAACTCATGGACTCAAGCGATCCTCCTGCCTTACCTTCCCAAAGTGCTAGGATTACAGGCCTCAGACTACTGTGCATGGCTGGTTGTACTTCTCTTATTGGCACAGTTCCTGTTACCCATAACGAAGTTACTTCAAAGTTATATGTAATTACATCCAATATTTTAATACTGATTTTCAATATGACAATAACTATAGTCTTTTAAAAAATAACAAAAGTGTTTAAGTTGCTCATTGAATGTGGATTGGTGATTCAGCCAATTATGGATATACTTCTGTTTTTTTATTTAGTTGACTATAATTAACCTGGATACTCTTTATCTTGTTCTCCTTAATTAATGTGTTTAAGTTCTGATATATACTAAAATTGTTTTGGGTTTATTTATATTTGCTTCTATGGGCACAAGTTCTCAGAACAAATAATCTACACATTAACTGTTTCAGTGAGAAACTGATAGGATAACTTTTTTCTGATAAAACTCTTTAGACTGATACTGCTACTAGGGTGAATATTTCTGAGGAATTTTTCTGTATTTTGTCATTTCATCTACTTTTCCCAATAAAAGAAATTTCTTTTGATGGTACCATACCATCATGCCCCTTCTGGTTCTAGGGCACCACCCCAGGGTTTGGAACCTCTTAAAATGTACTTCAGAAATCCCTGGGATGTTTTGTTCTAACCTTTTGGACTGTCTAATTTTTTTCATACTCGTACTTGTGATTGCCTATAATGCCTTCCCTTTTGTTCTGAATAGTTCGTCTGTCTTCTGCCACACTGGGGCATCCTTTAATAATAATTGGGTACAGTACAGATTTTCTCTCATTAGCCTGACTCCCTAGCTGATTATGTCCTCTGATATGTTGCTGTTGTCTGTTTTAGGCAGTTTCCTTTTGCTTTCTTCATCATAAGGGTCCTTTTTTCTTTTTTTCTTTGTCTTTGTTTTGTTTTGAGACAGAGTCTTGCTCTTGTCACACAGGCTGGAGTACATTGGCGTGATCTTGGCTCACCGCAACCTCCACCTCCCTGGTTCAAGCGATTCTCCTGCCTCAGCCTCCCGAGTAGCTGGTATTATAGGCATGCGCCACCACGCCTAGCTAATTTTTTGTATTTTTAGTAGAGATGGGGTTTCTTCATGTTGGTCAGGCTGGTCTCGAACTCCCGACCTCAGGTGATCCACCCACCTCGGCCTCCCAAAGTGATGGGATTACAGGTGTGAGCCACCGTGCCCGGCCTCCTTTTTTCATATTTTACAAAAATAATGCTTACTTATTTATCTCCTATATACAGAGAATGACCTTTGAACATGGTATACACTCTATTTATAATACTCAAACCTTAACCACTGATTCCTCAATTTTTAGGATTACCTCCCCCAATCATTTTTACTATTATACGGATGTGCTCCTATTTTAGGGAGAAGAATTTTCTTCCTAAATGGGTTCTTTGAGAATACTTCGTAAGTTGTGTATTTTTAGGTGATTTACATATGGGTTATCTTAAACTACATTTTAAAAACATAAATTATGTGAAAATTCGTATTAAATACTTGTAAAAGGCTGTAAGATATCTCCTTTGTGTTTCTGGCTATATTGGTGTTTCTGGTACATTCATTTAGGGCCAAAATGTTGTATGAATGTGATTTTAAATTTTACAAATAGGATGACATAAGAAATACTTATTGAGATAGTTTTGTTTTGTTTTTTGTTTTGAGACGGAGTCTTACTCTGTCACCAGGCTGGAGAGCAGTGGCGCAAATCTTGGCTCACTGCAACCTCCACCTCCCAGGTTCAAGCAATTCTCTTGCCTCAGCCTCCCGAGCAGCTGGGACTACAGGCATGTGCCACCACACCCAGCTAATTTTTGTATTTTTAGTAGAGACAGGGTTTCACCATGTTGGCCAGGATGGTCTTGATCTCCTGACCTCATGATCTGCCTGCCTCAGCCTCCCAAAGTGCTGGGATTACAGGCATGAGCCACTGCGCCTGGCCATTTTTTTGTTTTTTTTTTTAAAGAGACAGTCTCGCTCTGTCATCCAGGCTGAAGTGCATGATCATAGTTCAGGGCAGCCTTGAACTCCTGGGCTCGAAGAGCCTTCCCACCTCAGCCTCCCAAGTAGCTAGGACTAAAGGTGCGTGCCACCCTGCCCAGCTACTTTTTTGTTTGTTTTTGACACGGAGTCTTGCTCTTGTCGCACAGGATGGAGTGCAGTGGTGAGGCCTCAGCTCACTGCAACCTCCACCTCCCGGGTTCCAGCGATTCTCGTGCCTTATCCTCCCGAGTAGCTGGGATTACAGGCACCCACCACCACGCCTGGCTAATTTTTGTATTTTTAGTAGAGACGGGGTTTCACCATGTTGACTAGGCTGGTTCTGAACTCCTGACCTTTGGTGATCCACCCACCTCGTCCTCCCGAAGGGCTGGGATTACAGGCGTGAGCCACCACGCCCAGCCTACAAATTTTTGTTTTTTAATTTTTTGTAAAGACAATGTCTTCCTATATTGCCCAGACCGGTCTCAAACTCATGGCCACAAGTGATTCTCCCACCTCAGCCTCCCAAAGTGCTGGATTACATGTGTAAGCCACTGCGCCTGGATGAGATAGTAAATATTTTATACACTTTTATATAAATAAACTACAGTAGGTCATCAAATAATGTTTTAACATTAATGAGGAAAAAAACTGATTCCTGGCCCGGGCCACTGCCTGTGCAGAATTTACACATTCTCCCCATGTCTGCATGGGTTTTCTCTGGGTACCCTGGTTTCCTCCCACATCCCAAAGACATGCACTGTGGATTCATTGGCATGTCTAAATGATCCCAATCTGAATGAGTATGGGTGTGTGTATGAGGGCAATCTGCAATGGAATGGCTTCCTGGTCAAGGTTAGTTACTGCCCTGTCCTTAAGATACTAGTCCCTGAGATGCTGGGATACGATTTGGCCACCCACAACCCTGAACTGGAATAAGCGAGTTGGAAAATGAGCAAATGAATGAATACAAATTGTAACATAGAAATTTGTAAGCTCTATCATATTCGTAGAAATGCATAGCCATAAATGATGTGGTACAAAAGCGAGCCCACTGAATTTGTTATTGTTTGTGTTTAAACTGTCTGGTGGTAGGAAGTGCTCCTTAGTGTGTTTAATTTGTAACCATTTAGTCCTTGATTTCATCTACCACCACCGATTCGCCAAAAACTGGATAAATAACTATCTTAGTGGTTTGTATTAATCTTTCTTAAATGTATATATAGCTCACATTTATTCCAGTGTTTAATATTCAAAGTGTTAACTTCTAAATAAGAAAGTTTAGTGAATTTTTTTTGGTTTTTTTGAGATGGAATCTCGCGCTGTTGCCCTGGCTGGAGTGCAGTGGCCGATCTTGTATCACTGCAACCTTCACCTCCCAGGTTCAAGCAATTCTCCTGTCTCAGCCTCCTGAGTAACTGAGATTACAGGCACACGCCACCATGCCCAGCTAATTTTTTGTATTTTAATAGAGGCAGCGTTTCACCATGTTGGCCAGGCTGGTCTGGATCTCCCAAGCTCAGGCAGTCCACCCACCTCGGCCTCCCAAAGTGCTAGGATTACAGATGGGAGCCACTTCACCTGGCTGCTGTGATTCTTTTTTTTTTTTTTAATCATAAATATGCTGTAGGAACATAACTCTTATTTATATCAATTAACATATGGTAAAGTTAGTTTCATTATGCATCATTTCAATTAAAATTGCAATTTCCAAGAACCTATCTGTGTTAAGTGAGGACTTACTGTACATACACATGCCTAAGAGAAGTTTAATTTTTTTGTATGTAGTTAATAAAGTATAAAATTTATAATTTTTATCTAGGGTTAAGTTTAGAGCAAGTTGACATCTTATGGCATTGTTTAGTAGAAGATTCTGAATGTTATGATGATGCACTCCATTGGTTTTTAAATCAAGTTCGAAGTAAAGATCAACATGCTATGGGTATGGAAACCTACAAACATCTTTTCCTGGAGAAGGTAATTACATTTCTCTCAGTTTGTTATTATTTTTCCATGTTCCCTTTTTCATCTCTTGAAATACGAATTCTGTAATGCCTTTTTTTTTTTGACAGTTTTTTTAAGTAGCCAAATGTAATGAATTTTAGCAGTCCTAATATAATTTTTGGTCAGATTGTGCTCTAATTTTGTTGTTTACACTGTTTACCTCTAAATTAATAGTTTATATTTATAAAAATGTTCTATTAGCTACAATAATTCAACAATTACAATAACTTTTGAAGGCAGCACTAATTTTCTTAGTGTTTGTTTTTTTGAAATAATCAGTAATATTGTAGTCCAATTTTCAGGGGTGGTGCCCACACCCACAAGTGTGAGAGCTGTTTTCTGTGACTCTTCATGATTTAAATAACTGTCATTGCAGTCAGTCTTTTGGGCAAAGATAAGCCATTCTCCAGATGTGTAGATTGTGGGAAGGCATATTAAGAAGTGTTGTCATTATCGTAAAGATGTTCCAATTTTTCTTCTTCTTTACCACATGCCACAGTTCAGGTGACATTTTTCTGAATGAACTATTCCCAATTGAATTTTGAAACTCAGTGAAAATAATGCAGTAAGACTTTTTTATGCTTATTTTTGAGATTATGAAGTCTCTCTGCAAAGTGTGACGTTATCTCCATGTTGGAACTGAGTATATATATGAATGAGTTTTAGTGTGTATAAACTAAATCACTTAACAGACCCAAGACAGAGCTACAAATATAACTTTTGCCATCTTAAATTTCGACCTCTGACTTTAACAAAAACTGTACTTGTAGCTATACCTCTCATAAGTTTGTTTAGTATAGGTATACAATGCATGATAGTTGTCTTTATTTATGTCCTCTGATTTGGGTCTATGTACATCTTCAAAATTGAAGCCTGTATCAGACACATTTCAGTTATTACCTGAATAAAATGTTCATTAAATCACATATATATTTTCATTTTTTTTTTTTTTTTTGAGATGGGCTTGCTCTGTCTCCAAGGCTGGAGTGCAGTAGTGTGATCACGTCTCACTGTAGCCTTGACCTCCCAGGCTCAAGCAATTCTCCCACTACAGCCTCCCGAGTAGTTGGGACTACAGCCACACACCACCATGCCCGGCTGATTTTTGTAGTTTTCATAGAGATGAGATTTCGCCATGTTGCCCAGGCTGGTCTCAAAACTCCTGAGCTCAAGCGATCTGCCTGCCTTGGCTTTCCAAAGTACTGAGCCACCGTGCCCAGCAAAATTATTATATATTTTTATTTTTTAAAATTATCACTAAAAATTCAAACTGATCTGTTTCCTTCTACAGTGTTTTCAGTAAAGTTTATTTAAATTTAATAAAATCTGTGAATTACCACACTAAATTAGCTTTGTGTTTCCCCCTACCCTTCCAAAGATGCCCCAGCTAAAACCTGAAACAATTAGCATGACTGGCTTAAACCTGTTTCAGCATCTCTGTAACTTGGCTCGATTGGCTACCAGTGCCTATGATGGTTGTTCAAATTCTGAGGTATGGATTTAGACTTACTTTATTAGGCAACTTTATTCCTCAAATTAGATTATCAAATTCGGTTTCCAAATTATTTTTCTACAAAGTATAGAATTTACTACCTGTGCAGTGCAGTTGGGTTTGTTTTGAGATGGAGTCTATCTCTGTTGCTCAGGCTGTAGTGCAGTGGTGTGATCTCAGCTCACTGCAACCTCCACCTCCCAGATTCAAGAGATTCTCTAGCCTCAGCCCCCGAAGTAGCTGGGATTACAGACATTTGCCACCATGCCTGGCTAATTTTTGTATTTTTGGTAGAGACAGGGTTTTACCATGTTACTCAGGCTGGTCTTGCACTCCTGACCTTAAGTGATCTGCCTGCCTTGGCCTCCCAAAGTGCTGGGATTACAGGCATGAGCCAACGTGCTCAGCCCAATTCTGTTCTCTGGTTTCAAAAGTTTTATGAAGCAAATTTATTTTTCAGTATGAAAGATAACATTGGGTGTGCTTAATGAAAATCTATTACATGTTTCTTGATTTATAAAGAAGTGGCCATGTCAGTGTTCTTTGAGTCTCCTAGACATTCCTAGATAATACAGCCAAATATTTTACTTCAAATAAAAGATTGATTTGTCTCAGATATGATTTTTATGCCATTTGGTTCAGCCTGGGCAACAAAGCAAGACTCCATCTGAAGAAAAAAGAATACTTGTATCTCTTAGCAAGTTTGGGGAAATTTTTTTAAAAAGGAAAAAGAATTATTTTTAAAAATTTTTATTATTATTATTTTTTGAGATGGAGTCTGGCTCTGTCACCCAGGCCAGAGTGCAGTGGTGTGATCTCAGCTCACTGCAACCGCCACCTCCCGGGTTCTAGCAATTCTCATGCCTCAGCTTCCCGAAGTATCTGGGATTACAGGGGTGCACCACCATGCCTGACTAATTTTTGTATTTTTAGTATAGGTGGGGTTTCACCATGTTGGCGGGGCTGGTCTCGAGCTCCTGACGTCAGGTGATCCACCCGCCTTGGCCTCCCGAACTGCTGGGATTACAGGCATGAGCCACTGCACCAGGCCATTATGATTATTTTTTTTGAGATGGTGTCTGGCTCTGTCGCCCAGGCTGGAGTGCAGTGGCACAGTCTCAGCTCACTGCAACCTCCACCTCCTGGGTTCAAGCGATTCTCATGCCTCAGCCTCTTGAGTAGCTGGGACAACAGGCATGCACCACCACGCCCAGCTAATTTTTGTATTTTTAGTAGAGTTGGGTTTTCACCACGTTGACCAGACTAGTCTCGAACTCCTGACCTCAAGTTTTCCACCCGCCTTGGCCTCCCAAAGTGCTGGGATTATAGGTACGAGCCACCACGGCTGGCCAGAATAATTTTAATTGTATCTAAAATGCTTTTATTTTATTTTCCTACTGCCTTCTTTTCTTGTCTGAATAGGTTTTTTCAGTTTTTTTAGTCCTAACCCTTGCTTCAGTATCACTCTGATAACTGCTGGAGTGCAGTGGCACAATCTTGGCTCACTGCAACCTCCGCCTCCCAGGTTCAACCAATTCTCTTGCTTCAACCTCCCGAGTAGCTGGGATTATAGGCGCATGCCTGCCTGGCTAATTTTTTTTTTTTTTTTTTTTTAAAGTAGAGACAGGGTTTCACCGTGTTGGCCAGGCTGGTCTCGAACTCCTGAGCTCAGGCAGTCTGCCTGCCTCAGCCTCCCAAAGTGCTGCAATTAGAGGCGTGAGCCACTCCACACGGCCCACTATGATAATTTTCAATTTGGTAATTTCAGACAACTGAAGTAGTCGTGCTCTGTTATGAAATAAGTTTACCTTTTTAAAGTAGGTGACATTAACACTAAAGTTGTTTAGCTGCCAATTTAGAAGGAAATCTTTCTTTACTCTGCCCAACTTTTGGAAGCTTCCACTCGCCACTTTTTCTGTAGTTTTTAGTGAAAACATTTTTTGTTGTCATCTCATGGTTGACATCATAAATTTGAATGAGGCTGGACGCAGTGGCTCACACCTGTAATTCCACCTCTTTGAGAGGCTGAGGCGGGTGGATCAGCTGAGGTTGGGAGTTCGAGACCAGCCTGGCCAACATGGTGAAACCCTGTCTCTACTAAAATACAAAAAAATTAGCCAGATGTTGTGGCGCATGCCTGTAATCCCAGCTACTTAGGAGGCTAAGGCATGAGAATCCTTGGAAACCTGGGAGGCAGAGGTTGCAGTGAGCCAAGATTGCGCCACTGCACTCCAGCCTGGGCAAGTGAGTGAGACTCTGTTCTCAAAAAAAAAAAAAAATTGGGTGAGAACTTGAGTTAGCATATGTTGTTAATTTTCTGTGAATACAAGAAAGCAGTGGTTTTCTCAGTTTAGGTTGGATGGATTCATTGAAGCATTGTGCTCGTTATTGTGTTGGTTTTATTCCTTTATAGTATGTTTTTCAGGACTAGAATTTTCGTACTATGTAGTCACAACTTGTGAGTTAAACATGTATATATTGTTATCTGCTGTATAAATATTTTTTAGAACTAGTACAGGTGTATTTCATCAATTGAGGAAATTTTTAAATCATTTATTTTTATTATTTAATAGCTGAATAATAGGAGTTGCCTATGATTTTTACTTTTGATACTTCAGTCTTAATGAGTTACATAGTTTGACAAACAAAATTTAGAGATACCATATTTTTCTTTCTTAGCTGTGTGGTATGGACCAATTTTGGGGCATTGCTTTAAGAGCACAATCTGGTGATGTCAGTCGAGCAGCTATCCAGTATATTAACTCCTATTATATTAATGGTAAGTGATTTGAAACATTGTCTGATAGGTAATTTCTATGTGAGGGTGTTTTGTGAAACTAAAATTTTTCTTTGATATAGCTAAACAAGAATATAAGGCTAATATATGTGTCTAAACATTTGGCTTTCAGGTAAAACAGGTTTGGAGAAGGAGCAAGAATTTATTAGTAAGTGCATGGAGAGTCTTATGATAGCTTCTAGCAGTCTTGAACAGGAATCACACTCAAGTCTCATGGTTATAGAAAGAGGACTCCTTATGCTGAAGACACATCTGGAAGCGTTTAGGAGAAGGTAATTTTTAAAATATCACACTGTTAGAATGAATTTCATTTTTATTCCTGACATATCCAGAAATATTCTTAAAGTGAATCTAAAGTTTTTGTTGGGGTCAAGTAGAAAGCATAATTTACCAAAGTGAAGGATCAGTAACATAAGTAATTTTTATTAAGAATATATACCATTTTGCCTTGGAATAGGCAATACGGGTTCCTGATAAATATTGCACACCTTTAATAATAGAGTTTGAGCAGATATGCATGAATAAGAATTGTTAGACAGAATTCCATCTCTAAGATAAAGTATTGACTTTGATTAAAAAGGCAGAACACCACTACTAAAAAAAGTTTCTCTAAAACTCTTACCAAGAACATCAAATAATCTCATAGTTGAATCAAGTTGAGTCATATGTTTCATTTGCTGTTTTTTTTTTCTTCCTGGACTAGGAGACAGTATTTTAATTTTGAATTTCCATTTACCATGGAAACATGACCAAAAAATTCTGTTAATGAATATCTGTATAATTAATTTAGACATAACCTGTGTAATACAGAAATAAAGCAAATTAATATTTATGAATATATCGACTGAAATGAAAGGTGAGTAGATAGTTTTAAGAAATTCTATTTGTTAAAAATTATGAGCAAATGTAAAAGTACTAAGAACTGTGTTGAAAAAAATTGTTAAAGTTAGTAACTTTTTTCAACTTCAGATCTTAGTTTGATATTGAAGTGATACAAGTGATATTTATTGACATTTTTAAAATATCAAGAAAGATTGCATAGTAAAGATATTTTATACATTCCTTATAAATAACATGCTTCCATGATTTGAAACATTTGGACATTACAGAATTCTTTAAGATTGCAATTCATGGAAATTCTGCTTAAAGAATTCCTTGTGTTTTTAATGAATGTGGAAAGGAACTCATTTTTTTACACAGAAACTTCTTACTGCCTTATAACTTTAACCACTTAAAAAAATAAAATTTTAAAAAGAGCAAATGTGGTGTAACTTATTCAAATTAATTAATACGTATTATAAAATTCAGATATTACACTGTGATGTAGAAAATGAAAGTCTGCTATAATTTCTGTCTTCCTCGTGGAGATACTGTTAATGATACCCATACTTCTAAAATTTTTTCTATGCTGTGGGATCTTCAACAAACCAACAAGGTCCTGTTGATTCACACCCTTAGTCCTTGCACAGCATTACCAATGTCTAAAATAAGTGCTTATTTTAAGTCTTTAAAAATGTATTTGTTTTTTGAGCATTCAGTGGTGGTTTTATAAATTTAATGAATTTAAGTCCAAAAATTCCTTCTCAGATGTACAAATTTTTTTCTGTTGTGAAAAAAAAAATTGTTATGTCCTTGATATCTTTTTATTTGTTCATGTTTTATGCTAAAAGTTAATGTTGATGTTAAATAGTTTATATAAAAATTTTTTGTTACTAGTACAATAACTAGGATATGGATAAAATTGAAGAGTCACAAAACTAAGCAGTAGTTTAAAAAAAATTTACTTAGGTATTTTTCATGCAAAATTTTGTTCTTGATGTGCTTAGTGCTATTATTAATTGAAAATTGCCTAACATCTGTAGATTGAAAATATAATTGTTCTTTGTGTTCTGTGTATTAAGGGAATAAACAATAATGTCTTAATTTGTTTACTTTTTAAAAAGAGATAAAGTTATAATCTTAAACAGTGGTTCTCAGCCAGAAGTGTTTTTGTTTCCCAAGACATAGTACGTAATCCCTGGAGACACTTCTGATAATCACAGCAAGAGAGCATGTTATTGGTATCTGGTGAGATGCTGCTGAACATCAGAGCATGAGATACAGCCTCCTTCACCCCTATTCTTCTGCCTTCTGATAACAACAAATTATTAATTGGGCTTAAAATGTCAGTAGTGCCACTGTGGAGAAACTCTGGTCTTGAATATGTAACAGGAAACATTGTTTTAAGGTTACTCTTTTGCTCATACATTGGATCATGTGGAAATTAGACAAGTTCATTCATTCCCTCACTTTTTATCCTTCTATTCCAAATTTGCTGATTAGTTTTAGACTTTTTTTTTTTTTTTTAAACTCAGGTACCTTGGATCCTGTCTTCCACATCTGAAAATTAGAAAATTGACACGTGTTTAGTGATTATCATGCTAGGTGCCTGTTTCCTTTGAAATACAAGTCTTTGTAATTCACTTTATAATTTTAACAGCCATGAATTGACTCTCAAATTCTATTAGGCTCGTTAGTATATATTTACCAGAATGTTTCTGTCCCTGAAAATTTTTTCTTAATATCTTTTTTCCTTCTGAATGCAGGAATCACAGCTTGCTATTTCATTTGCTGGATTAGTTTTTTTTTTTTAATTCCTCCTATCTCTCCTATTAATATTTCTACTCTCTTTATTAAAAAAATAATAAACTGGCCTTAAGGAGATTTTTTTTTTCCTCAGTAATTTCTCGTGGTGACTATTTTGTTAGGAGCTCTTAGCTGTTATTATGCAGTTACGTTTGATTCAGTATGATGAATCTGAACTTAAATTTGTTGCTGTAGAATACATTGGAATGAACTTAGAACTTCTTTTGGACTTTTCCAGTCTGTAAGATGATAAAAATTTGCGTAACATTAAAATGGTTTAAAATGGTATCCTTTCTATGTGTTGTTTGTGTCATGTTTTAGGTTTGCATATCATCTGAGACAGTGGCAAATTGAAGGCACTGGTATTAGTAGTCATTTGAAAGCACTGAGTGACAAACAGTCTCTGCCGCTAAGGGTTGTATGCCAGCCAGCTGGACTTCCTGACAAGGTACTTACATAGTTTTAATTTCGAAGTTGATAACATTTCCCAGGTCAAATATCTGTTCTTTTTGTATTTTTAAATTGGTTGCATCTCATATTTCAGATGACTATTGAAATGTATCCTAGTGACCAGGTAGCAGATCTTAGGGCTGAAGTAACTCATTGGTATGAAAATTTACAGAAAGAACAAATAAATCAACAAGCTCAGCTTCAGGAGTTTGGTCAAAGCAACCGAAAAGGAGAGTTTCCTGGTAAGCCTTTCAATTCAAATTTTCTCTTTCTCTTTCTCTCTTTCTTTCTTTTTCTCTTTCTCTTTCTCTTTTCTCCTTTCCTTTTCTTTTATTCTCCTTTTCTTTTCTTTCTTGGTTATATCATATAGCAACTGTCTTGGTTTGTCTTGTGTTGCTGTAACAATACTACAGACTAGGTAAAGAACAGAATTTGGGAAGTCCAAGATCAGGGTACCAGCATCTGGTGAGGGCTCCTCTCTGCTTTCAAAGTGGCACCTTGAATGCTGCCTCCTCACAGGCAGAGGGTGGAAGGGTAAAAAATGAACAGACTCCCTCCATCAGACCCTTTTATAATGGCATTAATTCATTCATGGCCTCTCCAAAGACCCCACATCTAAAACCTGTTGCATTGGAGATTAATGTTCAACATGAATTTTCAGAGAGAACAAAAAAATTCAAACCATAGCAGCAACTTTGAACCTTTACTTTGAAGGTCCACCATCCATGTTCATGGCTCCCTTCACCCTCCCCTCCCTTTAGTACCATTGATTCTTAGGTAAGAAGATGCTGAGAGTTGCTTCAGATGCTATTTGCAAAAAATTCTTCATTTGTTTCTCAAAAAATTCTATTTTAGACTTTTGATGTGACCATAAAAAACTTCTTGAAATTTATTTCATAAGCAATTTGGGAATTTTTGATAACTTTAAATTTCCATATACTACTCATCCACTTTAACCCAATAGTTTTTTTCATGTATTACATTTCCATTTTTTCTGAGAATATAAAAATAACACACCTTCGTGTCTCACCTGTGCATCTCTCCTTGCCTACCAAAAGTATCTTAAGAAATTTTTCATGTAGGCCTAATATATATATATGTATATGTATATGTGTATATATATATTTCTGATATCTTTTATAGGTATATATCTGATATTTAATATATATGTTTCTTATCTCTTTCCAGAGATACCAAGATATAATGTAAGAATATATATACATATATATGTGCTATATAGATGTATATGTATATATATATTTAAAGCACAAATGGTAGAATTCTATTTTTACTGTTCTGTTTGCTTGTAGGGCATATCATTATCTTAGAAAACATTTCATGTTAGTTCATGTAGAAAGTTACCTCATTCTTTTTGAGATCTGCATAGTTCACTATATAGTAATAACTTGATTCATTTTTCTTGTTCTCTATTAATGGACATTTAGATTGTTTTCATTATTTTGCTATTACAAACAATGTGACAGAGAATATCTTTGTCTCTACATTATTTCATGTATGTTGGATAAATACCTCATTATGGAATTTCTGGATCCAAATGTATCTGCTTTGGTTAGGTTGAAATATATTGTGCGTAGAGTGTATGAAAATAATAAAGTGAAAATCCACGTACCTACCATCCAGATTAAGAACTAGAACACTAGTAGAAGCTAGTATTGTGTCCTACCCAATAACATCATTTCCACTTCTCCTTAACACTGTCTTGATTTTTGAATTTGTTTTTTTAGTGTTCTTTATAGTCTTACCTCCATGTATGTTTTTATTTAGTTTTGTGAAACAGTTTGGCAACCACAAACCTAGTGGATAAAGAAAAAGGGACATGTAGCTACTATTAGATAAAGGATTGCAGAAGATGACAAGTTATAAACCTTCCCTACAGATGTATACAGCCTAATTTGGGGATATCAGTGGGAAGGTTCTCAAGTGTATGTATCAGCGCAGTTAAGACACATCCTATTGCTAAAATGTTGATAAAAATACTGGAATATCCAACAGTAGTATCTTCATAGAATTTGTATTTTCTTTTTCTAAGCTCTTCATGATCTACCATAACTCTCAGGAGTAGATCAAAGCAGAATTTCTTCTTTAGGATGAAATGGATGTCCTCTACTGATTCAAGCAGTAGGACATGGAGGTGAGAGCAGGAATCTCACTAGCACTTGGTAAAGACAATCCAAGTACAAATAAGAATCTGGGCCAGATTCGTCGTCCATTCTTTTGTAACATAGAGAAGATAGTACAGTGGCAGCAGGGGTCTTGGTCATGATAACCCTCAATGCATTTTTCCAAAGTCACACTGATCTTACTAATTGTCCTCAAATTTGGTGCACAGCAGTGATTGTGTGATATCTTTTATCATCCTTCTGGTAATTCTCTTCTCTCCTGTGTTGGATATTCTGTTTCCATGATCCATACCTTTCTCGTTATTGGTTGTCTTTGTGTGTGTGTTTCTGGAGTACAGGGAGTGTTCTATTCAGTGGTTTCTTGTGAGAAAACTGACAGAGGAATGTTTTTTATTCCTTGCATCATTAAACATGTATCTCATGTTTTCATACCCAAATGATAAATTAGCTGGGTAAAGAATTCTAAGTTGGAAATAATTTTGTTGCACAATTTTAGAGGTACTTCTCCATTGTTTCTTGCTTTCATCATTGCTGTTGAATTCTGAATTCCGATACTTTTTACATGCAGTGTATCTTTTGTTGTTGTTGTTGTTGTTGTTGTTGTTTTTGAGATAGTCTCCCTCTGTCACCCAGGCTGGAGTGCAGTGGCAGGATCTTGGCTTACTGCAACGTCCATGTTCAAGTGATTCTCCCACCTCAGCCTCCTGAGTAGCTGGGGCTACAGGTGGGTGCCACCATCCCTGGGTAATTTTTTGTATTTTTAGTAGAGACAGGGTTTCACCATGTTGCCTAGGCTCATCTCAAACTCTTGAGCTCAAGCTTTCTGCCCACTTAGGCCTCCCAAAGTGCTGGTATTACAGACATGAGCCACCATGCCCAGCCAACATGTAGTATTTTTTCTTACAGACATTAATCAGTCTTCACTTTTTTCTTAGTGTTCTGGGCCTGAGTATAGGTCTTTTATCAATGATTGTGATGGGTGCTTCAGTATTTACATGTTTAGGTATTTAGCACTGGACCCTTTCAGTTTGGCACATTATATTTTTCAGTCTGGAGAAATTTTCTTGAAATGGTTCATAGATTTCTTGTATTGTATTTTATCATTTTCTCTCCTTATGGAACATATCCATTATCTAGATGTTTTGCCTGTAAGACTCTTCCTAATTTATCTTTTCTATGTTTCTTTTTTCTTTTTAAGTTTTAACTCAAGTTCCTGAGAGATGTTCTCAACATTATTTTGCAGTCTTTCTACTGAGTTTTTCATTTCTACTGTCATGCTTTTAATATCTAAGAGCTCTTTTTTCTCTGAAAAAATATGCCTATTTTTAAAGTTGAAATCTTTTTGAGATTAACATTTTTCTTAATTGTTGAATTTTGCTTTTTTTGTTCATTCTGTTGGTGTCTACATTTTAGTGTTTAGATTATTTGCATTCAATGTAAATATTTTCTGTTTGTCCCATCTCTTCATTTTCTCTTTTAGCACATATTTAGCACTTCTGACACTTTTCATTCCTGTGCACAGATCTGAGTTTCTATTTTGTTTCTTTTCCCCCTTTCTTTCTGTTACTTTGTTTTTATTTATTTATTTTTTTGAGACAGGGTCTCACTCTGTCACCCAGGCTAGAGTGAAGTGGCATAATCACAGTTCACCACAGCCTTAACCTCCCGTTCTCAGGTGATCCTGCCACCTGAGTCTCCGGAGTAGCTGGGACTACAGGTGCCGGCCATCATGCCCAGCTGATTTTTGTATTTTTTGTAGAGACAGGGTTTTGCCATGTTGCCCAGGCTGGTTATTTAACTCCTGGTCTCAAGCTATCCTCCCCCCTTGGCCGTCCAAAGTCCTTGGATTACAGGGGTGACCCACTGCGCCCGGCCTTTTCAGACCCTTCTTTCTAATAAACTTCCTTTAAAGCTTTGTACTCTCGGTCTTCTGGTGACAAATTTTCTCAAGCTTTTTTTGTCTAGAAAAAAGTTTCTCTAAAAATGTTTATTTTGCCTTCATTGTTGATGGATATTTTCACTGGACATCAAATTCTAGGTCATGAGGTTTTTTATCCTCTTTCAGAACTTTATTTTTTTTTTTAATTAACATCCAAGTCTTATAAACTCTTATTTATTAAAAAGGAAATCATGAGATTGAGTCCTTATTAACATCCAAGTCTCATAAACTCTTTTTTTTTAAATTAAAGTTCTAGGGTACATGTGCACAACGCGCAGGTTTGTTACAAATGTATACACGTACCACGTTGGTGTCCTGCACCCATTAACTTGTCATTTACATTAGGTATATCTCCTAATGCTATCCCTCCCCCCTCCCCCCACCCCATGACAGGCCCCGGTGTGTGATGTTCCCCTTCTTGTGTCCAAGTGTTCTCATTGTTCAATTCCCACCTATGAGTGAGAACATGCGGTGTTTGGATTTTTGTCCTTGTGATAGTTTGCTGAGAATGATGGTTTCCAGCTTCATCCATGTCCCTACAAAGGACATGGACTCATCCTTTTTTATGGCTGCATAGTATTCCATGGTGTATATGTGCCACATTTTCTTAATCCAGTCTATCATTGATGGACATTTGGGTTGGTTCCAAGTCTTTGCTCTTGTGAATAGTGCCACAATAAACATATGTGTGCATGTGTCTTTATAGCAGCATGATTTATAATCCTTTGGGTATATACCTAGTAATGGGATGGCTGGGTCAAATGGTATTTCTAGTTCTAGATCCCTGAGGAATCGCCACACTGTCTTCCACAATGGTTGAACTAGTTTACAGTCCCACCAACTGGGTAATAGTGTTCCTATTTCTCCACATCCTCTCCAGCAGCTGTTGTTTCCTGACTTTTTAATGATCGCCATTCTAACTGGTGTGAGATGGTATCTCATTGTGGTTTTGATTTGCATTTCTCTGATGGCCAGTGATGATGAGCATTTTTTCATGTGTCTTTTGGCTGCATAAATGTCTTCTTTTGAGAAGTGTCTGGCCATACTGACCAAGGTAATTTATAGATGCAGTGCCATCCCCTCAAGCTACCAATGACTTTCTTCACAGAATTGGACTACTTTAAAGTTCATATGAAACCAAAAAAGGGCCCGCATTGCCAAGACAATCCTAAGCCAAAAGAACAAAGCTGGAGGCATCATGCTACCTGACTTCAAACTATACTACAAGGCTATAGTAACCAAAACAGCATGGTACTGGTACCAAAACAGAGATATAGACCAGTGGAACAGAACAGAACCCTCAGAAATAATACCACACATCTACAACCATCTGTTCTTTGACAAACCTGACAAAAATAAGCAATGGGGAAAGGATTCCCTATTTAATAAATGATGCTGGGAAAACTGGCTAGCCATATGTAGGAAGCTGAAACTGGATCCCTTCCTTACACCTTATACAAAAAATAATTCAAGATGGATTAAAGACTTAAGACCTAAAACCATAAAAACCCTAGAAGAAAACCTAGGCAATACCATTCAGGACATAGGCATGGGCAAGGACTTCATGTCCAAAACACCAAAAGCAATGGCAACAAAGCCAAAATAGACAAATGGGATCTATTTAAAGAGCTTCTGCACAGCAAAAGAAACTACCATCAGAGTGAACAGGCAACCTACAGAATGGGAGGAAATTTTTGCAATCTGCTCATCTGACAAAGGGCTAATATCCAGAATCTACAAAGAACTCAAATTTACAAGAAAAAAACAACCCCATCAAAAAGTGGGCAAAGGATATGAACAGACACTTCTGTTTTAGAACTTTAAAATTGTTGTTCTGTTATTATTTGGCTTGCAAAGTTTGTGACCTGAATTGGTGGTTTTCCTTATCTTTTGTCCTTTACAGCCAACGACGGGGAAAAAAAAAAGGATATAAAGATTTTTCTTTAACAGTGATTTTCAGCATTTTGATTATGAGTCTGCCTTTCTTTCTGTTTGAGATCTGGGTTTAGTTTACCTTCTTAGATCTGTGAGATTATAACTTTTATCAAACTTAGAAAAGGTTAGCAATTATATAGTGCTTCATTTTTTTCTCTTTTTCTTCTCTCCTTAACCTTTTAATTTCTGAGCCTATAATGTTTCTATGCTATTGGTTAAGGTGTTGCTGATTTCTAAGGCACTGTTCCTTTTCTTTCTTCCTTTTGTTTTTTTGTGTGTGAGTGTTAGATGTTGATCTTACTCTTATGCTAAATCATTTTGGGATTTATCTTTTTTCGGGGCTTGCTGTTCATCACAAGTTTATTTTGTGGTCATCTTGCATACTTTGTTGGTATGATCTCTTCTTTTTTTCTCCTTGTCAGTTTATGTCTGTAAATTTTTTTTTTTCTTGAGTCTCGCACTGTTGCCCAGGCTGGAGTGCAGTGGCGTAATCTCGGCTCAGTGCAACCTCCGCCTTTGGGGTCAAGCAATTTTTCTGCCTCAGCCTCCCAAGTAGCTGCGACTACAGGCGCACTCCACCACGCCTGGCTAATTGTTGTATTTTTAGTAGAAACAGGGTTTCATCATATTGGCCAGGCTGGTCTCGAGCTCCTGACCTCATGATCGGCCCACCTCGGCCTCCCAAAGTGCTGGGATTACAGGCGTGAGCCACCACACCCGTCCTACGTCTGTAAAATTTTTAAAATTTATTTTATTGGAGTTGTAAAGGGGAAAAATGACGTGTGTTTTCAGTATTCAATTATAAATCAAGAGTTTTTTGAGATTTCATTTTGTCTTGAAATGCTATTTTTTTTAAAAGGTAGAAATTCTATTTAGAACTGATAAAGAATAAGCAGTTATTATGTTAAAAAGATCTTCTCAAAAGTAGTAAAAGATAGAAAGCAGCTCAATGTATTATAAAATCCAGTTCAGCCATAATAGTCAACATTAATGTGTTGTCATTGTCCATCCAGCGTGCTATATAAAACTACCATAAATGGGGTAGCTTATAAACAAAAGAAATTTATTTCTCATGGTCTGGAACCTGGGAATTCCAAGATCAAGGTGCCAGCAGATTCAGTGTCAAGTGACAGCTTTCTCATAGATAGTGCTTTATTGCTGTGTCTTCATTTGGTAGAAGGCTCAAGCAAGCTCCTTTGAGCCTCTTTTGTAGAGACACCACTCCCATTGATGGAGGACTCTGCCTGATATCTAATAACCTCCAAAAGGTCCCACCTCCAAATATCATCACCTTGGTAATTAGGATTCGACATACAGATTTGGGGAACACTTATATTCAAACCATAACACTTGTCATTAACACATAGAATATTGGCCTATCTCATATCAAATACAGGCCAGTATGCTAAATAAATTGCTAGTCATTGCAGTTCTCTTTTGGAACAAAGTTATGCATGCTTTATTAGAGTAGCAATTAATCATGACTGAGAGTGTTTTAATATTGCAAATATCAATCATTACATTTAATTGTCTCATCAAGTTAGACATTTAATAAAAATCTACCAAAATATTGCCAGGCGTGGTAGCTCATGCCTGTAATCCCAAGGCTTTGAGGCCAAGGCAGGCGGATCATTTGCGGTCAGGAGGTCGAGACCAGCCTGGCCAACATGACGAAACCCTGTCTCTACTAAAAATACAAAAATTAGCTGGGCCTGGTGGTGTGCACCCGTAATCCCAGCTACTTGGAAGGCTGAGGCATGAGAATCGCTTAAGCCCAGGAGGTGGAGGTGTTAGTGAGCCGAGATCATGCCATTGCACTCCAGCCTGGGCGACAGAGCGAGACTCCTCAAAACAAAACAAAACAAAAAAACTACCAAAGTATTAATGGCTCACACTGTAATCCCAGCACTTTGGGAGGCCGAGGCGGGCAGATCACGAGGTCAGGAGATAACACCATCCTGGCTAACATGGTGAAACCCCATCTCTACTAAAAATACAAAAAATGAGCCAGGCGTGGTGGCAGGCGCCTGTAGTCCCAGCTACTTGGGAGGCTGAGGCAGGAGAATGGCGTGAACCCAGGAGGCGGAGCTTGCAGTGAGCTGAGATTGTGCCACTGCACTCCAGCGTGGGCGACAGAGCGAGACTCTGTCTCAAAAAAAAAAAAAGTTTAATACAGAATTTCTGTCCATCCAGTAGCCAAAGCTTTTCCTAATGAATACGCTGCTTCATAAGCATTTACTTTTCTTCTGGTTTTGTATAATACAAAATGATTTGAATAAAGTAAAATACACTATAAAATGGTATCGCTATTAGATTATTCAGTTATAATTTGTGAGCAACATGATGAATAGGACACTAAATCAAGTATATAATAGCAATTTTAAGATGTTACGATATTCTGGCTGGGCCGTGGTGGCTCATGGCTGTAATCCCAGCACTTTGGGGGGCCGAGGCAGGCGGATCACCGGAGGTCAAGAGTTCAAGACCAGCCTGGCCAACATGGAGAAACCCGTCTCTACTAAAAATACAAAAATTAGTTAAGTGTGATGGTGCACGCCTGTAGTCCCAGCTATTCAGGAGGCCGAGACTGGAGAATTGCTTGAACCCAGGAGGCGGAGGTTGCAGTGAGCTGAGATTGAGCCACTGCACTCCAGCCTGGGTGACAGAGTGACACTCCGTCTCAAAAAAAAAAACTTACAATAATATGAGGTCTTTGTAAAATGTGAGAATAAAACTTTTGGAGATAAGCGAACATCTGAGTAAATTGAAATAGCATGTCTCTGTACAGAATATTGTAAAGATGTTAGGTAAATTTATTTTTTAAAATGTTCTATCAGTAATTCCAATGTAATTTTTGTTTAAAATTTGATGAAATTACTGTGAAGTTATCTGTATGAATAAACTAAGCAATATTATAAGTTCTGGGAGGTCAGTAAATTGGCACTTTATGAAAAAAGAAAAAACAAAAAAGTCCTGGGAGAAAAATTCAAAAGGATAATAGAAAGTTGAACTTCCGTACTAGCTGTATAAACATTAAACCATAATTTGATTTTGGTATGGGAATTGTTAGTTAAATGATATAGAATGGATACTGAAAATTAGTCATATATGACTTGTTCAGTTTGGGGAAAGAAAAACCCCTTTTTCTAATATTTAGGATATGTTTAAAATGTTGTATCTGTGTTAACAATGGTAGGAAAATTTAGAAGAAAATAGGATTGAACGTTTGTCAAACCATTTTGAGGGCCAAGATTGAGGGCTAGAAATAATGAGAAAGGGAAAGAATCATAGATTTAGCTACACAATGATTAGCAATTTACTTATAAAAAAATTGTGCTTAAGGCAAATTGCCAATATGACTCGTCTTGGAAGAAAAACATATTCCTTCTGTGTTTGAAATATTTTTCCACAAACCTTTTTTATTATGTGAAGGGAAAGGTAATTTTAAAATGTTATGTGTCATTATGAAAAGCGATAGCCTTACCCCACTCATTTTTCTTGAAAGTAATTGTTTAGTGTCTGTTCAGTGGAGTTTTTCTATATTGAATGAAGTTTAGCAATATTTTTAAAGTTTAAATTATTCATCAGACATTTAATTTTGCTTAATTTTCCTGCTCTAATCATTTTTTTTCCCGAAAAAGTTGTACATTATACAATACTTAATTTGAATGTCTTCTCCATTTTAGTGCCTGGCATGCATGTGTGAATAAAACACCTCTGCCCTTGTGGAACTGGGAATTTGTCAGTCTTCCTTTCCTTTTCCCTTTCCTTTTTTTCTTTCTTTCTTTCTTTCCTTTTTCCTTTCCTTCCCTCTCTTTTTTCTCCTCACCCTCCCATCCCTTCCCAGATAACAAATATGAGGTGTTAACAAGTGCTTTAAAGAAAGATAAAGGAGAGTAAAGGGTTAATGGTGAAGTGAAGCTTTTAGATTGGGCGGTAAGGAAAAAGCTCCCATTGGATGAGAGACTTGAAAGAGGTGAGAAAATAAGTATCTTGAATTCCTGGAGAGAAATCTTAGTCCTTGAGTTGGTAATATACTTGTTATTTTCAAGAAAGGGCAAGGAGGCCAGTTGGCTGAACATAGTGTGAGATAGGGAAGATGGTGGGAAATGAAGTTGAAGGTGTAGGCAGCTAAAAGGACTTAATGCATTCTAGAAATAACTATCCTCAATCTACTGAGTTTTCTGTCTTTACCTTAGATTACATTTAAACTTAACATACAGTGTGTTTAATTGCTACAACTACATATTCTTATCAGCAAGTAAGTTAATTCTTAAAAACAAATTCATTTCCATGTTTTGCTGTTTTTAAGGAGGCCTCATGGGACCTGTCAGGATGATTTCATCTGGACACGAGTTAACAACAGATTATGATGAAAAAGCACTTCATGAGCTTGGTTTTAAGGATATGCAGGTACATATATAAAACGTGGTTTGAGTTTTAATGATCTGTTTATAATCATCAGTTGAATAGTCGCAGATGTAGTTTAAAAACAGCTCTTATTGCTTTGTTATATTAAAATTTTAAGTGATTCTATACTTCAGATTTACCGTTTTATTAAACTAAAAGCTTGATATGCATAAATTTTTTTTCCTGTTTTTTATAGATGGTATTTGTATCTTTGGGTGCACCAAGGAGAGAGCGGAAAGGGGAAGGTGTTCAGCTGCCAGCATCTTGCCTCCCACCCCCTCAGAAGGACAACATTCCAATGCTTTTGCTTTTACAAGAGCCTCATTTAACTACTCTTTTTGATTTATTAGAGATGCTTGCATCATTTAAACCACCCTCAGGAAAAGTGGCAGTGGATGATAGTGAGGTGACTATGTTTCATTTTCACAAATCTTGTTTTGTGTCTCTGTTGAGAGGATATAGTAACTTTAATAAAAGTATAGTTTATAAAACGTTATAAAGTATATAATAATTTTCTCTCCTTTTTTTTTTTTGTTCATTTTTTTTTTGTTTTCTTTTTTTGAGACGGCATCTCACTCTGTTGACCAGGCTGGAGTGCAGTGGTGCAATCTCATCTCACTGCAAGCTCCACCTCCCGGGTTCATGCCATTCTCCTGCCTCAGCCTCCCAAGTAGCTGGGATTACCGGCGTGTGCAACCACACCTGGCTAATTTTTGCATTTCTAGTAGAGATGGGGTTTCACTGTGTTGGTCAGGCTGGTCTTGAACTCCTGACCTCATGATCCACCCATGTCAGCCTCCCAAAGTGCTGGGATTACAGGCATGAGCCACCGTGCCTGGCCCTCAGTAATCTTTTAAGAGTAGTAAAATTGGGCCGGGGCGGTGGCTCACGCCTGTGATCCCAGCACTTTGGGAGGCTGAGATGGGCAGATCACGAGGTCAGGAGTTCAAGAGCAGCCTGACCAACATGGTGAAACCCCGTCTCTACTAAAAATACAAAAATTAGCTGGGCATGGTGCCGTGTGCTAGCTAGAAAGGAGAATGGGGAAGAGGATGGGAGAGTAGAATGGGAGGAATGAAATTGGAAAGGTAGGCAGAGCGAAATAATGTAAACCTTTTGCGTCATCGTGAGTCATTTCCATTTTACTCAAAGTGGACAACATTAAAAGATTTTAAACAGAGGATAAACACATGTTCTGATTTTTGTTTTATACCTAATAAGTTTCTTTGGAGAAAGTAACAAAGTCAGTAAAGCATTTGATATACGAGTCCAGGAACAAGTTGCCCTGAAATAGGATGGCAGCAGTGGAAATAAATCGACAACAGGTCAAAACAACATCACTTGGTGGTGGTTTGGGTTTTAGGAGTAGGGAATGAAGAGGAGAAGGAAGACAGAAATGGCACTGGGTTTCTGGCCTGTGCAACTGGGTGGATTCCATTTGAGCTGAAGGATAGATAGATGCCTGAGGAACATCAAATAGAGATGTCAGGTAATCACTTGGATATATAAGTATGGAGCTCAGAGGAAAAGGTATAGTCTAGAAAAATGGTTTGTGGGTTATCACTATAAAGATGCCATTTATTTTATTATTATTTTTATTTTTGTGAGACATGGTCTCAGTGTGTCACCCAGGCTGCAGTGCAGTGGTATGATCGTAGCTCAGTTGTAGCCTTGATCTCTCAGGTTCAAGTGATCCTGCTGCCTCAGCGTCCTGAATAGGTGGAACTCCAGGTGCATGCCAATGTGCCTGGCTAATTTTTTAATATTTTGTAGACATGGTCTCTCTATGTTGCCCAGGTTGGTTTCAAACTCCTGGCTTCAAGCGATCCTCCCACCTCAGCCTCCTAAAGTGCTGGGATCGTAGGCATAAGCTGCTGTGCCCAGCCTGAAGATGGCATTCAGAGGCAAGAGTATGTGTGATATCACCTAAAGGAGCCATATTCAATCCACTAACTTTTAAAACAATGCCTTTAAATGGGCTTATTCTAAGACCTTTTCATGTATTCATGTAGCTTATGCAGTGAATCACAATTTTGAGATTGAGAGGCAGGTAAAATGGTGGTATTTTGATAGTTTTCCCTGTGTTAGGCTAGTATGCTTTTCTTTCTTCCCCAAGATTGTTAAGTGACTTCTTCCCGTTTCCATGATGTGTTTGATAATGGATGCAGTGGGCTGCCATTGAGCCTTCTGTTTCTTATACCTCAGTTTCTCACGTGATGGTACATTCTTAAATTCCCAAGAAATACCCATTGTTTTTTCAAGCAGAATAATCATTAATAGGTGCCCATGAAACCTCTGTTTTCTCACCTAGTGCTGGTGTTCTGTTCCATGTATTAGGGGAATAATGTGAGGAGGGGGACAAAAATTTGCAGAAGGTTTTTTCAAAAGAGGAGTTGTTCAAATTGGGTCCAGCTACTGTTAAGAGTGAAGAGAAAAGCATTACAGATTTTCCTCAATAAGAAAGCAAATGCCATGTTTGAGGACCTGGGAATACTAGCATAGTGTAATTTAAATACTAGGACAGAAAGGTAGACTGTAACTTGTATCGCAAAAGGACCTAAATGATTTTTTTTTTTTAATCCATCATTATGGCTGGTTTTAAGCAGCAAAATGAGCTCTTTTCTGGGCTTTTAGAAACAAAATTTAGATGTTTGTGTGGAGGATGTAGTAGAGAAAACCAGGACCAGTGATAAGAGATCCTGGGCTGTTATGTTAATAGGCTGTTACGTTAGTCTGAGTAGTGAGACTTAAACCAAAGGGAAAGCATTTCATTGTTTCAGCAGATTTTTTTTTTTTTTTTTTTTTTTTTTTTTTTTTTTGAGACAGAGTCTCACTCTGTCCTCCAGGCTGGAGTGCAGTGACAAGTTATCGGCTCACTGCAACCTCCGCCTCCCAGGTTCAAGTCATTCTCCTGCCTCAGCCTCCTGAGTAGCTGGGACTACAGGCGCACGCCACCACGCCCAGCTAGTTTTTTTTTTTTTTTTTTTTTTTTGTATTTTTGTAGAGACAGGGTTTCACTCTGTTAGCCAGCATGGTCTTGATCTCCTGACCTTGTGATCCGCCCACCTCTGCCTCCCAAAGTGCTAGGATTACAGGTGGGAGCCACTGCACCCAGCTGCAGATATTTTATTGAATCTTATTTTTGGCAGGTTGATAACAGGGATTTTTTGCTGAATAAGATAGGTTTGGCCCTGATGAGAGTTACACAAAAAAGTAAAAATAAAGTATCTTTACTGTGTATGTCTCATGAGACTTTCAGTCATTGCAGAACATACTTATGCACACTTTGAAGATATTTTTCCTTCTAATCCTTTTTTGCATAGAATTCAATATTTCTCTTTTTAATGGTTATTTACAACGGAATGATGAGTTGTTTTATTGAAGAACTGAGTGCCATTTCCTCAAGTATAGCGCAAGTGTTACTCGAGGGTTGCTTCTCTTTGTTCATCAAGCTTGTGAAAGACCAAATTTACCTTGAAACTTTCTAAGATTTCCTTGACATTGGAGAATTGCTTGAACCCGGGAGGCGGAGGTTGCAGTGAGCTGAGATCGTGCCATTGCACTCCAGCCTGGGCTACAAGAGCGAAACTCCATCTCAAAAAAAAAATAAAGATTTTCTTGCCACCAAAGTGCACCATGTTTCTGCCATTATACCAAAAGAACTAAGTTTCTTTTTATAGGCTTATAGAATATCCCTAGACCATGTTATACCAAAGAATCACTGTGATAGTAGCAGTAGTAATAAATTTATACTCCGTGGAAAATACCAAAACTGTCAATTTTAGTTTTTACTCTTTTTACCTCTCAGGGTGGTACTTTAAATTTTTGTTTAATTGCCTATTTCCTAAGTGGTTTTTGAAACGTTGTTTAGCTTACTCTTGCCTTAGCAAGTTTTGGAACTTAGCAAGATTTAACAAATGATAATGGAAAAAAATAGGTCTCTAAAATTGTTTGCTTTCTTCTTAACGTCTGTTCATCTGAGACTGGAAAATGAGGTTTAGATTAGCAACATAAGAGAAACAGGCTCTTTTCCTAAATGGAAGTTCAAGGATTTAATTCACCCAGTCTTTATTGTGCTTAGAATAGTGACCTGCAAAATGGAAATAGATGATTGTCATATTGAAATTTGTTAGAATTTTCTGGCCTTTAAACAGATGTTTTCACTTTTATTTGAAAAGTTTCATGAGGAACATGATCAGTCTTAGAGGAAAGCTTTTCTAGAAAAATGTTCAGTAAGAAGTTGAAAAAACACTGCTTGGCTATTAATTTTCTCAAATATGTATCATATAACAAATGTTTCATTTCTCACTTTTCAAAAAGTGAGGCTAAAAACTATTAGCAAATTTGATCATTACTTTATGCAAAAATTTGAACTTAAAACTTTTTCTTTTCTGATCTGTTTTGATAAAGTAGTTGTTCTTATTTGTGTAGAGCTTACGATGTGAAGAACTTCATCTTCATGCAGAAAATCTGTCTAGGCGGGTCTGGGAGCTACTGATGCTTCTTCCTACATGTCCTAATATGTTGATGGCATTCCAGAATATCTCAGATGAGCAGGTGAGCCCACAAAATCTCTTTACTCTCCTAGAGGCTGTTACCAGTTTACATTCCTATTGACAGTGTAGAAGATTGCCTGTTGATGTACCCTCAGTAAATCTGAATATAGTTTTTACCCATATAGTAGGTAAAAAGTGCCACTGCATTTTAATGTTCATTTGTTTATTTAGTGAGGGTGAATAATGGGTGAATAATGTATCAGAGGCTAAATGTAAGATGAAGATGTTTTCTAAAATTATTGACATTTTATATTAGTGTTTTTTCATATTACAGTATGCTTTTAATATTGTTTTTTGTTCTTAGTAACAAAAAGTAATGTTTAGAGAAAATACACAGAGGTGAAATGATGTGCATCAGTGTTTGTTTTGTGTGCTTATACAAATTAACTGACCAAATTGGAGAAAATGAGGCAAATAAATTTAATATCTGTGTGATAATTTTTTTTCCATATGGACACCACCTCACATGTGTGTTGGGTATCTTTGTAAAGTCTTTAACATTAAAGACTGTTTTAATTTATTTATTTATTTATTTATTTTTGAGATAAGGTATAACTCTGTTACCCAGGCTGGAGTACAGTGGTGTGGTCTCAGCTCACTGCAACCACAACCACGAGGGCTCAAGTGATCCTTCCTCCCCCAACCTTCCCCAGTAGCTGAGACCATAGGCGTGTGCACCATGCCTGGCTCATTTTTGTATTTTTAGTAGAGACAGGGTTTCACCGTTTTGGCCAAGTTGATCTATAACTCCTGACTTCAAATGATCTGCCCATCTCAGCCTCCCAAAATGCTGGGATTATAGGCATGAGCCACTGCTCCTGGCTTAAAGATTGTTTTTAAAATTTGTATAATAAGTAGTTTATTTGAGGACATCTCCGAAAGAACTCTACAGGATGAATGAAAAAATAAATGTCCTAATGTTATACTAATTCTAGGATTTGGAACATTATCATGTGATTTTGGGAGAGCCAATATCTCACAAGACTTGGAAGTGAAGAAGATGGGCTCTTCAAAATGCCAAATGATGACTTACAGTAGCACTAGTAATAGCATTTCAAAGATGCACATTAAGTGTGAATTACATTATTTCATGAATTGACAGTAGAAAACAGCAGTGTTCCTGAGTTCATATATTTGTATGACTTTTAAATATATAGTTGTAACTATTAAGTACAGACATTTAATTCATCACCATCTTTAGAAGTTTACCCACTCAACTAGATCACAATGTTGTTTCTTCTTTTAATTGGGAAGATTAACAGTTAATTATTTTCCCATGCTGCTGTTTGTATATGAATTTTATTGGGTTTATTTTCAGAAAATTTAATGCATAATTGATGTTTTAAGCATACCATTTGTGCCAGTTATATACCTAGTCTTCATATGTTTTAATATGTTTCAAAGTATATATAATATTTTGAGTTTTTATGTAGTGTCAGTTTGTTTAAAGTTTTTCTTTTTTGTGTTCCCTGAGTAAGTTGGCTTGAGAAACATGTTTTTCTAATTTAAGAGTAATGATGGATTTAATTGGAAAGAACTTCTCAAAATTAAGAGCGCCCACAAGCTATTGTATGCTCTGGAAATTATTGAAGCACTGGGAAAACCTAATAGAAGAATAAGGAGGGAGTCTACGGTAATTGCATTTCCATTATTATCATTAAATGTTTGTATTCTCTCTGGAGCAAAATTCTATAATGTATTGTCTTTTCCATTCTATAATAATTCTTTCTTCCGCCATTCTGCCTTACTTTTTTTGCCTTTCTCATAGGGAAGTTACAGTGATCTTTATCCAGATTCAGATGATTCAAGTGAAGATCAAGTGGAAAATAGTAAAAATTCCTGGAGTTGCAAGGTTTGATCATATGTGTTTTTCAATGTATTGATAAAAATAATTTATCTTCAGTTTTTCAAAAGTGGGTACCATAATTCTTCATTGATTTTAAACTAATATACTATTAAAATAAAGCATAGTTTAAAAATCATGTATTACTTTAAGTTGCAATAACGTAAACTGAGATTATTTAATGCCTTGGTGCTCCTGCTTTTAGCTCTGATTTTCCCTCTATTGAAATACTGTGAGAGTCCTGGCATGGTGGCTCACGCCTGTGATCCAGCCCTTTGGGAGGCTGAGACGGATGGATCACTTGAGGTCAGGAGTTTGAGATCAGCCTGGCCAACATGGTAAAACCCGTGTCTCTACTAAAAATGCAAAAATGAGCTGGGTGTGGTAGCATGCTGCCCATAATCCCAGCTACCCAGGTGGCTGAGGCAGGAGAATCACTTGAACCCAGGAGGTGGAGGTTGCAGTGAGCTGAGATCGCACCACAGCACTCCAGCCTGGGCAGCAAAAAAAAGATACTGTGAGGACATCCCAGTGTCTAGGACTAAATGGCTAATGGAATAGAAAGATGTTTATAGGCTTTTTCGTGTGTGTGTGTATAAATTTTTTTTTTTTGAAATGGAGTCTCGCTCTGTCACCCAGGCTGGATTGCAGCAGCGCGATCTCTGCTTGCTGCAAGCTCCGCCTCCCAGGTTCACGCGATTCTCCTGCCTCAGCCTCTGGAGTAGCTGGTACTACAGGCGCCCGCCACCACACCCGGCTAATTTTTTTGTATTTTTAATAGAGACGGGGTTTCACCATGTTAGCCAGGATGGTCTTGATCTGCTGACCTCGTGATCCACCCGCCTCGGCCTCCCAAAGTGCTGGGATTACAGGCGTGAGCCACCGCGCCTGGCCTCAAGTGTATATTTTTTTAAATTCTTGTTTGTTTTATTTTGTTTTGTTTAGGACAGGGTCTCACCTTGTCACCCAGGCTGGATTGCAGTGGCATGATCATGGCTGACTGCAGCCTTGACCTCCTGGGTTCGAGTGATCCTCCTGCCTCAGCCTCCCTAGTAGCTGAAACTATAGGCACCAGCCACCATACCCGGCCAATTTTTTTATTTTTTGTAGAGATGAGGTCTTCCTATGTTGTCTAGGCTGGTCTCAAAGTCCTAACCTCAAGCCATCGTCTGGCTTTGGCCTCCCAAAGTTCTAGGATTACAGGCATGAACCATTGCACCCACCCTTAAATTCTTGAAAGTAGCCTTTATCTTATTATTTTGTCTAGAAATTATTTTGGTAATTTAAATGAATAGTAGTGTAAATAAAAGATACGTAATATTTTACATATCCAGTTACTGAATCAACAAGCATTATTGCATTATATATCTGCTTTTCTCTTACTATTACTTTCACAATTGCCTACAGTTTGTTGCTGCTGGAGGGCTTCAACAGTTATTAGAAATTTTTAATTCTGGAATTCTAGAGCCTAAAGAGCAGGAATCATGGACTGTGGTAAGTGCATATTTATGGTTTCAACTAGTTACAGTAGTTATCCCATTTGAAATACTTCCATTTCATCAGCAAGTATAGCTTTTGCCATATAGTTCCTTATAATAAAGTATGGAATATAGCAGAAATGAATTTAAAAATACAGTTTGATAAACTAATTAGGAATAAGTGTTTTTCATGTTATCAGTATTAAAAAATTCTTCTGATAAAATTAATTACTCTAAACTCTGGCCAGTTCATAAACATGTTTCCTTTAGGTTGATAAATTATATATTAATATTTATATAAAGTTTGGTTGCTTTTTAAAAATTTGGTTTACATCTTAGTTTTTTCAAAAAACTTTTTTTGTTTTATTTTGTTGTGATCATTTCTTCCTTTATAGTAGTAATAATTAAAAACGTGTTTCCAGACCATGTTGACTGGCTTACATTGAGATGGATATAGAAATTGAGAGTAAGCCTCTAGAAATTTTTATAGCAATTAGACATTGTTGCTGTATTTTATAATACTTTACAAAAGTATTGGTCCTCAACAAAATGGAATTTTTTTTTCTGTGAACTTGCATAAAAAAATGGAAATTTTAAAAAATGTTAACTTTACCACCGTGATTTGAAGAAGTACTATATGAAAATAAAATTGCTTATAGAATATTTAAATCTTAATAATGATATACAAAACTGCCCAGGCCAGTTTCAAGCTCATTGTAAAGGACATTCCATTTTCTTCCATCAAAGCAGTTTAGCATTATCAAACATTGAATTCAAGTATTTTCTTAGTTCCTGTGGTTTTTTGTTTTGTTTTGTTTTGCTTTTTTTGAATTGCCTTTGAACCTAGGAGTCAGGTATAATGATTTGACATCAAGTAATCTTATGTCTAAATTTGTTAGCTCATCAGCTATCGTCAGTGTTAGTGTATTTTACATGTGGGCCAAGACAGTTGTTCTTCCAGTGTGGCCAGGGAAGCCAAAAGATTGGACACCCCCGTACTAAAGGTTTTCTCTGTTTGTTTTTCTTGAAATTATGAATACTTTCCTGAAGTATTACTAGTAACATTTTATTGCCAATATGTGGCTTATTGTAGCTTTATAATGCCCAAGATGCAAAGCATGTCTAAGATAGAAATTGCTTTCAGGTCAACTGGTATTTCCTGTTTATAGTGCATCTCTCTTAATATTATGAAATACTTCTAAGTTCAGGATTGTTCTTGTTTCTTATTTTTTTTTTCCTTTTCAAATGAGTTTAGTTGAAGTATACCTTTAAAACTTTTTTTGAAATATAGTTAACATGCAATCAATGTACTCCTCCAAAATGTACTGTTTTTACTATATTCACAAAGTTGTGGGACTATGACCAGCATCTAATTCCAGAACAGTTGTATCCCTTCAAAAGAAACCTCCCCCTAAACGCTTTAGCCCTAGGCAACCATCATTATAGTCTCCTTTCTGTTTCTGTGGATTTGCCCATTCTGGACATTTCCTATAAATGGAACCATACAATATATGGTCCATCGTGACTGGTTTCTTTCACTTAGCCTATTTTCGAGATTCATCCTTGGAAGTAGCAAGTATCAATAATTCATTTTTTTATAATTATATTACATGTTTATCCATTCACCAATTGAGAAGCATTTGGGTTATTTCTACACTGTGACTGTTGTGAGCATTTGTTTATGAGTTTATGCATAGATAATACATTTTCACTTCTTTTTGGCATATGCTTAGGAGTGGTATACCTTGCCAATACTTAAGTGGTATTTTATTGTGATTTCTAGCATTTACATTTTCCCAATGCTAAGAATCTTGAGCAGCTTTTCATGTGTCTGTTGACCATTCATAAGCATGTATGCATGTATGTGTGTGTGTACACATATATATGCACACACAAACACATTCATTCATAAATCTTTGGTGAAATGTTTGTTCAGTCACAGCTGAATCCAGGGAGTGGAAGATTGATCAGTCGGTGAACATCTGCATCGTTTCCAGTTTGGGGCTATTATCAATAATGTTGTTATAAACAGTTGTGCCTTGGGTATAGAGTGCAGTTTCTGGGTCCTGTGGTAACTTCTAACTTTTTGAGGAATTTCCAAACAGTTTACCAAAGCTGCAACATTTTACATTTCTACCAGCAATGTGTGAGGGTTCCAGTTTCTCCACATCCTTTCCAAGACTTGTTAGTGTCTCTTTTATTTTAGCTATCCTAGTGTGTAAAGTGGTACCTAGTTGTGGTTTTGATTTGCATTTCCTTGGTGACTAATGAGGTTGAACATCTTTCCATGTGCTTATTGGCCACTTGTTTATCTTTGGAGTAATGTCAATTCACATCCATTGCCCACTTTTAATTGGGTTGTCTTTTTGTTGATTTGTTAGAATTCCTTATGTATTTCAGATACTGATTCCTTACAGTGCATGTGATTTACAAATATTTTCTCCCGTTCTATGGGTTGCCTTTTTCCCTTTCTTGAGAGCACCCTGTGATTTACAAAAATTTGTAATTTTGATGAAGTCTAGTGTCTCTGTTTTCCTTTGTGCTTGTCCTTTTGATGTTGTATCTACAAAACCGTTACCTAATCCCCTTACACAGAGATTGATGACTATGTTTTCTGTTAAGAGGTTTCTGGTTTTAGCTCTCACTTTTTTAGGTCTTTGGTCCATTTTAAGTTAATTTTTGCATATGATGTGAGGTTGCAGTATACTTTTCATGTAATAAATAATGCACTCATTTTAAAGAGTGAGTTTTGAAAAATGTTTATGTAACGCTCTAACATCCAAACAAAGAATATTTCCATTACTTAAGAAGTTCCGTCCTGCAGTTTTGCTATTAATTTTTCTTCCTCCACTTTGTGTTACAATAGATGAGATTTTCATTTTATAAAATTTCATGTAATTGGATCAGTGCAATATGTACCATTTTGTATCTGGCTTCTTTTATTCAGAATGCTTTTTGAGGTTGTTAAATGTTTTTCATCGCTGAGTAATATATTCGTTGTATAGGTATACCACGGTTCATTTATCTGCTCACCTATTGACATTTGAGTGGCTTACAGTTTTGGGTTGTTAAAATAAAGTTTCTGTAAACATTCACATACAGGTCATTTGGTATATGTATGTTTTTATCTCTTGGATTAATACCAAGTGATGAAATTGCTAAATAATATGGTAAGTGTAAGATTAACCTTATAAGAAGATGCCAAACTGTTTTTCAGAACAGTTATACTATGCAACATACGAGAATTTCATTTACTCCACATCCTTGCCAGAAGTTGATATGAACAGGGTTTTAAAATTTGAGCTATTCTAATGGGTATAGTAGTGTTAGCTCACGGTGGCTTCACTTGTCCTTCCTTCATTGCTAATGATGTTTAGCATTATGTTGTGTGTTTGTTGATTGTGTGTTTATCTTCTTTTGTGAAATGTCTTAGTATATAGTTGTGAGATGGTCTTTTCCCTTAAATATTATGGAGAAGTCTTTCTCTGATGTGTGTATGGGGACAAGCCCCCCACACATGCTGTGGCTTACTTTTTCATTATACTGACAGCATCTTTTAGGGGAGAGGTTTTAATTTTAATGAAATTTGTATCCAGTCTACAAATATTTGTACCAAGGTCACAAAGACTTTTCTCCTCTGCTTTCTGTAAGTTTTATAGTCTTTTCTTTTACGTTTAGATCTGTAACAATACATTTTGAGTTTTGTGTATGCAATATTGAATTTTTTTCCTTCTTCATACGGCTATTTGGTTTTTATAGCACCAATTTGTTGAAAAGACTTTTTTTCTCTCTGAATTATCTTGCTGTCTTTCTTTCGGTTCAGTAATATAGTATAGGTATTATTGCAGGAAGAAAGTACCATTTCTTTCTGGTATGTTTGTGTAGGAATATATTTGGCAGTGGAATCAGGAGAGCAGGAGGTTAAGAACTTTTGAAGAAAAAGCTGTGAAACTCTCATCTTGTACATAAGTGATATTCTAATTAAAGAAAGTGAACTGTTATTAAAATTGAGCTTCCAGTCAGCTGTAAATTTTATTTTTTATACATACTAAACAATATTTAAAACAACTTTTTAAATAAAATAAATTTATTTTTAATGTGGTTATGGAAAGTGCAAGAGTTTCAGTTGAATTATTTTCTAGAATTACTAGCAATTGCTTTGGTCCGTAAGTATTAAGAGTTTGTGCCACTCGTTGGGAGACACAGCATATAATACTTTGTTTCTCAGTTAATTTTATTGATAAGTAATATCCTTGTCATCTTAATTTTTTAAAAAATTATAAATTATGAGCAGTATGTTTTTTCAAAAATCTCATAGCTATTACATATATTTTTATATTGCCTTCATTAAAGAAATGAAAGTGTCATTTCCATTTCATTAAATACATCTTGTATACCCTCTTTATTTCTAGATACTTTTTCTTCATTTTTATAAGATTGAATTGGTACTGACCATAATATTTGAGCAGCAGAATTTTTATAGTACATGATTAAGTACTAGCTATAATTATTTTTATTTTCTGGTCTTTTAATTTCAAAATTGTATTGTGGCCATTCTAAATTAATGAAAATAGGGAATTGACTATTTCTTCTCATTTACAGTGGCAGCTAGACTGTCTTGCTTGCTTGCTGAAGTTAATATGCCAGTTTGCAGTAGATCCATCCGATTTGGATTTAGCTTATCATGATGTCTTTGCCTGGTCTGGTATAGCGGAAAGCCATAGGAAAAGAACCTGGCCTGGCAAATCAAGGAAGGCTGCTGGTGATCATGCTAAGGGTCTTCATATACCACGATTAACAGAGGTAAAGTGCAGAAATTAATGTTTAATGATGAATTCCATTTATTTTTATAAACTGAAGAAATATGCTAATGCTTAAGAAATGTATTCTAGATTACTGTGACTTAACCTGACAGCTGAACTGACGGCATTGTTTTAAAGCAGTAGTGATTATGAAGCAGTATTGCTTTTCATTTCATCATCCAGAATGCAGAAATGAGTCGTGCCATTTTAATATCTGTGAGACTGAATTTATTATTTGAACTCAGTAATTTATATACTTTGGGGATGCATTTATGAAAACAGAAGCCATAGTTGGTATTTCAACATAGGAAATTTAAAATAGAGAATCAGTTTTACACGTATGTGTTACAAGGCTTTAAAAACAAAAGGGAGTGGTGAGGTAAGCCAGATAAGGAGCCATTTATCACCCCTAGATCTTGTGGAACATTAGGGAAGTGGTTGGGTTATCAGGAACTTAGAAGCTTGCAGGAGGGATCCTGTTAAACCGGGGTTTAGGCCTCTGAGAAAGCAGTTACGCTCTTATGCTCATCTGCTATAAGATTATCAGAGGGGACCTGATAAAGCTGGTGCTAGGAGTGCCTAAAAAAGCTGAAGGCTGAAACAAACTCTGTCTTCTAGGTAAATACTTTTAGATAAATGCTGACAGAAGAAAGAAAGGAGGAGTCTCTCAAGTATCCTAGACTGGCAGAACCTAATAGGAAGCCACCTGGCAAAGGAGGAATTTGGTTTTTGATATATTTGCCCTAGCATAATAGAACAAGTGTATAAAAGGGTGGATTTGGAGATGAAAGAAAATATGGTTGGCCCTTGAAAAATAGAGGAGTTAAGGATGCTGACCCTCCATACAGTCAAAAATCTGTATATAACTTTTGACTCCCCTAGAACTTAACTACTGATAGCCTGCTATTAACCAGAAGCCTTACCAATAACAAACAGTTGGTGAATGCATATTTTGTATGTTAATACTATTATATACTGTATTCTTAAAGTAAGCTAGAGAAAAGAAAGTGTTAAGAAAATCATAAGAGAAAATATATTTACTGTTCTTCAAGTGGAAATGGGTCATCATAAAGGTCTTCATCCTCATGGTCTTCACATTGATCAGGAAGTAGAAGAGGAGGAGGAAGGTGAGGGGTTGGCCTTGCTGCCTTAGGAGTGCCAGAGTTGGGAGAAAACCCAGATACAAGTGGATCTGTGCAGTTCAGACCTGTGTTGTTCAAGGGTCAACTGTATTAACCAGGACATCGAGCAATAAAAATAGAATCTTTTTGATTGTGGATTCTGTAATCAAATATTTGCCTTTCCAACATCTCCGTCAGTGAGTCGGGAGGTAGGGAGTGATCAAGGTGAGATTTTAGGGAGATCTCATTTTGTAACCTTTTGAGAACCTCACCTCGTGTCTACCCAAGAAACATCAAAGTAATGAATTGTTACTGATAGATTGTGACGGACATAAGGTTAGAAAGTACTGGTATAAATGGAAACCTGAAGCAGATTTCCTTTTTGGAATTTTGGGGGTTAAATGGGAAAAATGATCTCTGTCAGTATTCCAAATCATTTACATCTAATAAAACGAAATATATGCAGAGTACAATATAATCTGAATGTATTCTGCAATGTACTGTGTTGTGAACTACCACTTTAGTAACCTTACATTACTATAATGTTTTGGTCATGTTTTTTTCAGAATAAACTTTCCAGGTTATAATAATGCTCTAATTGTGATCCTTTCCATCACTCACTAAATAATTCCAATGTTTATTGACCTTTATTGGCAATTTCCTTTTGAGATTTTAATAATATAAATATACATAAGTGTATGTGTAAAATACGCACGTTTATGGAGGTTTATAGGTTATTGGTTTGTGTTTAAAAATAATATGCAACTACAAGCTTATTGAAAATTCATAATACACAAGCGAACTTTTTCCCTAGTCATAGGTGACTACTCTTAATATCTTTTCGTGTTATCTTTTCAGAGATTTTTTTCTATGCACATGCCAGTGGTTTGGGGTTTTTTTTTGAGACGGAGCCTAGCTCTGTTGCCCAAGCTGAAGTGCACTGGCGCCATCTCGGCTCACTGCAACCTCTGCCTCCCGTGTTCAAGCGGTTTTACTACCTCAGCCTCCAGGTAGCTGGGATTACAGGCACACGCCACCATGCGTGGCTAATTTTTGTATTTTTCATAGAGACGGGGTTTTGCCATCTTGGACAGGCTGATCTCAAACTCCTGACCTCAAGTGATCCTCCTGCCTCGGCCTCCCAAAGTGCTGGGATTATAGGTGTGAGCCACCGCTCTGGGCCAATGTTATTTTTTTTTAATTTTAGAAAAGGTGTATATTATATAGTTTTTGCATGAGTTTATTTCCCAAAATAATTCCAGCTTAGTATGTATATCTCAGATCTATGGAAATAAAAATTTCTGTTGCGTTAATACTGAAGACAGAGTCATCTAATGTTGATATACTGTAGGTAGTAAGGAAGAACACTAACTTATTTAAGAGTTTACCATCATTTTTCCGTGTGATCTTTTTAATAGCATTTTAAAAAGTTACTTGCAAAATTTAGCCTAAACATCAATTTTTCTGGAAGTTTTCTCACTTCTGCCAGGGACAGGTTTAGTTCCTGCTCCCTTCTTTTGCTTATTTGCACATTGTATATACTTGTGTTAACCATGTTTTCTGTGGCTGCCTGCCCCAGTGCAGAAACAGTGCCTTAGGAAGTATGTGCACAGAATGCCTTCCAACCTGCAGAATAAATTTAATAATTCATTGTTAGTGAATTATTTTCTCCCCTTATATGAGGAAGAACTAGAACTGAGGAATTCCAAATATATTAGGATCATGTAGCCTGAAGCTGAATGTTGAACCTCAGGATTTTGAATCTAGAATCCATGCTCTCTACCCGTGGTATATTATATTGCTTTTTAATTCTTATTTCAGGATGGTTGAGGAATCTATTACTACTTGATGTTTTTTTAAATATATTTTCTTCAAAAGTAAAAACATGTTTAATTATTCACCAACCCCTTCCCAAGAAACCACTGACATGTATATATTTCTTTCCCCCAGTTCAGTGGTATGCAGAGAATCTATGAATCGAATGTAAAGACTATTTTTGCCCCTATTTCTAAATTCTTAGTAATTTCTTTTCTTTTTCTTTTCTTTTCTTACTTTTTTTTTTTTTTTTTTGAGACAGATTCTCATTTTGTTGTTCAGGCTGGAGTGCAGTGGCACAATCTCAGCTCACTGCAGCCACTGCCTCCCAGACTCAGGTGTTCCTCCCTTCTCAGCCTCCAAAGTAGATGGGACTGTAGACATGCACCACACACCCAGCTAATTTTTGTATTTTTAGTGGAAACAGAGTTTTACCACATTGGCCAGCTAGTGTCGGATTTCTGGGCTCAAGCAATCCACCCACCTGAGCCTCCCTAATTGCTGGGATTACAGCAATTACAGTGAGCCACCATACCCAGCCTACAGTTGCTGCTCTTAAGTGTGATTATAAAATTCTGGTTTTCCGATTCTTGGCATTTTTACAGTATTTTCAAAGAATTCTTACGACATTCTTTATTGTGTTATAGATAAATATCAAAATAATTTGGAATTTTGGGTTAAAATTTTGTAATACACATCTCTTTAGTAACTAAATCTTGAGTGCTTTTTGAGGGTTTTCCTTTTGCTGTATTTAAATATCTTTTAAAATGTTTTTGTTTTAAAGGTATTTCTTGTTCTTGTCCAAGGAACCAGTTTGATTCAGCGACTTATGTCTGTTGCTTATACGTATGATAATCTGGCTCCTAGGTATGCATTTTAAGATATATTTTATGTGTGTATGTATAGCAGGAATATAATGTTTTAAAACTTTATTTTGAAAAATTCTAAACTTAATAGAAAAATTTGGGGGATATTATGATGAAATCTCTCATACCTTCCATCCAAATTTACGTATTATTAACCTGTTGCTAAAATGTGTCTTGTATTTATGAGTCACGTATTTTCTGTGTGTTTACATGTTTTCCTGAATCTTCTGAGACTGAATTGCAGATATCATGACTGTTCACCAGTACTTTGTTGTGTATCTCCTAAGACCAAGGAGATTTTCTTAATAGCTAGAGTAAAATTTTTAAATTTATAGAATTTAACATTGATATGTTATCTAACATATAGTTCATATTAAAATAATCCTATTGGTATTCTTTATAGCAGTATTTTTCTTGCTTCAGGATCAACTAAATGTATTGCATTTAGTTGTCAGTTCTTCTGTTTCTTTTCATCAGAGATAACTTTCTCAGCCTTTCTCTCATGATACATTTTCAAGTAATGCAGGCCAGTTATTTTATAGAGTACTTTTCAGTTTGAGTTTTCATGATTAGCCTTCATGATTAGATTCAGATTATGTATTTTTTAAAGGAGTCTTAAAGTTTAGACTCTAAATCATTATAACCTATGTGTTTGTCACACACATCTCTTTAGTAACTAAATCATGAGCACTTCTTGAGGGTTTACTTATTTCAGTCAATGTTTTATTCATTCAAATTTTGTTTATTAAATCTGAAGTCATTTCGTATTTGCTGTAATAAGATTTTACCAGTGATTCTTTTATTTGGTTTGTTTTTTATTTTGAAACATACAATATATTTTTATTGACTAGACACCCTGCTGTGTAATAGATTTCAAAACTTCCTGCTCTATCTGGAACTTCATACCCTTTGACTTATACCCTCTGCCCCACCCCACCCTACCCTACCCCACCCTCCAGCCTCTGGTAACCATTATTCTACTCTCTTCTTCAATGAGTTTGACTCTTCTTCAGTGAGTCTTTAAATAAATGATAAAGAATATAAAACAAATAAATAATGGAGCTCTCTTAAAATATAGTCTCTTTTGCAAAAATTAGCTGAGTGTGGTGGCACATGCTTGTAGTCCCAGCTATTGGGAGGCTGAGGTGGGAGGGTTGCTTGAGCCTGGAAGGTCAAGGCTGCAGTGAGCCATGATCATGCCACTGCACTCCAGCCTGGGCAACAGAGTGAGACCCTGTCTCCTGTCTTTTAAAACACACACACACTCACACTCTCTCTCACTCTCACTCTCACTCTCACTCACACACCCACTGCTTTCCTTTTTTGGGGGGGAAGTGATAACCTTAAAGGATATATGTTAATAAATTGAATTATTTTTAATTCATTGCTGAATTTAATTGGTGGTGGTGGTGTTTTTACTTTACAGAGTTTTAAAAGCTCAGTCTGATCACAGGTCTAGACATGAAGGTAAGGGTTCCACAAAGTTAACTTTTAATAAATAAAAACTTGAATAATATATTGATATATTTTACCTTTAATATTGAACATTGTGTTTTCATTTTAGCACAAACCTTTTATAGTGAACTGTTTTCTAATTTTTCTTTAGTTTCACATTATTCAATGTGGCTCTTGGTGAGTTGGGCTCATTGCTGTTCTTTAGTGAAATCTAGCCTTGCTGATAGCGATCATTTACAAGATTGGCTAAAGAAATTGACTCTCCTTATTCCTGAGGTAAGATAAAGATTGAAGGTTAGTACTGTTATTTTTTGTATGTTTTCATGTTATTAGCATTGATAATAAAAGAGCTAATGGAAACAAATATGCGTGAGTCCATAAATATATCACATTATCTGCTTAATCCTTTAAGGTCTAGAGTGTTTTGAACTATGTACAATGTTTAAGAACTTCTGACTATTATATATTATGTAGCATTTATATTTTTCTGAAATGTTTATAGAATGATTATTTTGCTTTGGATTAATAAAAAAAAGTTTTTCCAGGTAGTAGGAAGGGCTTGAGAATTTATTTTGGTAATTTATGTTTTAGAAAAGTTCTGTGGCCTTTTTTTTTTCTTTCTTTGAGACAGAATCTCCCTGTTCCCTGTATCACCCAGGCTAGAGTGTAGTGGTGCAATCAAGGCTCCCTGCAGCCTCAACCTCCTGGGAACAAGCGATCCTCTGGCTTCAGCCTCCCAAGTAGCTGGGACCATAGGTGCACATCACCATGCCCAGCTAGTTTTTTAACTTTTTTGTAGAGACGGGGTCTCGCTGTGTTGTCCAGGTTGGTCTTGAACTCCTGGTGTCATGTAATGCTCCTGCCTCGGCCTCCCAAACTGCTTGGGATTATAGGCATGAGCCGCTGCACCCAGCCTGTGTTTTCTATTTAAGTAGAAATAGAGGCTAGAGAGACTACAAATAAATAAAAGAAATATATTTTGCTTCCCATGTTGACACTGAGGCCAATATAATTTTTATTAGCTGTATCTTGGCATTACTCACCTCATATTCCTATGTGAAATAATAGAAACACACAGTAATATATTTAGCTCCAAAGTCACTTATTTTTTAAACCTGCGTTGTCTAATAATATTAGCTCTGGCTGGGCACTGTGGCTCACGCCTGTAATCACAGGCCGAGGTGGGTGGATCACATGAGGTCAGGAATGCAAGACCAGCCTGGCCAACATGGTGAAACCCTATCCCTACTAAAAATACAAAAAATTAGCTGGGTATGGTGGCAGGCACCTGTAATCTCAGTTACTCGGGAGGCTGAGGCAGGAGAATCGCTTGAACCCAGGAGGCAGAGGTTGCAGTGAGCCAAGATCGCACCACTGCACTCCAGCCTGGAAGACAGAGCAAGACTCTGTCTTAAAAACAAAACAAAACAAAACAAAATTAGTTCTGGATATAATGTCATTTGTGTTCTAGTCCTGTCTCAGGTAACCATTTTGACATTTGGACAGTTTGCTTACAATCTATAGAATATTCCGATTGAAGTTGCTTCTGTGTTGCTTCTAGTTCTGAAAATATTTTATCCTCTTACTGACTTGTAAATAACTTAAATGATTCTAAATGTCCTTACTCAATTATTCTTTGTATTTACCTGTTGTCATTATTTTGTTTTGTTTCTGTTTTTATGGCCATGCTTTAGGATTTCTAAAACACTGTATTTATATATTATGGTATACCTTGAGATACTTTATTTGATCATGTGTAATTTACATATATATATGTATGGGATTAGAACATTATATTTATTAATTATTTTTATGAGGCATAATCTTGTTCTGCCACCCAGTCTGGAGAGCAGTGGCATATCAGCTCACTGCAGACTCTGCCTCCCTGGTTCAAGCAATTCTTGTGCCTGTCTCCAGAGTAGCTGGGACTACAGGCGCAAGTCACCACACCCGGTTAATTTTTGTATTTTTTGTGGTGACAGGGTTTTGCCATGTTGGCCAGGCTGGTCTCAGATACCTGGCCACAGGTTATCCTCCTGCCTGGGCCTCCAAAAGTGCTGGGATTACAGGCTTGCCCGGCAGAACATTGTATTTAAAATCACCTAAAATTATTTCTGCTAACATATTAACTTTGTAATACTAACTCTCACTGTTTGTGGAACTTTCTTTTTCATCTAGACTGCAGTTCGTCATGAATCATGCAGTGGTCTCTATAAGTTATCCCTGTCAGGGCTGGATGGAGGAGACTCAATCAATCGTTCTTTTCTGCTATTGGCTGCCTCAACATTATTGAAATTTCTTCCTGATGCTCAAGCACTCAAACCTATTAGGGTAAGATTTTACTGTGTTTAGAAGCAGTTTCTATTTTTGAAATTTCCTTTGCCTCAGTTTACCGTTGTAATATATCCTTAAAATTTTGATCATTTGACTACTGTATGTGATTTTTTACCAAGAGGATAGTAGTTATATACTACTTAAGGTGACAGCATTGTGACACATTGTGTCCATGTTACTACTAGGAAGAGACTGATTTCAGCTCTGTGGTCTCTCATGGATACTCTATTTTAGAAATAGCATTTATTCTCACTCGGTTCTGGGCCTTGTGTTAATAAGTTGACTAATAAAAAATCATAAATGGAGCTCTCTTCTCTAGTAAGTCACAGTTTTCTTTTTATCTTTATGATATTCAGAATTTTAAATTTTATTTCCTACCCTAGTTCATATACTAGTCTTTAAAAGGCTTCTAATACATAATAAATTTAGAGCCCACTTTTTACTAACCCCAGAAATTCAGTGTGTTGTTGGATTTACATTATTTTCCTCCCTGTTCATATCTTTTTTAATGTCAGTAATTTGAGACTAATATTTTCCTAAAAGTTCTTACGTTTGTCATTTTTTTGCCTGGTTATTCTGATTTTACAGAAACTAAGCGTGTACTCCATTTTTAAAAAGATTTTGAATACTGTTTAGTGGATATAGGAATTTATTTCATAAAGCCTCTAGTTTCTTAAATGTATTATAATTTTATTTATTTTTAAAATGTTTTCACAAAGTATAAAATTTTTTTAATAGATAGATGATTATGAGGAAGAACCAATATTAAAACCAGGATGTAAAGAGTATTTTTGGTTGTTATGCAAATTAGTTGACAACATACATATAAAGGACGCTAGTCAGGTATGTTCAGAAAATTATATACTATTCTATGTATTCTCTTCTTGTTAATATGAATTATGACATATGTTCATGACTTTATTGGTTATTAAGTGTACTTCATTAATCTATAACTTGGTGGTGGTGTCCTATTTCTACTATATTTGTGCTTTTCCACCTTCTTCTAATTCCTTTCGTGTTTTTACTCAGACCTTAGTTGAAACGTCTTCATCTGGTATCTATCCATAATTTCCTGTCTCTTCTCAGTAAGATACGTGGATGTAACATCTTATTTGGAAAGGGAAATGTAGATTTTAAATTTAAAAATACAGCTTTCTATAATAGCATGTAGTTTGGAGTCCCAAATACGTAAAATAAAATTGCAGTTCAGATAGAAGTTACTTTAAAGAAACACTGTCAGTTTTTGCATATCTAATTTTCTTATACTGGACTAAAATGACATTTCCATTCAAACAAAGTAATGTTTAAAACAAGTAAATTTCAGGCCAGGTGCAGTGGCTCACGCCTGTAATCCCAGCACTTTGGGAGGCCGAGGCGGGCGGATCACAAGGTCAAAAGATGGAGACCATCTTGGCCAACATGGTGAAACCCCATCTCTACTAAAAATGCAAAAATTAGCTGGGCATAGTCACAGGTGCCTGTAGTCCTAGCTACTCAGGAGGGCTGAGGCAGAATCGCTTGAACCCGGGAGGCAGAGGTTGCAGTCAGTGAGCTGAGATCACGCCCCTGCACTCTAGCCTGGCGACAGAGTGAAACTCCGTCTCAAAAAAAAAGTAAATTTCAAAGCAAATCTTGCCACTTAAAGACTTGCGTTTTTTCCAGTGTACATAAATTTAGTCGACTAAAATGTGTCTAAGTTGTCAATTCAGAAGAAAATGAGAAACACATAAAGAAGATCCTTTGAAATATTTAGGACACGTTTTTCTTAAACTTTTAAATGTATTTAAATCAAAGTTCAATATGTTCACTTTACATTTAAAAGTTCTGTGGTGTTTATACTTTTTGCTTTTTAGTTAACATCTGAATTCTTAAAATCTACTTTTCATTTGAGAAATAATTACAAAAATTAGTATTGAGCAAGTTTTAATATACTTATTGTTAATTAAAATATTGATGCCAAATAAACATTGTACTTTAAAAAAAAAAAACAACCTGGGCTTGCCCATTTGAGCTAAAATAGGAATCTGATCTTGCTTGCTTGTAAAGTAATTTTCCTTTTTAGAGATTTGGGTTTCTTTGAGGGGACTCAAGTTAGATTTTGTGAAGTCTGTTTTAATGTTGTTGTTTAGTTATAACGAGAAGTAAAGTTTTTTTGGAATGAACTGTAGAATTTAGTTTATTGTTAAAAGTCTAATTTAAAGGTATTATTTAAAACAAACGGTGAATTGTGTGTGAATTACATCTCAATAAAGTCATTAAAAAAAACTTCAGTGTCTTAATAGATTACTATGACTTTTTTTTTTATTATACTTTAAGTTTTAGGGTACATGTGCACAACGTGAAGGTTTGTTACATATGTATACATGTGCCATGTTGGTGTGCTGTACCCATTAAATCGTCATTGACTTATTTTATTATCAACATTCCATTGATTGTTTTTTTGTAGAATGATCAGTGATGTTTAAGACTCATTTGGTTAATTGACATAATGTATAAGTAAAGAGTAGGTGTATTACGTTTATAACTTATTGAATTTGGGAGAACTAAATTATTGTTACCTATAAGGAAATGATTTTAATAATTTTATGTTTGGTAAAACATAAAAAATTTATATTTGAATTTTTATTTTCTTTTTGTATTAAGACAACGCTCCTCGACTTAGATGCCTTGGCAAGACATTTGGCTGACTGTATTCGAAGGTAAAATTTGATGTGAAATTGACATTTATATTGTCGAGGAAAGATAAAAGACATAATTATGTGAACTATCTTGCTTGTGTGTATTTTTTTTCTTTTTTGTAGTAGGGAGATCCTTGATCATCAGGATGGTAATGTAGAAGATGATGGGCTTACAGGACTCCTAAGGCTTGCAACAAGTGTTGTTAAACACAAACCACCCTTTAAATTTTCAAGGGAAGGACAGGTAAGTGTTAAGATAATCAAATGTTTCTATGAAATGTGATTGAAATTTTTTGTTGTTACATTGTGTATTAGTCCGTTTTTACACTGCTCATAAAGGCATACCCGAGACTGGGCAGTTTACAAAAGAAAAGGGTTTAATTCGACTCAGAGTTCCATGTGGCTGGGGAGGCCTCACAATCGTGCCGGAAGGCAAGTCCGGGCAAGTCCGAGCAAGTCGCATCTTATGTGGATGGCGGCAGGCAAAAAAAGAATGAGAACCAAGCGAAAGCGGTTTCTCCTTATAAAACCATCAGATCTCAAGAGACTTATTCACTTATCACAAGAACAGTATGGGGGAAACCGCCGCCATGATTCAGTCATCTCCCACCAGGTCCCTCCCACAACAATGGGAATTATAGGCAATATAATTCAAGATGAGATTTGGGTGGAGACACGGCCAAACTGTATCACATTGTATGTGGATATGTTAATTTTTTTAAACATACAGACATAAAAATTGCTAGAAATTACCGACAAGAAAAGCAAATTTTGAATAAATTGAATTCTGGAAATATAAAACGGGCTTGTTTTTAGAATACAAAATCAGATGTTAATTCCTGTGACTGACTGAATATAGAAAGGTAACCTAAGGCTGGGCACGGTGGCTCGTGCCTATAGTCCTAGCACTTTGAGTGGCTGAGGTAGGTGGATTGCTTGAAACCAGGAGTTCGAGACCAGCCAAGGCAACATGGTGAAACCTCATCCCTACAGAAAATACAAAAATTTGCTGGGTGTGGTGGCACACACCTGTAGTCTCAGCTACTCAGGAGGCTGAGGTGGGAGGATTGCTTGAGCTCAGGAGGTCGAGGCTTCAGTGAGCCATGATCACACCACTGCACTGTAGCCTAGGTGACAGAAGGAGAACGTGTCTCAAAAAAAAAAAAAAAAAGGTAACCTATATTTTATCAGTGTGCTTTCTATAGAATTGTATATTTTGAATTACTGTCCTAAACTGTGAATCATATCCTAATACAGTGGAATTAGTAAGTAGTCATTATTGGGTACTCGTTTCATATTTTAAAGACCTGTGTGACATGAAATCTATCTCTGAATATTGGAAACACTTCGTGACTCTGAACCAACAAATGTCTCATTTTGATTGTCTCTTGATTAAATAGTTCATCTTACCTTAACATTGGTGCATTTGTCCTGGTCATTGTAGGAATTTGTTATGGTCTGGAGAGCTGTTACCTTAAAGTTACTGAATGTGTTAGGAAATAGCAACCAAAAGGATAGAAGATTGTCCTCATAGGCATAGACTAAAGGATTCTTGAGATCAACTTAAGATTACAGTCTTATCTGTTTGAAATCTTTGCTACTTCCCCTAATGCACAAAACTCCTTCTTGTGCTATTTCTTTCAGGTTTTTTGCCTTTTCCATTAGACTCACTGGAAATGATTTGATAGATTTACAGCCTTGTTGATTGAAGTCTTCTCTTATATATAAACTAGTATATAACTTTTATCCCCAAATATAAATATATTAATTGGTTTTTCTGATAACGTTGTAAAGCAAAAGTCATTGTTAAGAAAAAATAATTTTAGATAGTACAAAAAAAGAATATTCCCATTTGGTTTGATTTCCTCTCATGCTATGGTGATGGCCTTCCAGGACTTTTCATGGATACAGTAAATACGCATGTATAAAATTCATATTTATAGAAATTTTACAGTTTATAAATAGTATTCTGTGATCGATTTTCACTAAAAAATGAGTACATTAAAAAAGAAAATGTATTTTTAAAAATTGACTAAGAGGCAATAATTTAAATCTTTGACATTTATGAAGTTATAGAAAAAACTGTAAAGGCAGCATCTTTGCATACTTGTCCCATTATTTACTCAAGAACTCTTAAAAGTAAAATAGGTTGATTTTAATCCGTAGTTTATGTTAGTATACAAAAGGATACATCATTTTACACTTGTAGCCACACTGTATGAGAATGCCTTTTTCAAGCATCTGCAGATTCTTATGTCACTGAGATATTTGCCAATTTTGATGTTGATTTAGTTTTATTTCTTTGTTAATTGGTGAATGGGTTTCTTTCCATTTACTTATTGTTTGTATTTGATATTTATTTGTTCAGTCAGTATATGGTTTCCCATTCATTTGTAAAAGTTATTTATTTTGAATATGTCAGCTCTTTATATCATATTTGCTGCATGTATTTTTTCCAAAGTCTTATTTCTCTTTATTATTACTATTTTTTTACTTCTCTTCTGTTTATTGATTTATACAAGTTGTCATCCTAGGACAAATTTTTGAGGCTTTAAAAGGTGGATATTATTAGACCCAATTTTGACAGATGATGAAACTGAGGCATAGACAGGTTAAACGAGTTGTGCATGACTGAGTCACTTACTCTTCACTTGGCCAAGCTTTTAACCATTATACAATACTGTCTACACATGATAACACATTAAACACAGTGTTCTATACTTTGCTTTTTTTCACCTATCTTAGATATTTTCAAATTCAGTATATAAACAGTTCATTTAAAAAAAAAAAAGGGACAGGGTCTCCTTATTCAAGCTGCAGTGCAGGGGCACAATCATAGCTCATTGCAGCCTTGAACTACTAGATCAAGTGATTCACCTGCCCCAACCTCCCAGGTGTCTAGGATTATAGGCATACGCCATCACACCCAGCTAATTTATTTATTTATTTATTTTTGTAGAGATGGGGTTTTGCTGTGTTGCCCAGGCTGTTCTTAAACTCCTGCCCTTAAGTGATCCTCCCGTCTTGGCCTCCCAAACTGTTGGGATTACCGATGTGAGCCAACGCACACCGCCATGCTTGGCTATTCATTTTGTAAAAGTAACTTCAAAATATTATTGTTATTATCTTTGAGACGGGGTCTGGCTCTGTCACCCAGGCTGGACTTCAGTGGCATGATCTCAGCTCACTGCAACCTCCACCTCCCAGGCTCAAGCAGTCCTCCCACCTCAGCCTCCCAAGCAGCTGGGACTACAGGCAGGCATCACCATACCCGGCTAATTTTTAAAAATCTTTTGTAGAGACGGGATTTCGCCATGTTGCCCTGGATGGTCTCAAACTCCTGGGCTCAAGCAGTCCTTCTGCCTTGGCCTCCTAATGTGCCAGGATTACAGGCATGAGCCACCATGCCTGGCCCAGAATATTATTTTATCTGCATATATGTAATATATTTAGCTTCATAATGATCAACATTGTCTTAAACTATTTCTAGTGATATTACAGAGATCTTTATACATTTAACACATAGATTTAGGAAATGTAGGAAGACATTCTAAAAGTTAGAACTGCTAGTTCATGGAGTATACGTTTATAGTTTTGGTTATGTTAAAAACGAAAACCAAGTTAACTGTCTGTGGAAGCTGAGCCAATTTATGGCTGTACCTACAACCTGAGATTAATTTCCAATTTTCCAGCATTTCTACCAACATACTATACGTTTAGATAATTTCTACCAGTCTGATAGGTGCAAAGAGATTCTCTTGGTTTTATTTTGTATTATTTTTATTAGTAAGGCTGAACTTCCCTTCAAGTGTTTGAAAGCCATTTGTGTTATCTTTTCTCTGACTGCTCAGATCCTTTTCCTTTATCCCTGTTATGTATGTTATAGTCCTTAACTAATTTGTAGAATATTTTATATTAAGGAAACTATCTCACTGTAATATGAATTGCAAGTTTTTTTTTTTTTTCTGTCTTGACTTCATGTTTTTTGTTATGCTTGTTTCTTATTTATTTATTTATTTGAGACAGAGTCTTGCTCTGTTGCCTAGGCTGGAATGCAGTGGCATGATCTCAGCTTACCTCAACCTCCACCTCCCAGGTTCAAGCAATTCTCCTGCCTCAGCCTCCCTACTAGCTGGGATTACAGGCATGCACCACCATGCCTGGCTAAATTTTGTATTTTTAGTGGAGACCGGATTTCGCCATTTTGGCCAGGCTGGTTTTGAACTCCTGACCTCAGGTGACCAGCCCACCTTGACCTCCCAAAGTGCTGGCATTACAGGCGTGAACCACCTCACCTGGCCTGCTTATTTTCGAAGCCAGAATTTTTTTTTCATGTAGTCAGGTGTATTGATCTTTTACAGCTACTAGATACTGTGTTATACTTTTAAAAACTCCCTGTTTTTTCATGCTTTCATAACTTAATATTTTACATTTAAGTTTTTCTATCAGGAAATTGTTTAGGTGAAAGGAATGAAATGGATAACTTTTTTTCAGATATGTACCCAGTTATCCTAATAATTAACTAATTTATTTTTTTTCTACTGATTACAAATGCTTCCTTTTTCAAATAAACTACCATATGTATTTCTGGACTTTCTGTTTCATCTTATTGATTTGTTTGTTCATTCACCAATATCATATCTTAATTATGTAGATTTAATATCCTGTAGAGATAGTCCCTTTGTTTGTTTTTTGAGACAGTGTCTCACTCTGTCACCCAGGCTGGAGTGCAGTGGTGCAGTGGCTCACTGTAACCTCTGCCCTCCAGGTTCAAGCGATTCTCCTGCCTCAGCCTCCTGAGTAGCTGAGACTACAGGCACCTGGCACCACACCCAGCTAATTTTAGTATCTTTGATAGAGAAGGGTTTCACCATGTTGGTCAGGCTGGTCTCAAACTCCTGACATCAGGTGATTCGCCTGCCTCGGCCTCCCAAAGTGCTGGGATTACAAGCATGAGCCACCACGCCTGACCAAGGTAGTCCATTTTCATTATTATTTCTTTTCAGTATTTTCCTGGCTGTTTATTTTTCCACATAAACTTTAGAATCAGTTCATCTAGTTCTTTAAAAAAATAAAATTGTGTTACTTTTTTGGTTGAGATTGTATTATATTTCCAGATTGATGCAGAATTAACTTTATGATACTCAATTTGCCTGTGGAAGAGTATGATTTGTTGTATTTATGCAAAGCCAATCGTTTTATGTTTTTTATTTAGAAGATTCTTTTTCCTACAAAATTTAGGTTTTAAGTATTTCTTAGTAAGTTTATTCTTAGGAGTTTTGTCCTTTTTGTTGGTATGTTGATATGGAATCATTGCTTATGTTTTTTAACTTGTCATTTATGTGTAGTAAGAATTTGTGTATACAGTTGTTGCAGGCCATCTGAAATTGACTTATTGTTGGTAGACTGTTTTCAGTTATCTTTAGCTGTTAGTGTTCTTTGGTTCTTCATTTGTTTTTGGTTTATTATCTGCAAGTAATTCTTGTTTTTCTTTTATTTTCCCCAAGCAGACTCATGTCACAATCATCTGCAAGTAATTCTATTACTTCCTGTTTTACAAGTTTAACTCTTTCCATTTCTTCACCAAATTTTTTCTGAAACATTCAGAATAATGTTAAGTTAGTTGTTCTTAGCATTCTTTATTGAAAAGGTCTTCATGTTCATGTCAAATTATAATTTCCCCTTCGTTTCAGTGTTAAGGGAAAACTTTAGAAGCTTTCATACAGGAGAGATGTGATCTGAATTAACATTTCAGAGGGTTTACTCGTATGCTAGTTGGAAAATTAGTCTGTGGGCAAACTCAAAGGGCAAATGTATGAGTCAAGGGATCCAGTTAGGAAGTTTTTCGATGGTTCCAGAGAGGGACAATGGTGAAAAGTGCTTTGACGTGGAATATTTATTGAAGGTAGAGCTCACAGGTCTCAGATTTGGATATATATGTTGGATTTGAGAGAGGTTAATAAAGAATGACTCCTAATTTTTTTTTTTTTTTTTTTTTGAGATGGGGTCTCCCTCTGTCACCCAGGCTGGAGTGCAGTGGCATGATCTTGGCTCACTGCAAGCTCTGCCTCCCAGGTTCACACCATTCTCCCGCTGCAGCCTCCCAAGTAGCTGGGACTACAGGTGCCCGCCACCACACCCAGCTAATTTTTTGTATTTTTAGTAGAGACAGGGTTTCACCATGTTAGCCAGGATGGTCTCGATATCCTGACCTCACGATCTGCCCGCCTCTGCCTCCCAAAGTGCTGGGATTACAGGCGTGAGCCGCCGTGCCCGGCCAAGAATGACTCCTGAATTTTAAGCCTGAGAAGCTGAGGGAATGGTAATGCCAATTATTAAGAAAAGAAAAACTCAGAAATGTCAGAGGGTAATAGGCGGTAAAACCAAGAGTTCTGTTTTGGAAATGTTAAATTTGAAATGTCAATTAGATATCCAAGTAGAGGTATTAAAGGCAGTTGGTTTTCTTGTAATATTAAGGAAAATATGCCTTAACTCCAAGATATTTAAAATCTCTTCCACTCTAATGATTTTTACTTTTTTCCTTAAGTATTTTTAAAAAATAGTTCTAGAACTGAATTTCATGCAGAATTTGGTAAATTTTTTCTATAAAGAAACATGATAAATATTTTACACTTTGCAGCTGCATAATAATCTGTCATCAGCAACACTACCACTATCACTACTACTGCTTCCTCCTCCTTCCCCCTTCTTCCCCTCCTTTCTCCTCTTTCTTCTTTCTTTTACCTTTCCAGTAGTGCTAATCTTCATTCTTCCTTTCTTTCTCCTCCTCCCTTCCTTTTTCTTCCTTTTTTCCTCCTTTTGCATTCCTCCTTTCTTCTCCTTTTAAAGTATGAGTATCATTCCTATCTCTATTGCCTTGCATAGTGTCTAAAAACTATGTTGAGCAAATGGATGATTGCAACTCAGACCTGATTCTTAGAACTGACAGTCAAACAGTACATTTGTCTTATGCAAAATTTGCGTGTACCCTTAAAATTATGGCTGCTCATGATATTTATACTTCATGGAAATAAATAATAGTTATTAAAAAGAGATATCATCAGAGATTTAGAAGATCAGATTGCATTGACATGATTAGGAAAGGCTTTGAAGAAGATAAAGCTTCACCCAGGTTGGAGTGCAGTGGTGCGATCTCGGTCCACTGCAACCTCTGCCTTCCAGGTTCCAGCGATTCCCCTGCCTCAGCCTCCCAAAGAGTAGCTGGGATTACAGGCGTGTGTCACCACACCCAGCTAAATTTTTGTTGTTGTTGTTTTGTTTTGTTTTTGTAGAGGCGGGTTTTCACCATGTTGGCCATGCTGGTCTCGAATTCCTGACCTCAGATGATCCGCCCACCTTAGCCTCCCAGTGTGCTGGGATTACAGGCATGAGCCACCGCGCCTGGCCAGATACAGCTTTTTTAATGGATATCTTTTGTAGAAAAGTAAGGGAAACATTTAACTCATAGGAAAGAATATGAGTAAAAATTAAGTCATAGGAAAGCAATGGTTTCATGCAGAAAATTGGTTGGTTCAGTTTAGCCTATGTTTTAGGAAGTATAGGAGAAACTTGGTGGCCATCTATTGTGGGCACAGGAAATTATTTTTATATATAAAATGAAAGCATTATTGTCTTAGTCTGTTCAGGCTGCTGTAATAAAATATTGTAAACTGGGCCAGGCGCAGTGGCTCATGTCTGTAATCCCAGCACATTGGGAGGCCAAGGCAGCTGGATTGCTTGAGCTCAGGAGTTTGAGACCAGCCTGGCCAATGTGGTGAAACCCAGTCTCTACTAAAAATACAAAAATTAGCCAGGCATGGCGGTGCATACCCGTAATCACAGCTACTCGGGAGGCTGAGGCACGAGAATCCCTTGAACCAGGGAGGTGGAGGCTGCAGTGAGCCGAGATCGTGCCACTACACTCCAGCCTGGCAACAAAGCAAGACACTCTCAAAAATAAATAAAATAAAATATTGTATACTGGGTAGCTTATAACAACAGAAATTTACTTTTCACAATTCTGGAGGCTGGGAGTAGTACAAGATCAAAACTCTGGCAGATTCACAGTGTCTTGTGAAGGCCTACTTTTTGATTCACGGAGTCTTGTGAAGGCCTACTTTTTGATTCACGGATGGCACCTTCTCATGAAGCCCTTAGATGATGGGAGGGGTAGGAGGTCTCTCTACTGCTTCGTTGATAAGGGCAGAGTCCTCATGACTTAATAACCTTCCAAAGGTCCCACCTTCTAATACCATCACATTGGTGGTTAGGTTTCAACATACAAATTTCAGAGTGACGAAAACATTTAGGCCATGGCAATTACTTTTGTAATTTTAGGCTGGGAAGGGATGGGATGAAGAGAGATTGGCTAATGAATACAAAAATACACTTGGAGTAATAAATTCTAGTGCTCAGTAGCATAGTAGGATGACTATTGTTAAAAAATTTTTTTTGTGTATTTCAAAATAGCTAAAAGGGAGGATTTGAAATATTCCCAATAAAAGAAATGATAAATGCTTGAAATCACAGGTATTCCAAATACCCTGATTTCATCATTACACATTGTATTTATGTGTCAAAATATAATATATTCCATTAATATATATAATTATTATGTATCAGTAGATAATTGTAAAAACAGGAGCCTTTTAAGGTTTTGATCAAATAATGTCAAGGATGTACATTAACAAAATAAATCTGGTAATGGATTGCAAGCCAGCAGAGTGCACTGGTCTTTAAACTTTTATTGTTGACATATTTCTTAATCTTGAAAAACCTAGGTGTCTCCTCAAAGATTTTTTAAATTTGTAAATTTGTGAATTTTAAGTCTTTGTAGACAATATACATTCAGGAAATTATTGAATTATTGTTTTCAAAGACAAAATTATGGTCCTCTTTTAGATTAATGAAATGTAAATGCTGTAGCAACTTTTATTCATCTCTCTTAAAATGTATAAACTCTCAACTGTAATCCCAGCACTTTGTAAGGTCGAGGCAAAAGGATTGCTTGAGCCCAGGAGTTGGAGACCAGCCTGGGTAACCTGGTGAAACCCTGTCTCTATTAAAAAAAAAAAAAAAAAAAAAATTAGCCAAGGTGGTGAGCATCTATAGTCCAAGCTACGCAGGAGGCTGAGCTGGGAGGATTGACTGAGCCTGGGAGATTGAGGCTGCAGTGAGCCATGATCCCACCACTGTCGCTAGCCTGGGTGATAGAGTGAGATCGTCTCCAAACTCTCCTTTCTGAAATTTTACTTAGCTAAATTTTTTCCTAATTCCTCCTCAGTATTTCCACTTGATTCCCCCACAGAATGTAATTGTAATGTATTTATTAGTATCTTTGAACATCTTTTATTATTTGCCTATCATACTTCTCTACAACAAAATATATGTAAGTTAATAAAATATTTCCTGTGTACATGATATTGTCTTAAATTTCTTCTATATTTAGTTATTACATTACATTTATTATTAGGACATGGCAATTGAAGGAGCATAAATATACTTTGTTTTGCCAAACTAGTATGAAACATTTAAAAATGAAATTTTACTGAATATATGCATTAGTGAGAAGGATGGTCCTTATTAATATAGTTGTAGGTGAATATTAAGCTAGAATGGTAGTGTTCATTAATTCTCTCTTCCTATTTTCTATTTTTATATATGTGAATTCTAAAAAACCTTATTTACATAATGTTTTTAGTGCACATGGAAGTTTTTGATAACTTTTTAAATTGAATTTCTTCTGAATTATAAGTCAAAAATTACCCTATTATCTATTGCTGTATTAGTTCATTTTGCGGTGTTATAAGGGAATACCTGATGCTGGGTATAAAAAAAGAGGTTTATTTGTTGAGGACTCAGGAGCCTTTTACTCATGGCAGAAGGCCATGAGAGAACAGCTGTGTCACATGGCGAGAAAGGGAGGTGGGAGGTGCAACACTTTTTTTTTTTTTTTTTTTTTTTTTTTTTTAACAACAGCTCTTGCATGAACTCAAAGAGTGAGAACTCACTCATTCCTGTGTGGTAGGTACCAGGCTCTTCAGGGATACACCCTGATGACTCGAACACCTCTCACTAGACCTCACCTCCAACATTGGGGAGCACATTTCACCATTAGATGTGGTGAAATGGGATTACAGATGTGAGCCATTGTACCCGGCCCAGTTTACAATATTTTATTACAGCAGCCTAAACAGACTAAGACAACAGTTCTTTTATTGGACAAATACCCAAACCATATCAGTCACCAAAAACTATTTTTAATATTCTCTGAGGTCATAGTCTGTGTAGGTTCTTCTTTCTGTGAAGTATATGAGTAGGTTCTTTCTGTGAAAGGCTTATAAAAATAAGCCCTTTGCCAGGTGCAGTGGCTCACATCTGTAATCCCAGCACTTTGGGAGGCTGAGGCTGGCGAATCACAAGGTCAGGAGGCCGAGACCAGCCTGGCCAACATCGTGAAACCCCATCTCTACTAAAAATACAAAAAATTAACTGGGTGCGGTGGCTCACGCCTGTAATCCCAGCACTTTGGGAGGCCGAGGCTGGCAGATGGATCACGAAGTCGGGAGATCGAGACCATCCTGGCTAACACAGTGAAACCCCGTCTCTACTAAAAAATACAAAAAATTAAGACCGGGTGTTGTGGTGGGCGCCTGTAGTCCCAACTAATTGGGAGTCTGAGGCAGGAGAATGGCATGAACCCGGGAGGTGGAGCTTGGGGTGAGCCGAGATGGCGCCACTGCACTCCAGCCTGGGCGACAGAGCAAGACTCTGTCTCAAACAAACAAAACCACAAAAAATTAGCTGGGTGTAGTGGCAGGTGCCTGTAATCCCAGCTACTTGGGAGGCTGAGGCAGGAGAATCGCTCGAACCTGGGCAGCGGTGGTTGCAGTGAGCCGAGATTGTGCCACTGCATTCCATCCCAGGTGACAGAGTGAGATTCTGTCTCCAAAAAAAAAAAAAAAATCTCCTAACCACTTTCCATATTTCCTAGCTAAACTTAACGTTTCTTTGCTAAGAACTATGAATTACACATTCTTTAACAATAGATGAAAGAGGTGAGGTCATTATGGAAAAACATTTCAAAAATTTCTGTTTTTGGTACGTCTTTCAAGAGTTTCCCTGACCACCCCCAGGTTTGTTGATTCACTAACTCACAGGACTCAGCATATAGTTATACTCATGGCTAAGATTTATTACAGCAAAATGATACAAAGCAAAATCATGAAAAGAAAAAGGTGTCAAGGCGAAGTCTGGAGGAAGCCAGTTGCAACTTAACCAAGGGTTGTCTTCCATTGGAGTTCCACAAGATGTGTTCAGTGAGCATGACAACGCATGTGATGTATTGTATACCAAGAACGTTCTCTTGAGCCTAGGAGTCCTTGGTTTTATCACAGGGTGGCTCATGTGGGCACATAGTGACTGGATAACTCACCATAGTTGCCCCAACTCCAGACTCCTGAAAGGAAAACAGGTCTTTAGCATAAACCCGTTAGGCACAGTGAGCCACTGTTTTCACTTAGAGAGTTTTGTATCAATGTAGGGAGCTGTTTACTTACCAGTGACGTTTGCAGACTGTAGGCAAAGGTCAGCCTTTCTGTGGGTATCAAGAGTCTCAGTCTTACTGTGCTATCTCTTTTCTGCACAGTACTCCAGGAGGTTTTATACTGCAGACCAATGTACCATAGTACTATTTGGGATGTGTGAGGGTGATAACTTGGTAAAATAGCAAAGGACCAATTAGAAAAGAATAAGTGGAAAAGATAACCCAGCACCCACTTTCTCAGACAGACTTAATTTTGGAAAAAGTACAACAGTACTACCTTTCAACAGTATAAGTAAACTGTTGATTTTGCCACTGTTATTGTTGCTATTATTTATTAGTAGAGTGAAGTAAGGGGAAAGTTAATGCAGAAGCGCCAGTCAGACTTGTCAAGGGAATAATGAGGCCTTAACAAAAACTTTACATCACTTAATGGAATAGAAAATAACAACATTGTACGTGAAGAGTCTAAGAATGAGCTTATTAGGTATCAAAAAGGAGAGAAGAGTAAAAGTTGATCGCCGCCTTCGTTTTCTCTTAAGAGAAATGAACACGGAGGACTTTCAGATGATGGTATATCATGCTGCTATACGTTTTTGAGTAGCTTAATTGTAGCCTGTCATCCTGTGTATATGTTAACTATATTTGGAATGTAATTAATATCTCAGTTTAGATAACATGTTTCCTTTTACTCCCCAGGAATTTTTGAGAGATATCTTCAATCTCCTGTTTTTGTTGCCAAGTCTAAAGGACCGACAACAGCCAAAGTGCAAATCACATTCTTCAAGAGCTGCCGCTTACGATTTGTTAGTAGAGATGGTAAAGGGGTCTGTTGAGAACTACAGGCTAATACACAACTGGGTTATGGCACAACACATGCAGTGTAAGCATTCTTCTTTTCCTTTAATCTTTATAGATTTTGAATTCAGAAATAAGATTTTGAGGGCACTGTTTAACAAAAGAATCTGCTCTTCACACACTTTAACATTATAAATGATTATTGGTAGGGTGTTATTAAAGTTAAAAAGTAAACATTGATGTGAAGGACCTTTTTATATGCATTTTAAATACTTCGGCTTTTTCTGTAAAAGTAATTTGGGGCCAAGTAAAATCAAGTTTTAAAAGTCTTGAATTTTTAGAGAATAAATTAGTTTTCATCTGTATTTTTTTTTATTTAAAAAATTCTATATAATGTTCTATATATATTAATGAGGTAACTAATGGAGGTAGAGGCTGTTAATGTAAGCAAAATACATTGTGTTTCATAGTTTGTTTGGGGGGGATCTTTTCCTCCCTCTTTCTTCAGCAGCCCATGCACCTTATAAATGGGATTACTGGCCTCATGAAGATGTCCGTGCTGAATGTAGATTTGTTGGCCTTACTAACCTTGGAGCTACTTGTTACTTAGCTTCTACTATTCAGCAACTTTATATGATACCTGAGGCAAGACAGGCTGTCTTCACTGCCAAGGTAGAATTTTCCTCACTTTAAAAATCAAAATTATAAACCAGATTTTAATATTTTGTTGATAAATTTTTATTTCAATGTAGTAAATGTTTGAAAAAATAATTTGTGAATAAAAGTAAATTTGATTACAGTAACTAGCTAATGTGTATTTTACATAGTTATACATTTTAGTAGATTACTCATAATGCTGTAGTACAGTTTAGTTCTCAAAGGAAAACACAGCTATGGAATATGCATGCTCAGTGTATACAATGAATATCATGTTGTCAGTAAAAACGCATTCACTGGGAGAACATATGAGAATAAAAAACAAAAATAAATAAATACATATTTTTATTACAGAGAAAATAAGGAAACCCTGAATCCAAGTAGAGAAGTATTACCAGAATCACTTAGCTTGTTTCTTTTATATTTATCCCAAAGTGAATCAAATTGTGGACCTAATTTGTTTGTGTAAGCTCTGCTTCATGTTATTTTTATTCACTTTCTAGTTTTCATTCTTTTTTACCGTGGGCTATTTTTGTTTTTTAAAATAATAAATAGAGATGAGGTCTCTCTGTGTTGACCAGGCTGGTCTCCAACTCCTGGCCTCAAGCAATCCTCCCATTTCAGCTTCCCAAAGTCCTGGGATTACAGGTGTGAGCCACCATGCCCGGCCAACTATGGGCTATTTTTTAGTTTGCCTTTTGTACTGCTTTTAGAGTTTTTTGATGAATTTCCTTTATACTTGCTCTTGGATTTTTTATTTTTATTTTTTTGAGGCAGGACTCAGTGTCTGTCACCCTGACTGGAGTGCAGTGGTGTGAGCACAGCTCACTGCAGTGTTGACCTCCTGGGCTCAAGTGATCCTCCCACCTCAGCCTCCTGAGTAACTGGGACTGCAGGCATATGCCACCATGCCTGGCGGAGTTTTTTACTTTTACTTTTTGTAGAGACAGGGTCTCACTGTGTTGCCCAGGCTGGTCTCAAATCCTGGGCTTACAAGATGCTTCTACCTTGGCCTTCCAAAGTACTGGGATTATTGGTATAAAGCTACCAAGCCTGGCCTCATCATGTTATCTTTTGTCTTGATTTCTTTTTCCCTGTTAAGTATTGCAGTGCTTTATATACTTTCACTGAATTATTTATTATGTTTAAGTTACTCTTTAAAGTCTCCAGTTCATAGTTTACCCAAGTGGTTCTGGGTTTTTTGGCTTTAGTTATTGATACTTTAAAATTTATCTCTGTACATTATGACTAAAAGTAGTTGAATGATTAGTTCATTTAGCTTATGGAAATATTTCTGAATAAATTTGGTATACCCATCTGCGTAGTCTTATAAAAGCAGTTATCAAAGAAGCATGTTTTCAGTGGTTTTCTTTTTAGCTGGCAACTTGGTCATGCTTCTTGGTTTTACTTCTTCATATTGATAACCACCTTTAAAGCTATTAACACTTCTAGGAATTAGTAGAAACAGAAGGAACACTCAGATGTGCTGATTATGAGTAGATCTCATAAACGGTATTTTTAGTTAAAAACTAAATTTACAAGCAGAAACAACCCCATTAGAAAGTGGACAAAGCAGCTTGGCCAGTATGGTGAAACCCTATCTCTACCAGATATACAAAAATTAGCTGCGTGTGGGGTGTGGTGGCTCACGCCTGTAATCCCAGCACTTTGGGAGGCAGAGGTCGGTGGATCACGAGGTTAGGAGATCAAGACCATGCTGGCCAACATGGTGAAACCCCATCTCTACTAAAAATACAAAAAAAATAGCTGGGTATGGTGGTGGGTACCTCTAATCCCAGCTATTTGGGAGGCTGAGGCAGGAGAATCCCTTGAACCCAGGAGGCGGAGGTTGCAGTGAGCCAAGATGGCGCCAATGCACTGCAGCCTAGGCGACAGAGCGAGACTTTGTCTCAAAAAAAAAAAAAGCCTTTGGCCAGGCGCAGTAGCTCACGCCTGTAATCCCAGCACTTTGGAAGGCCGAGGCGGGCGGATCACCTGAGGTCAGGAGTCTGAGACCAGCCTGGCCAACATAGTGAAGCCATGTCTCCTCTAAAAAATATGAAAATTAGCCAGGCATGATGGCAGGTGACTTAATCCCAGCTACTTGGGAGTCAGAGGCAGGAGAATTGTTTGAACCCGGGAGGCAGAGGTTGCAGTGAGCTGAGATCGAGCCATTACACTCAAACTTTGGGGACAAGAGCGAGACTTCTCTCAAAAAAAAAAAAAAAAAAAAAAAAATTCCATGTGTGGTGGTGCGTGCCTGTAGTCCCAGCTACTCGGGACGCTGGGCCAGGAGAATCGCTTGAACCTGGGAGGCGGAGGTTGCAGTGAGCCGAGTTTGTGCCACTGCATTCCAGTCTGGGTGACAGAGCAAGACTCTATCTTAAAAAAAAAAGTGGACAAAGGACATGAACAGACACTTTTCAAAAGGAGACATACATGCGGCCAATAAGCATATGAAAAAATGCTCAGTATTACTCATCATTAGAGAAATACAAAACTAAACCACAGTGAGATAACATCTCAAACCAGTCAGAATAGCTGTTAATAAAAAGTCAAAAAATAACTGATGCTGGCGATGTTGTAAAGAAAAGGGAATGCATATACACTGCTGATGGAAATGTAAATTAGTTCAGCCATTGTGAGAAGCAGCTTGGCAATTTCTGAAAGAACTTTAAACAGAATTACTATTCGGCTCAGCTATTCCATTGGGTATATACCCAAAGGAATATAAATCATCCTACCATGAAGACACATCCACAAGCATGTTTACCACAGCAGTGTTCACACTAGCAAAAACATGGAATCAACCTACATGCCCATCAACAGTGGACTAGATAAAGAAAATGTGGTACATATACAGCATAGAACACTATGCAGCCATAAAAAAAGAACAAGACCATGTCTTTTGCAAAAACATGTATGGAACTGGAGGCCATTATCCTAAGTGAACTAACATAGCAACAGGGAACCAAATACCATATGTTCTCACTTATAAGTGGGAGCTAAATATTGAGTACATATGGACACACAGGAACAATGGACGTTGTGTCCTACCTGAGGGTGGAGTGTGGGAAGAGGAACAGGATTGAAAAACTACCTATTGGTACTATTATTACCTGGGTGATAGAACAATCTATATACCAAACTTACGTGACACACGGTTTACCTATATAACCTGCATATGTACCCCTGAACCTAAAATAAGAGTAAACAGTAAAAAAAAAAAGGAGACCTGTGTACATATATTTCTATATCTATCTATCTATCTATCTATCTATATATATATATATATTTTTTTTTTTTTTTTTTTTTTTTTTTTTGACGAAGTCTTGCTTTGTTACCCAAGCTAGAGTGCAGTGGCGCGATCTTGGCTCACTGCAACCTCTGCCTCCTGGGTTCCGGCAGTTCTCCTGCCTCAGCCTCCCGAATAGCTGGGATTACAGGCACCTGGCTAATTTTTGTATTTTTAGCAGAGACAGGGTTTAACCATCTTGGCCAGGCTGGTCTCAAACTCCTGACCTCGTGATCCCCCCGCCTCGGCCTCCCAAAGTGCTGGGATTACAGATGTAAGCCACCGCGCCCAGCCAAAAATTCTTAACAGAATTTGATATGATTCTGGCAAGTACTCTAGTCAAGTGGGCACTTTATTCTTAAGATGAACACTTCAGTTAATTATATTATTCCCTTTTCTGATGCTCACATGAAGTTTAAAGAAAGCTACATATATTCTAATTGTGGTAAAATATATGCAACATTAAATTCATCATTTTAACCATTTATACATATATACAGTTGATGGGATTAAATACATTCACATTATTTTGCAGCCATCACCACCATTCCATCTTGAACTTTTTCACCTTCCCAACAGAAACTTGTTAAACACTTAACTCTCCATTCTCCCTCCCAACCCCCCTTGCAACCACTATTCTACTTTCCATCTCTATGCATTCAACTGTTTCAGGTACCTCATATAAGTGGAGTCAGATTTGTCTTTTTGTGACTGGCTGTGAGTGGCTTATTTCACTTAGGATATCTTCAAGGGTTATCCATGCTGTTGTATGTGTCAGAAGTTCTTTCCTTTTTAAGGCTGAATTATAATTTATTGTATTTACCACATTTTATTTATTCTTTCACTTATCAGTGGATACTTGGGTTGCTTTCACCTTTTGGCTGTTGTGAATAATGCTGTTACGGACATGGGTGTACAAACATGTTTGAGTTCCTGCTTTTACTACTTTTGGGTGTATACCCAGAAGTGGAATTGTTGGATCATATGGGAATTGTGTGTTTAGTTTTTTGAGGAATAGCCTTACCTTTTCCATAGGGCTTACACCGTTTTGCATGCATAAGGGTTTAATTTCTCGACGTCCTTGCTAACACTTGACATTTTCTGTTTGTTTTAATAATAGCCATCCTAATGGATGTGAACACAATTTTTTAAGTAGTAAATACATATAGATGCAGGCTATGTATTTATTTAAAAATTGCGCATTAAGTAAAATTCCCTTGTTGTTGCTTGACTTTAATAAATTTAGGCAGCTCTTTAGCCAACTCATACTTCATTCTCTAATAATAAAAATATAAATCCAGGTCTTTATTCCTGAACTTTTTTGTATCCTGAATCAATACTTTGATACGTTGGAAAATTTCATTTTGTGTGACTTTTTTCGTAATATGGAATATTAAGCCTCTCATATAACAGGAGTACACTGGAATTATTTTGCCAATTTTGTTGATTCCCTTTGTTCAATTCCTGTTGAGTTTAATATATAATTTTATAGTAATTATATGCTGAACAGATCTCTGTTTTAGTCCATATCTTGACTTCAATTTGATTATAAGCTGCTAAACAGCAGAGCCATATTACTTGCAGTCTTCCATAAAGCTGGCAAAAATAACTAATGTATACTCTTAGCTTGTGGACGCCTATTATTCCACAAGACTTTCAAAGTTATGAGAGGTAATAATTTGTAATAAGAATAATACCTACTTTATAGATTCATTTTAATACTTGAGTGAGGTGGAATATGTGTAATAAGTACCTTGCATGAATATGGATCTTTCCTATAAGGCTTGGTGTTCAATACTAAATCTCTAATGTGTGAGTCTAGCCAGATTCCTGAATTTGACTTATTGATAGTTGAATATTTAGACAGTTTTCAAAGATCCTGGCTGGTATTCCTCTTCAGTGTGAAGAATATACTGTTCCAGAAAGAGTAAAGATATGAATAAATGATGATGAGATGTCATTGGTTAATATTTCAAATGTATTTTTTTAATGTGTAGGTTTACTTGTGGAAGACAACTTTGATTGCACCTGAAGTGTTTTTCATTCTTGCATTCTTGGAAATCATCAGCATTGTACCAAATAAGTGTTAACCTAGAAAGTGATTTTTAAAATTCTCTCTTCGGTTTCCTTATAAGATAGTAATAGCTGTATTTATGTAACAAAGCATTACAATTTTTAATGCTATAATTACTAAAGAATTGAATGTGTTGGTGTTTTTCTTTTATATAGCCAAAAGAATGAAAACAGATACAGTGTACATTGCAAGACTTTCTTTGCTAGAATGCCTAATTTACTACCATCATGTCTGTGTTTTTAATGGTGTTTTCTCTTGATTTTCAGTATTCAGAGGATATGAAGCACAAGACCACTCTTCTGGAGCTTCAGAAAATGTTTACATATTTAATGGTATGTTTAAGAATCATGGAGGCTAGGCCAGGCACTGTGGCTCATGCCTGTAATTATAGCATTTTGGGAGGCCAAGGTGGGTGGATGGCTTGAGTTCAAGAGCTTGAGACCAGCCTGGGCAACATGGTGAAACCCCATCTCTACTAAAAAAAAAAATAAGCCAGGCATGGTGGTGCGTGCCTGTAGTCCCGGCTGCTTAGGAGACTGAAAAGGGAGGCTCGCTTGAGCCCAGGAGGCAGAGGTTGCAGCAAGCTGAGATCTCACTACTGCACTCGAGTCTAGGTGACAGAGTGAGACTCTGTCTCAAAAAAAAAAGAAACATGGAGGGAAACAAATTAGGTGTACCCTGTGACAAAACCTAAAAAAGTTAAATGGAGCTCGTTTGAACTGGCTTTGTCATAACTATGTACCTTTCTTTTTCTTACTTTTTTATTTATTTATTTATTTATTTTGAGACAGAGTCTTGCTCTGTTACTCAGGCTGGAGTGCAGTGGTGTGATCTCAATTCACTGCAACCTCCACCTCCCAGGTTCAAGTGATTCTCCTCCCTCAACCTTCCAAGTAGCTGGGACTACAGGCGCACACCACCACGCCTGGCTAAATTTTGTATTTTTAGTAGAGACAGCTTTCACCATGTTGGCCAGGCTGGTCTCGAACTCCTGATCTCAAGTGATCTGCCTGCCTCAGCCTCCCAAAGTGTTGGGATTACAGGTGTGAGCCACCGTGCCCGGAGCTGTCTGTCAGTTATCTCTGTTATTTGTCATAATAACTTCTAAAAGTTATCTCAGTTGTCTACATTCTGTTAATTTGTCCTTTGAAGAATCTGTTGTGTCTCATCCTTCTTCTGTCACAAGGTCCTCCCCTTTTATGCTTGCAGCTTTCTAGCTGATTTATCTTAGTATCCCTTAATTACAATGCCTAAAACTATAAAAGTGATCAATCTTTTAAAAAGATAGTAAATCTTACAATATTATTCCCCTGCTTAAAACTCTTGAGTGCTTCTTCATTACGAACAGAATGGTATTCGAGCTCATCACCATGGCACACACCCTCTGGGTTTTTTCCCCCTACCCTTCAACCTCCTATCTTATCCCTCTCCATTTGGAGCCCATCACCCTGCTGCTTCATTGCTTGTGGGTTTATTTATGCCATTGTTTCCTACCTGTGTCACTCTTCTCCATTTTCTTCTGATGTTCATTTTTCAAGAGTCAGCTTGGTTTCAAACTCTAAGAGACCATCTATTCCACAGATTAACCGGAGTATTCCAAGTCACCATGCCTCTTTGTTGTTTCTGCCTTGTATATATGTTACTTTTCTCACCTGTTAAATCTTGAGGACAGGGATTGTGTCATACTTCTTTGTGTATTTTTGACTATTTTTATTTTTTGAGGCAGGGTCTCACTCTGTCACCCAGGCTAGAGTTCAGTGGCACCATCTCGTCTCATGGCAACCTCGACACTGCTCCACTGCCTGGGACCACAGGCTTGTACCACCATGCCTGGCTATCTTCTTTATTTTTTGTAGAGACAGAGTCTCACTATGTTCCCCAAGCTGGTGCTGAACTCCTGGGCTCAAGCAATCAACTCGCCGTACCCTCCCAAAGTGCTGGGATCACAGGCATGAGCTATCATACCTGGCCTTTAATCTCCTTTTAACAGAGCTGCAAGTGCCATTTGAATTGACAAATAGAAAATTGCTGGTTTAAATGACTATTTTAAAAGCTATTAAAACAAAGTTCAATCTCTGGGAAAGTTTATTCGGCCTGTAAAGGTTGTATATTTTATGCTTTGCAATATAGATGTGAGTGTTTTTTTTGTTTGTTTTGTTTTGATTTTTTTGGAGATGGAGTCTTGCTGTTGCCAGGCTGGAGTGCAGTGGCACGATCTCGGCTCACTGCAACCTCTGCCTCCTGAGTAGCTGGGACTACAGGCATGCGCAACCGCACCCAGCTAGTTTTTGTATTTTTAGCAGAGATGGGGTTTTACCATGTTGGTAAAGGATGGCCAGGATGGTCTCAATCTCTTGACCTCATAATCCGCCTGCTTCGGCCTCCCAAAGTGCTGGGGTTACAGGCTTGAGCCACTGTGCCCGGCTGTGAGTCATTTGAGTCTCAGATTTCTTCCTAGAAATTCCTTGACTTGAAAATACAAATATCCTAGGTAATTTAAGAATCTTCTAGCACCAAGACCATTAAATTAAAAATACTATGAAAACTAAACAGAAAGAAATAGAAGCAACCATTTAAAACTAACTTAGTAGATTTACTACCTGTTCTTTTGTTTTTGTTATATGTTCATTGAAGAACCTATAATTTTCTTATTTTTATCTGACACTTAGAATGTTCCCCTTTTTATTTGCAGGAGAGTGAATGCAAAGCATATAATCCTAGACCTTTCTGTAAAACATACACCATGGATAAGCAGCCTCTGAATACTGGGGAACAGAAAGATATGACAGAGTTTTTTACTGATCTAATTACCAAAATCGAAGAAATGTCTCCCGAACTGGTTAGTATCAGAATACTGAAAAGTTTCTTTGAAATTTGAACAAATTTGCCTGCGTTTTAACTAGTTTCTTATTTTTTGTTTGTTTTATATTAAAGAAAAATACCGTCAAAAGTTTATTTGGAGGTGTAATTACAAACAATGTTGTATCCTTGGTAAGTATTATACCTGGTTTTTACTTTTTGGAGATCTTAATATATTTTCATTTATATTATAATTTACTAGTTTTTATTAATTTTTTATGTGTATTGATTAGGATTGTGAACATGTTAGTCAAACTGCTGAAGAGTTTTATACTGTGAGGTGCCAAGTGGCTGATATGAAGAACATTTATGTGAGTAATAATGCACATAATTTTTTTACTTTATGCTTTTACCTATTTGTGTATAGCGGGTTTGTGTTGGTCATCTTGATATTTTTAAACTTTTTTCATGTTTTTATGTATTTTCTTCTTACTGTACTATTCAAATAAGAGTTAAACATCAACCATAAAGCTTTTTCTTGCCCAATCAAAATTTAAATTTTTAATTAACCCTTCAAAAAAGTTACTAAGATTCATAGAATATCTTAATATGAGGAAAAACAGTTTTTTACTAAAATTTAAGAATTCACTTTTAAAAAAAAAATTTTTTTGCTGAGCATTCTGTCAAAATTGTAATTGCCACCTTTTGTATATTTGCATGCTATAAACAATAATATGAAACTTTTAAATGTGGTTTTATACACAGGAATCTCTTGATGAAGTTACTATAAAAGACACTTTGGAAGGTGATAACATGTATACTTGTTCTCATTGTGGGAAGAAAGTACGAGCTGAAAAAAGGTATGCTTTTTCAAATGTGATTTTTATTATGTTCACCGTAGAAGTGAAAGACAAACTAAGGGTAAACTAAGATTAAACTTTGGTGGAAATTATATGATGAAGGTAAAATCAGCTGCATGGAGCTCAGTCTCATGGAGCAACTTTTCATCTAGTTGTTCAGTGAATTACCATTTATTTTGACATATACTGAGCTGTATGAAAGTGGTAATCACTCAACTTGAAACAGTATAGATTTTGGGGAGCAGATACATGGACGATAAGTACATTGATCATTTTCATCATTATCTGTATCGAGTCTCAGATGTCTAGCTTTTGTGACATTTTCTTAAGTAATACAGTGGAACCCCTTATCCTCGGGAAATGTTGCAAGACCCCACAATAGATGTCTGAAACCTCAGATTGTACTGAACCCTATATATACTGCTTTTTGCTGTGCATAACATACCTATGATAAAGTTTAAATTACAAATGAAGCTCAGTATTCTTGCCCTTTGGGGCCATTATTAAGTCAAATAAGGGTTACTTGAACAGAAGCATTGCAATACTATGACAGCCCATGTAATAAGAGAGCTACTAAGTGACCAATAAGTGGGTAGTGTCTGCAACACAGATAAGCTGGACAAAGGGATGATTCATATCCTAAGCAGGATGGTACAAGATTTTATCATGATACTCAGAACACCACACCACTTATGAATTGTTTATTTTTGGAATTTTCTGTAGTAGCTAACTAGGGACTTTTTGTACTAGCTAGCCTTTCCAAAGTATTTTTTATTTAGCAAGCACTGTTGTGAGAACTTTAATCCAGTTAATCCTCACAGCATTTCTTTGCAATAGATGCTGTTATTATCCCCATTTTACATGTGAAGACATGGAGTCACAGAATAAAGAAACTTTCCCAATGCTGATTCCTAAGATACAAATAAGCAAATTTCAGGGAGATAATCAAGTTGAATTTGAGTTCTCATTGGGGCATCCAGCTAGAAAGGTCCTGCAGGCAGTTGGCTGTTACAGTTAGAGCTTGGTGAGAGGTCTAGAATAGAGGTAGATTTGGGAGTTAGTAACTGTTGAGTTAGAGTGTTAAATAAGTGTTTATACTATAATACATTCAAGCTGGTTCCCTTCCAGTGTATTGTTGTTATCTTTGGATGTGTATATTTTGGTACATTGATCAAAAATATTCTTCCTCAGCTTTCATTTTCAGTAGAATTTCTTGGAAAATAATAATTTAGTGGTCTTCAAATAAAAATTGCCTTACACATACAGTGGGTCCCATCTGTAATCCCAGCACTTTGGGAGTTCAAGGATGTGCACTTGAGCCCAGGAGTTTGAGGGCAACATAGGGAAACACTGTTGCTAAAAAAGTTTTAGAAATTAGCCAGACGTGGCATGCACTTACAGTCTCAGCTGTTCGGGAGGCTGAATCGGGAGGATCACTTGAGGCTGGGAGGTAGCTTACAGTGAGCCATGATTGTGCCATTGCACTCCAGCCTCGGCAAAAAATTGAGAACCTATCTCAAAAAAGAAAAAAAAATGCTATACTTGTTCTACTAATGCGTGCCAAACATTATACAATTTTTTCCCTTTATTATTATTCTTTGATGATTCACATGTTCCCCAGGTTGGTCTTGAACTCTTGGGCTCAAACAATCCGCCCACCTCAGCCTCCAAAAATGCTGATATTACAGGCATGAAGCCACTGCACCTGGCCAAAAGGCTCTTAAGAGCCATAAAATGGCAAGTTTAGGACAGAGTAGTTGAGTAAACATTTTAATTTTATATTGAAAGACAAATAGAAATCGGATTGAAAAGAGCATCTTATGCAGTTAGTTACTAAGAACGAATGCAGAGAAATAGAAATGTCCTTGAATGTGCAAAAAATCTAGGATTAGGCCAGCCTGCATTTTTAAGTAGTGTATTCACATGGAACAGTAGTGGAAAACAAGATTGGTAACACGATGGCATCAGATTATTGCCATCCAAGTTTTAGGTTTATCTGTGTGATTGAATCTATCAGAATATCTGCCTGAGAAATAATGTAATTGTTGGAAAAGACTTAAGAGCTAAGCCAACCTAAAAGTACAGAGGACAAAGTGACAGAAGAGAGACAAGGAAAGAAAGAAAATTAGGATAAAATGGTAACCCCCAAACTGGGAGGAGAATCTCAAGAAGAAAATAATCAATTAATATAATTCACAGAGATGAAAGACAATGACAGCTGAATAAAAGCATTGGGTTTTTCCAGAAGGTAGTTTAGTGATGTGTTTTGTCAGGTTATAGGAATAGAAGCAACATTGTCGGGACACATGGAATCAAGCATAAATCATTGATTTTTAAAGTTTGGCAACAGGCCAGGCACGGTGGCACATGCCTGTAATCCCAGTACTTTGGGAGGCCAAGGCAGGTGGATTGCCTGAGGTCAGGAGTTTGAGACCAGCCTGGCCAACATGGTGAAACCCTGTCTCTACTAAAAATACAAAAATTAGCCGGTTGTGGTGGCTCACGCCTGTAGTCCCAGCTACTTGGGAGGGTGGGGCAGGAGAATCACCTGAACCTGGGAGGCAGAGGTTGCAGTGAGCCAAGACCATGCCCCTGCACTCCAGCCTGGGTGACAGAGCAAGACTATGTCTCAAAAAAAAAAAAAAGCAATAAAAACAGCAAGGAAAATAGTAGCCAGAAAGAGTCTTGGGGCTCAAACAAAGGATTTTTCTAGATGAAAGATATCTGAGCATGTTTGAAGGCAGAGAATAAAAAGTCATTATACAATAAGATACTAAAATTGCTTAAGAGGAGGTTTTCCAGGTCAGTATTTATTTGAAAGGGATGGTATTCATTTTTCCAATTTCAAGAAGGGTAGTTGGGCAAGTTGTTAGGTGGACATAGTCAAATGAAAGCGTAGCTATGTAGGCAATTACACGAAGAAGACAAACTCATCTGATGAGAGTTGGGTTAGGATAAGAGTTAGGGACGTATATAAAATGGAGTCAGTCAAAAGTTAACTGCTGTAGAGGAATATAATAAATGAGTCACCAAAAGATCATCAAGGGTCTGAGTCAAGTTCTTTGGAGAATCTCTAATTGGAATAAATGTATTGAATAAATCTGTCGTTCTTGATAACTCCCTTCTTTTGACTGATAAGATTCTGCTGTTTTTCTGAAATACCTGTCACATCTCTCCCAGGTAGTCAGTCATTTTTGTTCTTACTATACTTTTATATCTCTGTACTAACATAATAATCAACAGAAATGGGCCAATTGAGGAAGTGAACAAAGTGCTTATTATCCTCAATAGGATCATATACTGTTCTATTTTCAGACCTCTGGTTTTCTCAATCTATTCATTTTACCTCAGTAACTTATCAATCACCATAATACCAATTTTTTACTAATATGCTACTGACAAAGCATTCTAAACTAAGAAAATGACAGCTGAATAAAAGCATTGGGTTTTTCCAGAAGGTAGTTTAGTGATGTGTTTTGTTTTGTTTTGTCATCTTAGTTTAGAATGCTTTGCTGTGCTCTGTCACCTGTTCTCCAATCTTTCTGGATCTGCTCATCTCTCTTACTTATTGACACAATGCATGGTTTCACCCCATGCCACAAGCTCATTAGTTATTCTTCAGAATTGTTAGGATGAAGTTCACACTCTATCATTACATACATTTGACTCTGTTATACTTCATTTGTCAGTCTCCCAAATAATCTAAAATAGTGAATTTTTGAACTTTTTATTCCCTCTGCCTGTAACATCTTTCATTCCTTGTTTCCCTAAATTCATACTTTTTGTATTTTTGACTGTGTTCTTGGTTTAAATAAATTCTCGTTTGATATTTATGTGCAGTGGAAAATTATTCCCTAAAATTCATTTTTTTGTAAATCAGAGTTTGTATATTTTTGTCTGTTTAAATTGAACTTGAACTAGCAATATGTTATGGTATAGGATTTAGGTGACCAGTTGATTTTCTGCTGTTGCTGCTGCTGCTGCTGCTGCTGCTATTGTTACTGTAGTAGCAGCAATTGACACTTAACTGAATGCTGTTTGCCAGGCAGTGTTTCAAAGATAGTATCGGGTAGGTAATCTCCATTTTACAACCCAGCAATTGAGCTCAGAGAGGTTAAGTAACTTATATAGGGTCATTCATCTAATAAGGGATTACAGCCAGACTTTGCAATTCTGGTTCACAAAAATAAGTACTTTGATTCCTTTTATTTAGGGAAGAAAGGAAAACTCTGAACCAAAGACCTCCTTGGCCCTGGAGAATGATGGAACTCCTTTTCATGCTTCCATAGCACCCTTTTGTATCTTTATCATGGTGTTTACCGTAGTCTACCATAACATTTTATTTTTCTTATCTCGACATAGGAAAATCTTTTCAGAATGGAAAAAGTTGTGGGTGTGTTTGCTGTTTTTTTTTTTTAAACAAATTAAAATGTTTATTTAACAACCGAATTGAGTACGGAAAGATGAAACAAATGCACAGTCACGTATATACAGTATATCAAGGGGGCGGCCTTTCTAACAAGGATGCTGTAGAAAGAAAAAAATGTCCAAATGGGGAACAGTCCTGGTTTCATCAAGAAGCTTTTATGGCATTTGATGTTAAACCTTATGTAAATACAGTAATCTGATGGATTTGGCAAAGATTTTTTTCATTTCCAGTCTTTTAAAGTAGACACAAATTTGCTTAGAATAAAGCTGATTTTTAAGAGCACACAAAAGTTGAGGACAAAGGATAGGAATAAATTAACAAATGCAGAGTGATGAAGAGTAAAAAGATACTGAGCAGCTGACTCATCATCCAAGGTGGTTACCTAATAATCAGAGGATGAAGACCTTATACTGCAAAAGCAACAATAGTTTCGTATATAAACGATACAGCTGAGTTTGTAGTTATATCTTGGCTTCTATTTATTAAGAAAAATTAGCATAGTTATGTGTAATCTTTAGTAGACAACCTGCATTCATTTAAATTAAACAATATTTTCTACAATAGTGTAATATAAGGCCACAATATTTATTTTGAACAAACTCTTTAAAGTAGTGATTTTAATATCAGTGTTATTCATTCTTTTGAAATATAGTTTTTTAGCTGAATTAAGTTATAGATAATTTTTACAGTACTACATCAAGACTAGTAAAATTGTTTGTATTCAGATATTTATGTCTAATATCCAGTGAAAATTTACTACCAAGTTTTTACAGTAGATTCGTTTATTTATTTACTTATTTATTTATTTATTTTTTTTGAGATGGAGTCTCGCTTGATCACCCAGGCTAGAGTGCAGTGGCACAATCTTGGCTCACTGCCAGCTCCGCCTCCCGGGTCCACGCCATTCTCCTGCCTCAGCCTCCTGAGTAGCTGGGACTACAGGCGCCCGCCACCACGCCCGGCTAATTTTTTGTATTTTTAGTAGACACGGGGTTTCACTGTGTTAGCCAGGATGGTCTCGATCTCCTGACCTCATGATCCGCCTGCTCCAGCCTCCCAAAGTGCTGGGATTACAGGCGTGAGCCACCGCACCCAGCCTACAGTAGATATTAATCATTCTGACTTGCCTATTGATCCCTTAAGTATAATTGTAGATCGGCCTGATTTTAGTGTCTATTCTTTGATTTTACTAAATTAGGAATGCAGGAGTTACAGAACAAGTACACACAAGTGATGCAGCCATACAAGGATCATAACAGCTCTTCAATTAACTATGTGCAAGCTCAAATACAATCCCACTAATGAACAGCCAGGTTCCAATTCTTCATGAAAAGGTGCTGGTGGAGGTTGTCAGCCACCTTTTAATAGACATTCCCAATCCAGTGGCCAGTAAATGAGAGAACAGCAGAGATGGAAGAAAAACCTTCAGAAATTTTGCAGAGAATATGCCCTCTTTCTTCATGATGTTTGTGTTTCTCATGCTGAGAGTGGCCATGCATGTGGGGTGTTTAATCTATAAACAGGAGAGACTAACAGTACCTTCCTTATAGGATTGTTGTAAAAAGTATATGCGTTAATGTACAGCAAGCCCTTATGAGAGGAACTCCTTGGGGGGAATATTTTCTGGTTAACTCAACCAATCCCATGTCCAATCTGAGGTTTTTCTTTCAAAATGCTTTCAACTTCTTTCCTTCTCTCAATATAACCTTCCTCAGACTGAGAGCTGTTTTTCTTTTCTTTTTTGAGTCTCGCTCTGTTGTCCAGGCTGGAGTGCAGTGGTGTGATCTTGGCTCCCTCCAACCTCAGCCTCCCGAGTAGTTGGGATTACAGGCTTGTGCACTACCGCACCCAGCTAATTTTTATATTTTTAGTGGAGACATGGTTTTGCCATGTTGGCCAGAATGGTCTCGAACTCCTGGCCTCAAGCAGTCTGCCCACTTTAGCCCTCCAAAGTGCTGGTATTACAGGCGTGAGCCACCGCGCCTAGCCTGAGAGCTGTTTTTCTCTCCAATGCTATGGCTGGCTGTTTCAGCAGCTCTGTTAGTATCTTCTGATGTCTGAGAGCGAGGTATCCTGTCACAGTGAGAACTCTTGGAGATATTCTGTCCAGACTCATGCTGGGCATCTAGTAGTACTTTTTCCATGTCACTGGTAGAAACAGAAACAGGCTGGAACACTGCCCCCATTCCTATTATTGCTAAAGTGTAATTCTGCCAGGAGCCCTGCAGACTCTTCTTCTGCATCGTGGGGACTCTGCTCTGTGACATGGTGCTAGAGGGTGGCTGCCAGGCATCGGGCTGCCCTTCAGTGGTGGGCCGTTGGAAAAGGGCGAGCAGGAGTGCTGCTGCCTAGTGCTCAGGGACTGACTGTATAGTTTTAATAAGAATGTGATTTAGAATACTTCTATAGTCTCCCTTCTCTGTGGTTTTTCTTTCTGCAGTTTGTTACCTGCAGACAGGCAAGGTCTGAAAATATTACATAGAAAATTTCAAAAATAATTCTTAAGTTTTAAATTGCCCACTGGACTGAGTAGCATGATAAAATCTGGCACAGTCCCCACCTGGGATGTAAACCATCCCTTTGTCCAGCATGTCCATGGTGTATACACTACTTGTTCATTAGTCACTTAGTGGCCCTTTTGGTTACCTTCGCAGTATTGTACTGTTTGTATTCAAGGAACCTTTATTTTACTTAATGGCACCAAAGTGCAAGAGTAGTGTTCATTAACAGTTGGGCTTTGCCAAAGAGAAGCTGTAAAATGCCTTAAAGTTCTCAATATGAAAAGAAAAAAATCATACGATGAGGTTGCTAAAATCTGTAAAATTGTGAACAGTGTATTGTTAGAATTGTTCTATTTTATTAATACTTGTTAATCTCTTGCTGTGCCTAATTTATAAATTAAACTTTATCTGGAATAGGGAAAGAAAACATACGATGAGGTTGCTAAAATCTGTGAAATTGTGAACAGTATATTGTTATAATTGTTGTATTTTATTAATACTTGTTAATCTCTTGCTGTGCCTAATTTCTAAATTCGCTTTGTCATAGGTATGTTGGTTTAGGAGAAACCGTAGTGTATATAGAGTTTGATACTGTCCTCAGTTTCAGGCAGACACGGGGTGTTCTCAGAAGGTATCCCCTGTGGATAAGGGGAACTACTATACTTCTTAACTCTGAGTTGAAAATTGAAATGGATATAGCATAACAGAAATCAAACCAACTGAAGTATTTGTAAAAAATAATCTTTATTAATTTTTTTCTTGTCTCTCAGGGCATGTTTTAAGAAATTGCCTCGCATTTTGAGTTTCAATACTATGAGATACACATTTAATATGGTCACGATGATGAAAGAGAAAGTGAATACACACTTTTCCTTCCCATTACGTTTGGACATGACGCCCTATACAGAAGATTTTCTTATGGGAAAGAGTGAGAGGAAAGAAGGTGATTTTTTCATTTCTTTCTCTTGTCTGTGATTATTGTCAATCTCCATAACAAGGTAGGCATAATTATAAAGTTGTCATCAACTACACAGTTAACAAAAATTGAATCTTAGAAGGGAGAAGGTTAAGACAATGTCATGCATTCAGTCAGTTAACCAGTAAATATTTAGTATCTACTAGGACTATGTTCCTAGGCACTCTTCTGTATACTGGAGACACAGTGGTGAACAGGATAAGCACGGTTGTTGCTCTTGTGGAGCTTAAATCTCGTGGGGTAAGTCTTTTTATGTTGTTTTTTGTGGGGGTTTTTTTTTTTTTTTTTTTTTGGTCTTCTGAGACAGTCTTATTTTGTCTCCTAGGCTGGAATGCAGTGGCATGATCTTGGCTCACTCCACCTCCCAGGTTCAAGTAGTTCTTGTGCCTCAGCCTCCCAAGAAGCTGGGACCATAGGCACGCACCACCAGGCCCAGCTAATTTTTGTATTTTTAGTAGAGACAAGGTTTCGCCGTGTTGGCTAGGTTGGTCTCGAACTCCTGACCTCAGGCAATCCACCTGCATTGGCCTCCTCAAGTGCTTGGATTACAGGTGTGAGCCACTGTGCCCGGCCTCTTGCTCGTTTATCCTTCTTTAGGAAGGGTGCAGTGAGTTGAGATTGCACTACTGCACTCCAGTGTGGGCGACAGAGCGAGACTCTGTCTCAAAAAAATAAAAATAAGTTGTAGGACATGGACCAGTAGAGATGACAGGTGAAGTTAAGAAGTGGGCATTGTATGTATACATTCTACTTTTTAGACCTATTATTAAACCATTTGAAAAATTAGACAGGTGCAGTGACACATGCCTATGGTCACAGCTATTAGGAGGCTGAGATGGGAGGATCACTTGAGCCCAGGAGTCCAGGGCTGCAGTAAGCTATGATTATGCCACTGCATTCCAGCCTGGATAGTAGAGCAAGACTCCATCTATTTGAAAAAAAATTTTTTTCTGGAAGAGTAGAGCAGAACCTCCTCACAGCTGTGCTTCATTATATTTCTTGTGATGTTTCCACTTGTGGAGAGAGCAGAATTTATGCCAGGATAAAGGAATTTGTTAGGCCACAAGTGATGCAGTCAGATCCTGGCACTGCCTCCATAAGCATATCTACACTCCTCAGCCACTGTCTTGACACCTTGAGTCATACCCTTCTCTTACTGACCTAATTATCTCTTCATGTTCCAGTTCAGACTGTACCCTCAAGTCAGCCAGATCTCATCATTTCCTTATTCTGTATTCTACTTTTCCCTTTCTGTGTGGTAGTGGGAATACAGATCATAAATCATACATCATCTTCAAACTTATTAGACCACTCTACATTTTTTTTCCTCAGTATCTTTTATTACCTTTATATTTTAAATCTTTGGGGATAGGAAGTGTACCTTTTTCTTTATTTTGTTTCTGTCTACACAAATCTCTTAATACGTAGTGTTTTTTATTAACTGATATATATTTGGAAGCTGCCAGTACATTGGTTCGTTTTCCTTTTTTTTAAAAGGAAACCATGTTTAAACCACTTTTCTTAACATGAGAATAAAAGAAGTATGCTAATTCCTTTTTAGGTCTTAGGTTTGTCTGCTCCTAGTAAAGATTAAATAGAATGGAGCATTTTATATTACCTATTTCAAAAGATTAGTCAGATTAAAGAAATATTTTATATTTATACTTTATATTGAAGTTGTCCATAATTATGTATTAACACATGGTTGTTTTTCTAGTGGTTTGTTTAATATGTCCTTTATGGTAGTAGGCTAAGGATGGTGAATGACTAGCAGATAGTTGTTTTGTACCTATTTAACATATAAACTATTTGTGCCTATTTCTGTAAATAAAGTTTATTATAAAAGTGATTCTAAGTAACTCGTCACATTGGGAAAATTATTTTTATTTTATTAAAATGACTTAAAATATTGTAATTGATAAAGTTTATTTTAAAAAGTGTTTCTAAGTAACTGTTGTGAAGTTTGGAAAATTATTTCCATTCTGTGTAAATCATTTCAGGTTTTAAAGAAGTCAGTGATCATTCAAAAGACTCAGAGAGCTATGAATATGACTTGATAGGAGTGACTGTTCACACAGGAACGGCAGATGGTGGACACTATTATAGCTTTATCAGAGATATAGTAAATCCCCATGCTTATAAAAACAATAAATGGTGAGTTTTAAATATTTCAAAACTTCTTTAACAATTTATGGTAGTTTTCTGATATGTTTTCAGTGTTTAGTTTTCTAAAAACTTGCCACAAAAGTTGGAAATGAGGCAGACAAAATTTTTAAATGAAGATAACTTTCAACAGACAGTGTAAATCAGTTCTTAAACATACGGATCTTTTAACTCTTGAGAATTTGAATCCTTTCCTTGGAGAAATGAACACAGTTTTGCAGACAACTTTAGGAGATTTATAGACAACATTTCAACTCTTATCTTCTCTATTCATTCAAGAGCTGTTCATTGAATATCTTCTACAGTGTAGCCTTATATGTGCCATTAGAAGTTACCTGCATGCTCTGCTTGTTTCACCTCCTATTGGGAGGACCACACACACTTCTTTTTATCCTTTTATCAAGTTAATGGTTGGAAGTCATTAAACCAGTCCCCAGTACCTGTTTTTTGGTCTTCAGATATTGTTAGGTAGGGTCTGGCCTATAGGTACTATATGTGTGCTAGGCACTGTTCTAAGTGCTGGGGATATTGATTTGAAGAAAATGTACAATTGTTAATTGATTTTCAGTTAGCAGAATAATTTCATTGAGTTATTTTTCACTCCTTCACCCATCAGGTCCATGGTGCCTTTTCCTTTTTTTATCCATTTGAATGTTTCCATAAGTATATTTTGAATCTTTTTTTGATCATAAATTTTGAAATGGTACCTTTGAAAGTTCTCCCAATCTCTTAATTTTTCCTAATAGCGTTACATGTTATATTAAAGCAAACTTTTTTATTTCTTTTATGAATTCTTTTGTTAATCCTAGGTCATAAATGGATCTATCTGATTATAAGGTGCTTAAGAATATGTTATAAAATTATATTTCCAATTTCTAGTAGATTAGAATTGTAAAAATAAGAACTTAGAATTTACCTCATGAAATAATTTGACACTTGTAACATTGGTTATTCAAAAAATAGTAGACATAATATGAAGATACTCATTATATGCATACTAGATTAATACTATATGCTCTATTTTAGGTATCTTTTTAATGATGCTGAGGTAAAACCTTTTGATTCTGCTCAACTTGCATCTGAATGTTTTGGTGGAGAGATGACGGTAAGTTTTATTCAGAAATTATAAATGGTTTGTGTCCTTCCAAGTGCTTTGTCATATCATAAAATCCAATAGCAGAGTCGCTTAACTTTCTTTTAATTGCTATGATTAAATCAAAAATTTATTCAGTTTATATTTATTGGAAGTTTAGTATGTTCTCAGAAATATTTTTAAAGTGCTATTTCTGCTTTCCACAACAGCCCGATTAAGAAGGTAAGAGAAATAAAAAGCTTAGTAGTATGGGAGTTGAATTACAGTGCCATGAGAATAAGATTGAGTAAATTGTTTACTCAGTGAATTCTGTGGGATCAGAGCAAAGAGAAATTACTGTTTACTGACTTAATCTGAAAAATCTTTGACAAGGGAGTCTCTCTTAGCTTACTGTGGCTCAAGAGGCTACCTGATTCACAATAAGAAAAAAAGAAATTAAAAAAATGTTTGGCAAGGAAGTTGGCTTGAGCTAAGTTTTAAAGGATTGTTCTTTCAGTGCTTTTTATAACACCAGCAGCAACCTGGATAACACTAGATACTGGATAGAAAAAGGACATCTTCTATGTGACATAATTGAGAAAAGACTTTTTTTTTTTTTTTTTGCCCCCAAGTCGGATTCTTGCTGTGTCGCCCAGACTGGAGTCAGTGGCGCGATCTCGGCTCACTGCAACCTCCACCTCCTGGGTTCCAGCTATTCTCGAGTCTCAGCCTCGGGAGTAGCTGGGATTACAGGTACCTGCCACCATCCCCAGCCAATTTTTGTATTTTTAGTAGAGGTGGAGTTTCACCATGTTGGCCAGGCTGGTCTCAAACCCCTGAACCCAAGTAATCCACCTACTGCAGCCTCCGAAGTGCTGGGATCACAGACGTGAGCCATGGCACCTAGCCAACAATAGATATTGAAAAGACATTTGGGTTGGAGTATTGTAATAATTTCACTTCTCTATAGGCAGTTTATCCTAGTATCAATTTTCTGAGAACTGTTTTAAAATATTCTCTTGATTCTCACAAGACAAATATTAGTCATTTCCGTTTCATAGATTAGCCCAAATAAAGTTGTTTTTTTGACTTAACCATATTTGTTATGAATTAACCATTTACAGTCTGGATTTTATAGTTGATCTTAGCCGAAAGTTGAGAAATGATACACATTCCAGATTTTAATGAAGGGCTTCCTTATTGCTTCTCGGTGTTCTTGTCTACTCTGCTGAATGGAAAAAGAAAAGCAGTCCACTTGCTAACAATTTAGAAATGGGTAGAATAGGGAAGTAAATATTGAGTTACTGCTAAAGCCACCACTAAACCAATTGCATCTGTAGATGTTATGCCTAGAATGTCTCCTTTTTTTTTTTTTTGAGACAGTCTCACTCTGTCACCAAGCTGGGGTACAGTGGCGTGATCTTGGCTCACTGCAGCCTCCAACTTCTGGTTCAAGTGATTCTCCTGCCTCGGCCTCCCGAATAGCTGGGATTACAGGCACGCGCCACCATGCCCAGCTAATTTTTGTGTTTTAAGTGGAGACGGGGTTTCACCATGTTGGCTAGGATGGTCTTGATCTCCTGACCTTGTGATCGCCCACCTTGGGCTCCCAAAGTGCTGGGATTATAGGCATGAGCCACCGTACTCAGCCGAATGTTTCCTTTTAAAAAAAAAAAAAAAAAAATGAAGGAAGAAGAGGAAGGCTCTTCTCTTAAAAAGTAGTTTTTCAAATTGCAGGTCCACTTTTTTTTTCTTTTACATATTTTATGGTAAAGTATCTTTAAAAAATGTTTTGAGGCCGGGCATGGTGGCTCACGCCTGTAATCCCAGCACGTTGGGAGGCCGAAGCAGGTGGATCACCTGAGGTCAGGAGTTCAACACCAGCATGGCCAATGTGGGGAAACCCCACCTCCACTAAAAATGTAAAAATTAGCCGGGCGTGGTGGCGGGTGCCTGTAGTCCCAGCTACTCAGGAGGCTGAGACAGGAGAATCGCTTGAACCCGGGAGGTGGAGGTTGCAGTGAGCCGACATCGCGCCATTGCACTCCAGCCTGGGTAACAAGAGCAAAACTCCGTCTCAAAAAAATATAAAATGTACGCTGGGCATGGTGGCTCAGGCCTGTAATCTCAGCACTTTGGGAGGCTGAGGCGGGCGGATTGCTTGAGGTCAGGAGTTCGAGACCATCCTGGCCAACATGGTGAAACCCCATGTCTACTAAAAACACGCAAAAAATTAGCCAGGTTTGATAGCGGGCACCTGTAATCCCAGCTATTCAGGAGGCTGAGACAGGAGAACCCCTTGAACCAGGCGGAGATTGCAGTGAGCTGAGATCAAGCCATTTCACTCCAGCCTGGGAGATGAGCAAAACTCCGTCTCAAAGAAAAAAAAATGTTTTGAATCTTTGTGTTTTAAAATGTCTGCCTCTGTCCCTTCTGATTTCATTGCCCATAATGCTGCTTGTCTGCTTCCCTTGGCTTTTTAAATTTTTTCTGTCACAGCACACCTGAAGTTCTCCAGCATTACCAGTAGAATCCTCGTCTCCTTACTCATTAAGAAACAGTCTTTAAGTTCTCAGAAGCCCCACCACTAAATTCTCGTAATATGCCATATGTTCACTTACCTCTCTGGGATCCTTTGTTCAGCCTCCTTTTGTCCTATGACCTTTCTTTCTTATTCAAATTCTAGATCTTTACTGATTGCTTCTTATTGCTTCATGGTCCCTTTTCTTTCCTTTGCATCGTGTGTGTGTGTGTGTGTGTGTGTGTGTGTGTGTGTGTGTGTGTATGTATTATCTTTGGTTGACTCTTACCTTTTTCTGACTCTTACCTTTTTCTGATGCTTCTTTTGCTGTCTCCCATCAGTTGGATTGCTTAAAGTGTGTACTGACAAAACCATTTCATCTGCATAAAGTTACTTACAACTTTGAGGTTCAAAATTATGTTTGTGAAGGATTGGTGGAGGTAGATGTTTTGACATGTCAGAATAAATTACAGCTTCGTGCCAATGAGATATTTTAATAATATGCTTTCCTCATTTATAATGTTGCTGAGAAAGAACTATTTAAATTCAGTTTTTATTTCCACTTATTTATTGCATTTACCAAAATTAGGACAAGGCCAACTACTTTCTTGCCTCACTGTCATCATTTGTTTTCTTTTGTTATAGTAAAATTTTCTCAGTCTCAACTTTATAGTGTTCTCTATCTAAAAATAATAAAAATAATAAAAACTAAAAAAAAGATATTAGGATATATTGGCCAAATTGTGAAGTACGTAGAATTTTTATGAAGGCGGCGGTGTTTGAAAACTACTTACAAAGTTACTATTAAGTATAAAATAGCTGTTTATGAAATAATTTATATATAAATATAGCTGAGTATACCCATTTTTTCAAAGAAGTAAAACTTTTGTATTTTTAAACAGACCAAGACCTATGATTCTGTTACAGATAAATTTATGGACTTCTCTTTTGAAAAGGTAACCATTTTTTTCATGTATAATTTTATATTGTTTTTTCTTCTGCATTGTCTACTTTTAGAGTAATACTTTGTCAAAATGAAAATAAATTTTTTTCTTGCCTCTTAAAGACACACAGTGCATATATGCTGTTTTACAAACGCATGGAACCAGAGGAAGAAAATGGCAGAGAATACAAATTTGATGTTTCGTCAGAGTTACTAGAGGTATAAGTTAATTTCATTTGAGCAACATTTTAAAAATATGTTAAGTGTTTATGCAAGGAATACTGTAGTGTAAGAACAGGTTCTACAGGTTGATATCTGCAATTCTGAGTAGATCTTAAGAGTATTTACAAATAGTCTTGGTAATACTGATATAAGACCCGTAAATGAAAATGAATGAGATTAAATGGAGTAGAAAATATCACTAAAAGAGAGTAGGCGACTGGGTGTGGTGATTCATGCCTGTAATCTCAGCACTTTGGGAGGCCGAGGTGGGTAGATCACGAGGTCAGGGGTTCAAGACCAGCATGGCCAAATGGTGAAACTCTGTTTCTCCTAAAAAATACAAAAAGTAGCCGAGCGTGGTGGTGGGCGCCTGTAATCCCAGCTGCTTGGGAGGCTGAGGCAGAGAATTGCTTGAACCTGGGAGGCGGAGGTTGCAGTGAATGGAGATCACACCACTGCACTCCAGCCTGGGTGACAGAGCAAGACTCCATCTCAAAAAAATTTAAAAAGGTGGCAGAAAGGTTGAGGGAATCAGAGTGACTTAACAATTTGTGAGGTTAGTAATGTTTTGCTTCTTAGATTGGATGATGGGTTTGTAAGTGTTCCTTCTGTTGTGTCTCATGATACAGACCCATGCCCTCAAGCATGCATTGTAATTGAAATGCCATTAAAATGTATTTTACACCCAGGCGCAGTGGCTCATGCCTATAATCCCAGCACTTTGGGAAGCTCAGACAGGTGGATCACGTGAGGCCAGGAGTTTGAGACCAACCTGGCCAACATGGCAAAACTGCAGCTGTACTAAAAATACAAAGATTAGCTGGGTGTATTGGTGGGCACCTGTAATCCCAGCTACTCAGGAGGCCTAGGCGAGAGAAGCCCTTGAACCTGAGAGGCGGAGGTTATAGTGAACCGAGATCACACCACTGTATTTCAGCCTGGGCAACAGAGCAAAACTCTGTCTCAAAAAAAAAAAATGGGCTGGGCGCGGTGGCTCATGCCTGTAATCCCAGCACTTTGGGAGGCCGAGGCGGGCGGATCACGAGGTCCGGAGATTGAGACCATCCTGCCTAACATGGTAAAACCCCATCTCTACTAAAAATACAAAGAATTAGCTGGGCATGTTGGCGGGCGCCTGTAGTCCCAGCTACTCGGGAGGCTGAGGCAGGAGAATGGCGTGAACCTGGGAGGCGGAGCCGAGATCGCACCACTGCACTCCATCCTGGGCAACAGAGTGAGATACTGTCTCAAAAAAAAATGTATTTTACATATTAAGGAATACAAATGTGTTCATTTGTAGTTATGAGGCTTCATTTCAGAATGTTGTAAGTAGTAATAGTACATTATTGAGTACATAACTGAATGTGTTTTGGTTTGGTGTTAGGAATTCAGTCAGCCAAAAACACAAAAAAGCAAATCTTCTCCAGAAATGCACACCTGATTAAATTGTATGCATTTGTCTAGGCAATTCAGCTTTTACTATCTGGATAAAAAAAAAATTTTTTTTTTGTAATATTGGGATCAAGTCTTTTTTTTTTTTTTTTTTGAGAAGGAGTCTCGCTCTGTCGCCCAGGCTGGAGTGCAGTGACGGGATCTCAGCTCACTGCAAGCTCCACCTTCTGGGTTCATGCCATTCTCCTGCCTCAGCCTCCCTAGTAGCTGGGACTACAGGCACCCGCCACCACACCCAGCTAATGTCTTTTTTGTATTTTTAGTAGAGAGGGGTTTCACTGTGTTAGCCAGGATGGTCTCAATCTCTTGACCTCCTGATCCGCCCATCTCGGCCTCCCAAAGTGCTGGGATTACAGGATTGTTCTCAAATGCTTTTAACTAGTATCTTGCCTGCACATGTGTTAATGGTAAAAAGCCAGGAATGTTGTCTTTTTTCAATTCCATGAATTGGATTTAGCAGCTGAATTAGATGGTATTCATTATAAATGGCTTCATTAGATTTGAAGCTACTAAACTTACCTATTTGTATAAAAATTTATCTCAATCATCATCATAACCACAATTAATTTGAATCATTTTTGTGCACAGCCTTTTGCCCTAAAGATATTAGACAAATCTAGACCTTGCTTTATATAAGTACCCAACAGTGTTTAATGACAATTAGCCCACTTGTGAAGTAAAATGAAATTTTAAATAAAACCTTTACAATGATGATGTATTTTGTTTATTTACATCAGTGGTTCTCAAACTTCTGTGTGTGTGTGTGTGTGTGTGTGTGTGTGTGTGTGTGTGTGTGTGTGTGTGACAGGGCCCTCATTTAAAGTGAGGAAGCTTAATCATTTCTAGCTTTTGATTTAAGGTGAAAGATGTGTGACTCCTCCTTTTACTGGATACAGAGAGGCCATTGTAGGGTTGTTAATTGGCCTAATTCCAGTATTGTCTCAGAGAATATGGAGGCCTGAGGAGAGGGAGAAAGTGAACAGCTACTCGGTGCAGTCAGAACACACACAACATGTATTAAGTTTGCCGTCTTATATGGGTGTAGTTCGTGGTACCCTGAAACAATCACAACAGTAACATCAAAAATCATACTGGTTATAGATCACCATAATAATATAATATATAATAATATATAATAATGATGAAAATGTTTGAAATATTTCAGGAATTACCACAGTGTGACAGAGACAGAAAGTGAGCACATGCTATTAGAAAAATGGTGCCAATAGACTTGCTTGATTGCAGGGCTGCCACAGCCCTTCAATTTGTTTAAAAATACAGCATCTGCAAAGTGCAGTAAAGTGAAGCACAATAAAATGAGATATGCCTGTACATTAGAAAATTCCTCATTGCAGACCTAAGCCAACAATTTTTTCTATAATTGTTCCAGCTTACTATTTTTAAATGGGTGTGCCTACATGTTTTCTTAAAATTAAATTTAAAATGTAAAATACTGTGTACATGAATATTAATATGGTTTTAGATATAAACCAGAATGTGGTTTTTTAGATTTGTACATTTAAAGCATAGTTATTAATCCCAAAGGATAACATAAAACATTTTAGAAGCATAAAAGAGATTAAGCAAACTAATTATAAATTGTAATGATTCTTACAGATAATAGAAGGTAACAGTTCTCAGAAAGTGTAGTTGATAGTGATTGCTAGAAAAGGGTCAGGAAATGCTTCAGGAAGTTAACCTTAAACTGAAACTTGAGAGTTAGAGAAGAGGTAATCATGTGAAGAATGCTTCGGGCCAGGCAAAACATTATGTACAAATTGCCTAGGAAGGACAGAGCTTATTGGCATGTTTTGGAAGCCAAAAAGTGACCTGTATGGCTGTGATGGAAGTTCAAGGAAAAGTGGCCCAAGATGAGGATGGACAGTTAGGTAGAAAATAGCTAGGGTAAGGCTGGGCACGTTGCCTCACACCTGTAATCCCAGCACTTTGGGAGGCTGAGGCAGGTGGATCACTTGAGGTCAGCAGTTCGAGACCAGCCTGGCCAACATGATGAAACCCCCTCTCTACTAAAAATACAAAAATTAACTGGGTATGGTGGCGGGCACCTGTAATCCCAGCTACTTGGGAGGCTGAGGCAAGAGAATCGCTTGAACCTGGAGGTGGAGATTGCCGTGAGCCGAGATCGCGCCATTGCACTCCAGCCTGGGCAACAAGAACGAAACTTGTCTCAAAAAAAAGAAAAGAAAAAAGAAAATAGCTAGGGTGGCTGGGCAGGGTGGGCAGGATGAGATTACACCTGTAATCTAAGCACTTTGGGAAGTAGGTGGATTGCTTGACCCCAGGAGTTCAAGACCAGCCTGGGCAACAGGGCAAAACCCCATCTCTACAAAAAAAAAAATACAAAAATAATAGCTGGGCATGGTGGCACGCACCTGTGGTCCCAGCTGCTCAGGAGGTTGAGGTGGGAGGATCACCTGAGACCAGGGAGGTCAAGGCTGCAGTGAGCTGTGATCATGCTGCTGCACTCCAGCCCAGGTAACAGAGTGAGACCCTGTCTTTAAAAAAAAAAAAAAAAAAAAAAAAAAAAAATCCACAGAAAATAGCTATACACATACATAGATACAGTATAAAAAGGACTATCAAACAGACAAGTGTTTGTAAAACAAAAACAGAGCAAAACCAAAAGCACTTATATGATAGAAACCACAGTATTACCAGCCTTTAGGTCCAGGAGATCATGTTGACCAGTAGTTAGGCCATTATGGGGTTGAAGGGACAAAAATTGTGACACAGAATCTACAACTGAGCCCATGGCTGGAATCCAGAGTTTAGAATGGGGCTCCCTTATTATTTATAAACAGTACTGAATGAGATGGGCAGAATGCTATCAGACTCTGCCTGATACAGAGTCTGATACAGGGGCTACAGCTTAATAGAAAGTTTTTGTGCCTGGAAATGCCCAAGAACTCTGAAGCCGGCTATTCACTGATTAGACTGTGATTTCTGGAATATCACTGTAGAGCAGGAACCCTATTAAGTTCTAAATTAGTGTAGTGGGCTGGAGAGGCAAAGAGGGATAGTTGAAAATCTTCAGTGGAAGATTAAAGATAAAGTTGGGACTTTAATCAGCTCAAAATGAACCGACCAACCAAAATTCCAAAATAAAATCAGAAGTATAACTCTACAAAAAACAGCTAGTAATATCAATAGTCAGAACATCTAGGTAAAAATAGTTTTATAGAACTGACAAAAATGTAAGTCATATTTAAGGTATTCAGACAGATGAAGACAAAAACAGCATTGATCCTGCAGTCCTAATGTCAGAAATAATTTTTCATGATTTTTATAAACAAATCACGTCTGATTTAGGTCTGCTAACCAGAGTTAAGTATTGTGCCAACTTTTAAATGTAAACCTCTCTTTTGTAACCTTATCAGAATGTAACATGACTTATATTTCATTCAATTATATACTTGCTCTTCAAATAGGATTTCAGAATTCTTGCAGCATTTTTATAAATACAATAAAAACCTCACAATTGCTTGAGGTAGCCAGATAAGTATTAATAATTACAAAATATTAGTAGCAACCATTTATATGAATATACTTGGGAAAAAATCAAAATGAACTTAAAGTGCATGGATTTTATTTTATTTTGTGGTTTTTTAGAAGAGACTTTTTGTCTAATAAAAATATTGGTAAAATGTAATGAAGTAAACTGCTTTATCACTAATGTTAACATTTTTATTTTCAGTGGATTTGGCATGATAACATGCAGTTTCTTCAAGACAAAAACATTTTTGAACATACATATTTTGGGTAAGTTTGGTAAATTTCATAGTAGATATTTTACACATTTTAAAAAAATCTTACGTGTGAATTTTAAATGATTATTTTTAAATTCTAGATTTATGTGGCAATTGTGTAGTTGTATTCCCAGTACATTACCAGATCCTAAAGCTGTGTCCTTAATGACAGCAAAGGTAATAAATATATGAACTTTAAATAATTCTGTCAAAATTTACTACTTTAAAATGATTGAAGCTTTTTTGCTTTATCTTTTCTTACAGTTAAGCACTTCCTTTGTCCTAGAGACATTTATTCATTCTAAAGAAAAGGTATGTGTTTTCTACTATGGATTTTTTTGTCATTTATGTTTTTATCAGATATCTTTTGGTTTTTGTTATTGTTGGCTCAGAAGTTCATATGCTTTGACTGACTTTTCTTTTCTAGCCCACGATGCTTCAGTGGATTGAACTGTTGACGAAACAGTTTAATAATAGTCAGGCAGCTTGTGAGGTAAGGTGATAATTCAACAACTAATGCATAGTTTAAGATTCTTTTTTTTTTCCCCCCCTCTGATCTAAGATGCTACAGCAGAGTTGTTTTATCTGTCACAGGGAGCCAAATGGAAGTCATTCTTAAAATCATTTGGTAGCTGAGAAAGTTATAATTTATATATCACATCCATTACACTGATTAAATAATTGATTATTAAGTCACTTAAAAATTCATGTTTTGGCCAGGTGTGGTGGCTCACGCCTGTAACCCCAGCACCTTAGGAAGCTAAGGTGGGTGGATTACGAGATCAAGAGGTCGAGCCCATCCTGGCCAACGTGGTGAAACACTGTCTCTACTAAAAATACAAAAATTAGCTGGGTGTGGTGGCACATGCCTGTAGTCCCAGCACCTCGGGAGGCGGAGGCAGGAGAATCGCTTGAACCTGGGAGGCAGAGGTTGTAGTGAGCTGAGATTGTGCCACTGCACTCCAGCCTGACGACACAGTGAGACTCCATCTCAAAAAAAAAAAAAAAAGAAAAAAAAATTTTTTCCCCCCTTCATCTACCAGAAGGAAAACTATGTATAGAAAATTCAAGAGTCTTCCAAATATTTCTTAACCAGCTTTATTAAGGTATAAATGACAAAAATTTTATATATTCAAGGTATACAAAATGATTTGATGTATGTATACATTTTGAAATGATTACCCCACATTCAAATTAATTAACACATCTATCACCATGTAGTTATGTGTATGTGCGAGTTGTGAGGACACAAGATCTCCTCCCTTAGCAAATCTCAAGTAAACTGTGCAAAATTTTTTAGTCTTTTTTTAAATCAGTTTTGTCTCAAAACAATACAATATTATAACTAGTGTCATGATGCTGTACATAAGATCCCCAGAATTTATTTAAAACAGAAACTTGGGACTGTGCATGGTGGCTCACGCCTGTAATCCCAGCACTTTGGGAGGCTGAGGCGGGCGGATCACTTGCGGTCAGGAGTTCAAGACCAGCCCGGCCCACATGCAAAACTACATCTCTACTAAAAATAAAATTAACTGGTCATGGTGGTGTGCACTTGTAATCCCAACTACTGGGGAGGCTGAGGCAGGAGAATCACTTGAACCCTTGAGGCAGAGAAGCAGTGAGCTGAGATCACACCACTGCACTCCAGCCTGGGCGACAGAGTGAGACTCTGTCTCAATTTAACAAAATAAAAATAAAAAATAAACCTGAAACTTTGTACTCTTTGGCCAACATCATCTTCCTATTTCTTCCATCCCTCTCTTAACTACTTTTGTATGTTGTTAGAAAATGCTTAACATCATCTGTCACTTCCTCTTTCCCCACTCTCCCCGCCAAAAAAAAATTCACCTATCCACCTGTCTCAGTAGATCAGTTTATGCCTGGTTTTCTCTCTCCATCCCCTATTTTAAGAGGTGCATCCCTAAGGATAACCCACTCAAAGGTAATGACAGCTTAATCATATTGCCATCTTAACTTCTAGGTTAGCAACCAAAGAGTTGTAAATCTCCATAGGAAGGCAAGTCTTACGAATTAACAGAAGTGGGGAATAGCAGTCTGGTATATAATAGATGAATTATAGTTAAAGGTTTTTTGCATATTTAGAAGTTCATCTGATTATACCTTATAGAAATAGAGTAAGGGAATCTATTCCTCAGAAATTTCAAACACTAAAGTGTAACTTTTTGAAATTTTGTAATGAGAATTTGGAAACATGGACAAAAGTAGAAAGGGATAATAAGCTGTCACATACCTGTTCCTCAACTTCAATAAATAATAATAATCTTTCTTTCTTGTTTCATCTATCCCCTATTCCTTTTTTTTCCATAATGGAAGAATTTTAAAGGAAACCTAAATAGATCATGCATCCATAAACACCCAGTATATATTTCTAACATAAGAAAACTTCAAAAACATATGCAACCACAATTTCATTCACTCCCAGTAATATTAGAAGTGACTTCTCATCTTTATAACTTTTTTTTTTTTTTTTACCCCCAGAGTGGGTGTCACTCTGTCATCCAGGCTGTTGAATGCAGTGGTGCACAGTCATAGCTCACTGCAACCTCAAAATCCTGGGCTTGAGCAATCCTGCCTCAGCCTCCTCCCTCAGCCTCCCGAGTAGCTGGGACCACAGGCACATACCAACACACTCAGCTAATTTTTTTTCTTTTTTTATAGAGACAGAGTCTCTTTGTTGCCCAGCTGGTCTCAAACTCCAGGCTTCAAGCTATCCTCCTGCCTCTGCCTCCCAGAGTGCTGAGATTACAGGCATGAGCCATTACACCTGGCCAGAAGTGATTTATTCTTGTCATCTAATACCCATCCTATGTTCAGTTTTCTCCATCTCAAAAAAAAATTTTCAGTTGATTGGTTTAAATGAGTGGTTCAAACAAGTTCCACATTTTGCATTCATCTGTTTGTTAAGTCTTCCTTAATCTATAAAAGTTACTTTTTTTTTCTCCATGCCATTTTTTGTCATTTGTGCTGTAGGATTTCCCACATGCTTTCTTTGACTAATTGCATTTTCCTGGTGGTGTTTAACATGTTCCTCTGTTTCCTTCTCTTCTCATGGCTGTTCGATAGATCCAGAGTTTCTCAAGTGCTAATTAGATCATAATTTGTTTTTAAACAGAAAGAAAATTAATCATGCTCATATCACATATTATTAATAGGTGGCCGGGTGACATGGCTCACGCCTATAATACCAGCACTTTAGGAGGCTGAGGCGGCCAGATCACCTGAGGTCAGGAGTTCAAGACCAGCCTGGCCAACATAGTGAAACCCCATTTCTACTAAAAATACAAAAATCAGCCAGGGATTGTGGTGCGTGCCTGTAATCCCAGCTACTCGGGAGGAGAATCACTTGAACCTGGGAGGCAGAGGTTTCAGTGAGCCGAGATCGTGCCACTGCACTCCAGCCTGGGCAACGGAGCAAGATCTGTCTCAAAAAAAAAAAAAAAAAAGGGGGGGGGGAATATATATATATATATAATTAATAAGAACTAAAGATTCTATGTCACATTTATGAGGGCTAAGAGAATGATATTTTATTATGATAAAGGACCACAGATTGTCATGCACATTGTGTACTATAATGTAAATGGCATTCCATGGAGTTGTGTAATGAGGTAACCCTTATTATGATTTTAGAGTTTGACTTTTATGACAATTAGAGAAACTTTTCTGGTAAGAACTTAAAAGAATTAAAACATTGACTAGAAATAAAATTCTTATGTGACTGTTATCCCATGTAACAAATATTTGTTGAATGTTAAAGTCATGCTGTATTTTTTTTTAACAGTGGTTTTTAGATCGTATGGCTGATGACGACTGGTGGCCAATGCAGATACTAATTAAGTGCCCTAATCAAATTGTGAGACAGGTAAGGAAAAATATGTTTGAAAAAAATTATTTGGAAAAGAAGTTACTTTCAATTTAATTATTCTCAATTTGCTTATAAGTGTGTCTTAACCTAATATTGATAATAGTTTGAAAAGATCTGCCTCCTATCATAAAAGTCATTTTGTTGTTGGTTTCACCAGGTTCTTTTAACATCAGCTCTCACTCTAATAAGGTGATTAAAATTATGCACATTTCCTGGATATAGGAAGATTGACTGTAATTTCCTGTTCTTTTATTATTAGATCCTGCTCTTTATTATTAGATGCTTTATGAGTTATACTGATTCTTTTAAAATCCTTACACATTCTAACCATGGTAGGGTACTATAGTGACCTCAAAAGCTAATGAAAAGGCTGTAACTTATTTCTGTGATTGGGTCTGAACTGTCAAACGAAACAGTTTGTTTTCTTTAAATTGTTGGGTAAAATAGACAATGAAATTTAAATATTACTTTATAGTCACTTTTCACAAAATCAAAAACTTAGTTGACGTATGCCACTTTCCAGTTACTATTGAGATATATATGCGTGTGTGTATATATTACATATATATGTTATATATCATATTTATATATTTATAAATTTATATAGAACATACATATATATGTATATATATTTTTTTAGAGGGTTTTGCTCTGTCACAAGCAGTCCTCTTGCCTCAGCAGGTAGGACTACACGCACACACCACCACACCTGGTAATTTTGTTTTGTTTTGTTTTTAGACAGAGTCTTGTTCTGTCACCCTGGCTGTAGTGCGGTGGTACTTCATGGCTCACTGCAGCTTCCACCTCCTGGGCTCAAGCAATTCTCCCACCTCAGCCTCCTGAGTAGCTGGAACTACAAGCACACACCACCACACCTGGCTAATTTTTGTATTTTTTTGTAGAGAGAGTGTCTCTCCCCTGTTGCCTAGGCTGGTCTCAAATTCCTGGGATCAGGCAGTCCTCCCAACTTAGCCTCCCAGAGTTCTGGGATTATAGTTGTGAGCCACTGAGCCTGGCCTAAGTTACAATTCTTATACCATAAAATTTACCCAGACCTTTCAAAATGTAAAATTTAGTGGTTTTTAGTATAGTCACAAAGTTGTGCAGCCATCACTACTACCTAATTTTGGAACATTTGCCACCCCCACCCCCCACCAAAAAAAAACCCTATACCCATTAGCAATCAGTTCCTATTTCATCCTGTCCTCTCTCCTCAATACCTGACAACTACTAGTCTACTTTCTATCTTTATAGATTTGCCTATTTTGACCATTTCATATAAATGGACTCATACACTATTAGTCTTTTGTGACTTACTGCTTCGATTTAACAATCTTTTCAGGATTTATTCATGTCACAGCATGTATCCATATTACATTTTCTTTTTTTGCCAAATAGTTTGTCAAATGTATATAGTCCACATTTTGTGTTACCTGTTCATCAGCTGAATATTTGAGATGTTTCTACTTTTTGGCTGTTTTTAGTAATGCTGTTAGGAACTTTTAGTACAAGTTTTTGTTTGGATATACTTTGTCACTTCTTTGTGTATGTTTTTAGAACTGGTAAACTGTTTTTTGTTTTTGTGTTTTGTTTTTTTTTTTTTTGAGACGGAGTTTCGCTCTTGTGGCCCAGGCTAGAGTGCAGTGCCGTGGTCTTGGCTCACTGCAACTTCCGCCTCCAGGGTTCAAGTGATTCTCCTGCCTCAGCTTTCCAAGTAGCTGGGATTACAGGCGCGCACCACCGTGCCCAGCTAATTTTTTGTATTTTTAGTAGAGACGGGATTTCACCATTTTGGCCAGGCTGGTCTCAAACTCCTCACCTCAGGTGATTTGCCCGCCTTGGCCTCCCAGTGTGCTGTTACTACAGCCACTGCACCAGCGGTAAACTGGTGTTTTTTGTTTGGTTGGTTGGTTGGTGTTGTTTTTGAGTTGGAGTCTCACTCTGTCAACCAGGCTGGAGTGCAATGGCGTGATCACGTCTCACTGCAACCGCCACCTCCCGGCTTCACACAGTTCTCCCTGCCTCAGCTTCCTTAGCTGAGATTACAGGTGCCCACCACCACGCCCGGCTAATTTTTGTATTTTTAGTAGAAGTGGGGTTTTGCCATGTTGGCTAGGCTGGTCTCGAACTCCTGACCTCAGGTGATCCACCACAGCCTCCCAAAGTGCTGGGATTATAGGCTTGAGCCACTGCACCCAGCTGGTAAACTGTTTTTTTATAGTGACTGCAGTGTTTGACATTCTTGCCAGTGATATATAAGTGTTCTAATTTCACCATAATCTTCAGCAGCTGATACTGTCTTTTATTTTAGCCATCCTAGAAGGTATGAAGTGGTATCTTATTGTGGTTTTGGTATGCATTTTTCTCAAAATGGTTACACATTTTTTTCATGTGATTGTGGGTCACTTGTGTATCTTTAAAGAATCCTCACATTTCCTTCTCCTAGCTGCTGACCCCATGATGAGCAGCGGCCCTTCCCCATTCCACTCTTCTTAAGGAATTGGATACTAGATTTTCTTTTCTCTGTATCTCCACTAGCTAAAAGGATTTTTTGAAGCTTTGTTTTTGATCATCTGTATTACTGAAATGTACAGTTTGTTGAGTTTTTTCTCTTTATCATAAAACTGAATTTTTTTAATGCTACCTTTGCCTCATTTCCTTAGTCCATTGTTGAGACTCCAGAAGAGCTCCAGAATACCAAGATAATCTTGTGCAAACTATAAATGGGTGGCAGAGAATTTTGAATCATGTTAATTTTTCAAATCTTTGTTACCTGATGAGTTGGCTCTTGTTTGATCTTTTTCTTTCTTCACAGATGTTTCAGCGTTTGTGTATCCATGTGATTCAGAGGCTGAGACCTGTGCATGCTCATCTCTATTTGCAGCCAGGAATGGAAGATGGGTAAGAAGTACTTTTTGAATAAGTTTGTGTGTCTGTGTTGTGTGTGTGTGGTGTTTTTGTTTTTTTTTTTTGTTTTTTTTTTTTTTTTTTAAGAGATAGGGTTTCTTCATGTTGCCCAGGCTGGTCTCAAACTCGTAAGTTCAAATGATCCGCCCGCCTCGGCCTCCCAAATTGCTAGGATTACAGGCATGAACCACCATGCTTAGCCCTAATTTTTAAGTTTCTTAACAACCTGCCTACAAAATATTTTTTAAAATCCACACTGAAATATTTGTTCTGTTTAAAAAATAATCTGTAATAATACATTCAAGAAGGTAAAACTGTTTTTGTTTTATTTAAATTTTGCATCTGCAAAATCCTCTACAAATTACTTTATGGCTTAGTCTTTTTGTTTGCATTGATTTAGCCAGTCACAATAACTACTTAAGTTATTGCGGTTCATATTCATTATCTCAAAGATAAAAGAAATTCAGAGTTTAAAAAGTACTTTTTCTCTCGAACAGTATTTCCAGACCTCATACATTCTCTAAGATCTATTTAATTGTCTCTTAGGTCAGATGATATGGATACCTCAGTAGAAGATATTGGTGGTCGTTCATGTGTCACTCGCTTTGTGAGAACCCTGTTATTAATTATGGAACATGGTGTAAAACCTCACAGTAAACATCTTACAGAGTATTTTGCCTTCCTTTACGAATTTGCAAAAATGGGTGAAGAAGAGGTGAGGCTATATCTTGTCTATTTTTTTGATTATCTACCTTTTTTCAGTATTTGCAACTTAATTGCTTTTATTTTATATTTTTAAATTTTGTTTGTTTGTTTGTTTAGAGCCAATTTTTGCTTTCATTGCAAGCTATATCTACAATGGTACATTTTTACATGGGAACAAAAGGACCTGAAAATGTAAGTACAGTTCTATCGTACATTAGGTATTAGAGGCTCTGGTTTTCATAGTTTGCATCGTGCGAAGTCCTGAGATGTTAGAACCCTTTAAAGTCCCTTCTGGAACCTGGTGTTAGATAATATGAAGGGTCTAAGATTGGTTGATGTTTTTAATGTAATTTTAATGGATATAGCAAGAAAGAAACAACTAGGTAATGAAGTTCATTCATTGGTAAGGTCTGGAACAAAGCAAATAAACTTAGGCAAAGTGGTCACCTACTTTAGGGTCTTATCAATAGTGAATTGTTTTTGTGAACATTTTGCTGGTCACATTTTTAAGTTCTTTGCTATTAAGTTTATGAGAGTCTTTCCAAAATTTAAGTAGGTGGTCTATGAATAATATTAAAGTATTACATCAGTTTTGTGTTGTTCATAACAAATGCATTAGGTTGTATGATCTACTTGCACTCTTTTTCAGTCCTTTTCTTAACCATAAGAGATAAGTACCCTTTATATCTCCATTTAACAGATGAGACAATTGAAACTTAGAGAAGTTAATTTGTTTTAGATCACAGTGACTTGTTGTGCTTTGATCCTCGGTCAGACTACTGAGCTAAAACTCTTAAACACTGTTTTGTAATGCTTCACAGAATATACACTAGTAGATCATAAAATCTTTTGAGTCTGCATTTAGAAGCCCAAGTGAATATCTCTTTGAAATACCCACTATTTGGATTATCAGGGAACTATAAATAAGAATTTCTTATTTTGTATAACTGGCATTTTTATTAAATAGGAAATACTATTTTATCATACTTGCAATTTTTATCGTGACTTGTCTTCCAATGAGCTTGCTTATAAGAAAAAAGTTATTCAAGGGTTTATAGGTAAGGTAAGTAGTCAGTGTTGAGGTTTTTTGTTTTTTTTTTGTTTGTTTGTTTGTTTGTTTGTTTTTGAGACAGAGTCTCACTCTGTCTCCCAGGCTGGAGTGCAGTGGTGCTATCTCAGCTCACTGTAACCCCCACCTCCCAGGTTCAGGCGATTTTCCTGCCTCAGCCTCCCGAGTAGCAGGGATTACAAGCGCGTGCCACCACGCCTGGCTAATTTTTGTATTTTTAGTAGAAACGGAGTTTCACCATGTCGGCCAGGCTGTTCTCGAACTCCTGACCTCAAATGATCCACCCGCCTCAGCCTTCCAAAATGCTGGGATTACGTGAGCCACCATGCCCGGCAGAGAATTGTTATTCTTTACAGTTCTGGCAGTTTAATCTAAGATTGTCCTGAATGTGGTTTAGAGTGTTTTACATTAGGTTTAGGTCTTTGTGCAGTTGTTTTTCATGTTACAAGCTCCTGCCACCATCTACACTGTTACATAAAACAAGTCATTTGTTCTCAAAATGATATTAAAACTACTACCGTATTAAAATTGAATTTTATTCCAACTTAGCCTCAAGTTGAAGTGTTATCAGAGGAAGAAGGGGAAGAAGAAGAGGAGGAAGAAGATATCCTCTCTCTGGCAGAAGAAAAATACAGGCCAGCTGCCCTTGAAAAGATGATAGCTTTAGTTGCTCTTTTGGTTGAACAGTCTCGATCAGAAAGGTGAAATGTTTCGAATTTAAAATGTTTAAAGCATGTTTGGTTTTATTATTTTTACATAATTGTTTACCACTAGTTTTTCCACTAGCTTTTTATTATATATGTTTAATTATGTAATTGTTATTCACTAGCTTTTATTATATAAATCCTTTTAAATAATACTACTATTCATCAACTCTTGTGGCATAAGAATTTCAGTTTTTTCTACCAAACTTTTACTTCATCTATGAGTCGTGTTAGAAATAGTCATTGAAAAAATATACAGTAAAATATCTAGCAAAATAGAGCGTGCATTCGTTCTTTAACCTAGCAACTTCATTTCTAGGAATCTGTGTCCAAAATACAGAAAGATGTATATGCAAATCTGTTTATTGAAACCATGCTTCTGATAGCAAAAGACTAGAATCAGCTGAATGTCCATCAAAAGGGAACTAGTTGAAAAAACAGCATCCATTCAAAAGAATATAGCTGAAAAAGGAAGTATGGAATTTATCTGTACTACCACAGAGAAATCTTTAGGATCTATTACTAAGTAAAAAAAGGTGGGAAAAAGTGTATATGATATCCTACTTTTTAAGGGAATGCTATGATGACAGAGAGAGAGAGTGTGTATGTGTGTGTGTGTATGTGTATGTACAACCAAACCTCATTATTTGTGGATTTCCTATTTGCAAATTCACCCATTTGCTAAAATGCATTTGTAATGCCAAAAGTGGCACTCGGGGAGCTTTTGCAGTCATTCACAGACGTGTGCATATGCAGAGTGGCAAAAAACTTGAGTTGCCTGACATGCCTTTCCAGGTAAGGTCAAACAAGGCAACAATTTGCCTTTTTGTTTCAGTTTCCATATTGTAAACAAATGTACTTTTCACGGTGTATGCTGTGAAAATTTTTTGTATATTTATATGTTTTGTTCGTGATTTTGCTGTTTAAAATGGCCCTCAGCCAGGTGTGGTGGCACACGCCTGTAGTCCCAACTACTTGGGAGGATGAGGTGGATGGCTTGAGGCCAGGAGTTTGAGTCTGCAGTATGCTACTTTGGCACCTGTGAATAGCCATTACAGTCCAGTTTGGGCAATATAGCAAGATCCATCTGTAAAAATAAGTAAATAAAATGGCCCTCAAGTGTAGTGCTGAAGTGCTCTCTAGTGTTCTTAAGCTCAAGAAGGCCATGATATGACTTATAGGGAAAATACGTGTTAGACACATTTCATTCATATGAGTTTTAATACTATTGGCAGTGAGTTAAACGTTAATGAATCAACAATATATACTAAATAAGGTATCTTTAACAGAAACACTCATAAAACAAAGTAAATGTATCGATTGGTTGACAAAAATATTACCAGAGGCTCACAGAAACTTAATCGTGTATTTGCCCTAGTAGTAATAATTTGGTATTTGCTAATTCAGTATTTGCCACACTTTATAGAACACAACTACCTCAAATACAAGAATTGACTATAAATCAAAAACTTTTTTTTTTAATGGTTTCCAGTGGATAGAGGAATAAAAACAGGGTGGAGGGGACAGGAATGGATTTTTGACAAATTTAACTTTGGTATCATATAAATGTATAATTATAAATAAATGAATAAGAAGTAATCTCTAAAAATCAAAAGCACAGTGAAGTAAATGAACCTAACTATATATTAAATAGGTAAATTTCTAGTGGGATGTATATGAAGGACAAAAAGAATTGTAAAATTTTCCTAAACTGTAATAGTAATTATATTATTTGTAATAAAAGTATTATTCTGAAAGTATTAATGTATATTACAGGATGAAACAAATAAGTAACTGTTAATGTCATTGGAAACCAAGATTTTCAGCAAAAGAAAGATAAAAATATTAAATTGTAGGGTTTTGCATAACTTATTTAAAACTAAATTTGAATTGGAAATATCTGTAGCAGTTTATGGTATATTTGCAAACAGAAAATCTGTTACAGAAAATCTGTTACAGAAAATGTTTTACCTACCACTGTTTTCTGAAAAGACCTGGAAACCCTGTACAACCCAGAATCAATGAGTACCCTTGGCATCTAGGGTATAGTCTCTAGGTTTCATTTCCCACTGAAAGAATTGGGGTTCCTTGGAAAAACGACTAGTTACAGTTCTTGGGAAAGAAATGAATGAGAAGTTTGGAATGTCTTGTCATTTTGGAAAGCAAGGAGGCAGTCTAAGACTACTGAGGTCATGGTAAAGAAACTCAAGAGCCAACTTACGGAGGTTTCTACTGGTCATAGATTGAACAGCTTTGAGCATCGGTAATAACTGCAGTGGACTGTGAATCACATCAAAGATGTTTAAATCCATGAGTTCATAATACCTAAAAAGAAATTTTTTTTTAGTTTACTTGCAACTTTTGGAGTATATTAGGAAATCAAATCATTATTTTTGAAACTGATAAATAATGGAAAACAGTATCAAGCATTTATTCTACTTGCAAGTATACTTCGTGGCAACCAAATGGTGATTGAGGGGAAGTTTGTGTTCTTATATGTATTCAAGCTAATTAATGAGCAAGGACAATTGGAATTAGAATATCACTGTTTTGGAATCCCAGATGAAATGATGGATCTAGGCAGTTGTCACCACTGACAGAAAACCTTACAAAAAGACTAACCCTTCATTGTGTGCCTTCTACAAGATACTGTTAATTAAAAAGTCAAACCTAGATCTCATCAAGTCTGGATCTGACTACCAGTTTATAGAAAATGCAGGGACAGAGAAACATGTTAAGACAGCACCATAAGGATACAATCAGCAAAGTGTAAATGTGAGAGAAACTACAGGACAAATGACCTTCAACAGATAAATTGCAAACACAAAGCTGGTGGGGAAACCAATAGATTAAAATATTTAAGAGACTTTTCAACTAATTATGGCAAAAGGCTTTATTTGAATCCTGATTCAAACAAGTTAATTTTAAAAATCTTTTTAGAAACTTCAGGAAATGTGTACGCTGGATATTGTATGACAGTGCGGAATTATTCATTTAGGCATGAATAATGGTACCGTGGTTGTTTTTGAAACCTATCTGTTAAAGATACTATGATTTATGGATTAAATGATAAAATGCCTGGAATTTGCTTCAGAATAATTCATATTGAGTGGATGGGGGTTCAAATGAAACAAGACTGGCTCTGATTTTGGTAAATTTGAAGCTGACTGATGGAATACTTGTACTATTCTGTTTTTTAATATAGCTGAAATTTTTATAAGTTATAAAAGAAATATGCAATCTAGGTGTAGTGGCTTGTGCCTGAATCCTGGTTACATAGAAGGATCCCCTGAGCCTAGTAATTCAAGGCTGCAGTGAGCTGCGATCACATCACTGCATTCCCGCCTGGGCAACAGAAGTAGACTCCATCTCTAAAAAGAAGGAAAGAAAAAAAGGAAGAAATATACAGTAATTTTAAACTGGGAGATGAAATGCTAATTTCTAGAAGTCCATTTGGTTTTGAAGGGTCTCATGTCAAAAAAAAAAAAAAGTAAGTAAAATAAGACCCATCCTACTGTTTTATATACTAAAATAGTAAGTTAATTAAATGAAAATGAAGTACATTTGGGCTTTCATTTACCAATCCTGGAATGTTGAAAAGTTGCCCAAAAGACATTTAGCAAGCAAATGTAGCTAGCAAAAAATCATTTTATGATGGCAGGTTAATACAATTATAATTGAATCAACAATTTTTGATACATGTTGTAAATCGCTGTAAAGTAATACAGAAGGAAGAAAAACTTATTTCCACTAATATTTTCTTTCAGGCATTTGACATTATCACAGACTGACATGGCAGCATTAACAGGAGGAAAGGTAGTACATTCTCTAATATTAGACAATTTGATCATCACAAAAATAATAACGGTTCTTAAATGAACAACTTTTGCTTTTGACAGGGATTTCCCTTCTTGTTTCAACATATTCGTGATGGCATCAATATAAGACAAACTTGTAATCTGATTTTCAGCCTGTGTCGATACAATAATCGACTTGCAGAACATGTAAGTGCTAAGGAACAGTCTTAAAGATTTTTGGAAATTTTAAAAAAGAATACCCTGAAATCTGGCCGAGTGCGGTGGCTCATGCCTGTAATCCCAGCACTTTGGGAGGCCAAGGCGGGAGGATCGCTTGAGCCTAGGAGTTTGAGACCAGCCTAGGCAACATAGTGAGAACCCGTCTCTACACAAAATAGAAAAATCTAGCCGGGTGTAGTGGCACATGCCTGTAGTCCCAGCCACTCGGAGGCTGAGGCAGGAGGATCGCTTGAGCCTGAGAAGTGGAGGCTGCAGTGAGCTGTGATCTCGCCACTGCATCCCAGCCTGGGTGACATAGCGAAACCCTGTCTCAAAAACAAAACAAAACAAGAATATCCTGAAATCCTCCTCTTTCTGTTTTAGATTGTATCTATGCTTTTCACATCAATAGCAAAGTTGACTCCTGAGGTATGTAAACATTTGTTAATTTATGTTTTTAAAACAATTTTCAGCACTGCTAATGCTTTCAAATGAGCCTAATTGTTCTCGAGAACAAATTTATCAGGGTTTCTCCCATAACATAATAACCTATTTTTAAGTGTATAATGTGAATAAAATGAACTACTAATCATGTCTTATTACGAATATAATTTTCCCAACTAAATGTAAATATGTGTATAGACTCATTGTATCAGAGTGCCACCTGGATGCCAGGCTTTAAAGTTGTTTGATTGGGAACATATATCCTAATTGTGCCCAAAGAAAAAGTAGAGCAACCAGGACTCAGCATGTGTGTAAAAGTATATAGAAAATAGAATGCAGTGTTATATAAAAGTATTTTTGTAAAATGGAAATGCTATAGCTATTTTAACAATCGATGTCAAACATTACTATAAATTACCCCTCAGGTTGCTATAGGAAGCTTTTAATCTAAATTTTTCAATAGAACACAGTTGTCTCATTAACAATTTATTTTTGGGGTTGGGGACATGTTGCTTAAAGGATACAAATCTTCATGAATAAGTTCCAGAGATCTGTTGTGCAATGTAGCGACTACAGTTAATTATACTTGAAAATCATTGAGTAGATTTTAAGTGTTCTGACAAAAAATAAGTGTGTGAGGTAATGCATATGTGATTAGCTTGATTTCGCCATTCTACAATGTATACATATTTCAAAACGTTGTACATCGTAAGTATTTACAGTGTTTGTCAATTTAGAGAATATTTTTATAATTATCTTTTCCAAAATACTCTTGACATCCAGAAAAATCTATCATACGTGGTTCCCGGTTGACTTTGTACCCCTCGCTGATCCTGCTGCTTTATGGTAGTTCAGGTTCACATGCAGAAGTACTGGCTGAGCTCTCCTTCCCTAACACAGATTTAAATATAGTGTGTAGTAGAATATATGTTTCTTCTCTGCTGAAGGAGATGGGTTCAGATTGATCTAAATACACAGTCATGTATGTGTTTTACAGGCAGCCAATCCTTTCTTTAAGTTGTTGACTATGCTAATGGAGTTTGCTGGTGGACCTCCAGGAATGCCTCCCTTTGCATCTTATATTCTGCAGAGGATATGGGAGGTAAGTCTTGCAGCAGGTGTTTTCAATGTTTATTTTCCTGAGGATTTTATTTTTATAATATAGTCACTACCATTTTAAGTACCAGTTTCTTATTACCCCAAGATGGTTTTAGTAAGTCACAGGTTTGGGGAGGAAAAGAGTTCCTAGCTAGTCTCCTAGTTGTATTAAAGACATTCTTGTAGCATCATAAACAGCTTTAGCCAATTTGAAGTTTTCATTCCCCTACCCTCCAAAGTTCCATAAAGCAACTAGAAGTCCTAGAAATACAAACCAAGTGTTTTCAAGAATTGACAGAAATGGTAGAGGAAGCACCAGCCACCTTTTTGCTTCCAGAGTTACTGCTGAGGTCACAAAATTTCTCCTTGTTTGAGTATTGGAAAAGCTCAAGACCAGGGGACAGCAAATCTTCTCCCAAAAGGGTCAGAGAGCAAATATTTTAGACTTTGTGTGGCATACAGTGTCTGTTGAAACTACTCAACTTTGCTGTGGTAGCATATGAGCAATCATGGACAAGAAATGAGTGGGTTATGGGTGTGTTTCAATAAAACAACAAAAACGGGCAGCCACAGAATTTGACCTGCTGGCCATAGTTTGCCAACCCCCACTCTAGATTCCTAGGATTCCCCTTTCTCATGAAGAAACTCTCCACAGCAGTACAGCGAGCTTCTTGTATTCTCACTTAGTACCAGGTTGGGCATGTAATCAGAAAAGTAAAGATGAGAAACCTTAGAGAAATAAAAATACTTTTAAATAAATTTCCAAATTTAGCAAGACCTAGAAGTTATGGAGTTCTCATATTTGTCTTATGGTACTTGGTTATTTTAAATTCATTTTGTAAACCAGTGACATATTTTTCTGAACACTTCCTGTTGATAAAAGTAAAAGTAGCTTTAAAAATGGGAAAAAAATAGGGTGAAACCTTTTTAATCTCTAATTGTCAAAAAAGTACTTTAGCTTTGTGTCTAATAGCATATACAAAAAGTAAGTAAAAGTAATTGCTCATTCAGTTGGCCTTATATTCTGTTCTTGTCATGTTATTTGTAGGTGATTGAATACAATCCTTCTCAGTGTCTAGATTGGTTGGCAGTGCAGACACCCCGAAATAAACTGGCACACAGCTGGGTCTTACAGAATATGGAAAACTGGGTCGAGCGGTTTCTTTTGGCTCACAATTATCCTAGAGTGAGGACTTGTAAGTCAAATATTTAGAATTTCATAAACCATTTATTTATTGTTCAAAGTTATGTTTCATTTTGTTTTTAGGCAACTACGACATGCCCATTGTTGTATACTACGAAATTCTTGGAGATGTTATTTCCTTTTTTTTTTTTTTTTTTTTTTTTTTTTTTTAGGATAGGAAACCATGTTATTTCTTGGGTAACATCATCACTACTATCATTTTTGTTTCCTTGCTTGATAAGAGTGATAAGGCATGATCAGCAGTAATGAAGGGAATAAAAAGGTTTGAAAATCCTGTCTTAAAAGTAACTTTTGAGAAGGTTAAGGATAAAATGGTAATAAAGACATAAGCTGAGAGAAAATATTGGCTGAAATTATGAGTTATATAAACACTTTAAGTTGTACACAAGCCAGTAAAAAAGATCTTAGACAGGTAGACACATATCAAAAATATTTCACAAAATAGAAAGTTGCTTGGAAATAAACATAGAAAATGTTATTTTGATAGTTCAAAAAAATGAAAATTTAATTTTTAAATTTCTTATTATAAACATTTTCTATCTATTTGCTGAGAAGGCCCTACAGTCATTGATACTTAAGTAGCAATAAACATGTCTGGTATCCAGATGTTGAATTTTTTTTTTTTTTTTTTGAGACAGAGTCTCACTCTGTTGCTCAGGCTGGAGTGCAGTGGTGCAGTCTCAGCACACTGCAACCTCTGCCTGTTGAATTCAACTGATTCTTTCACCTCAGCCTCCTGAGTAGCTCAGATAACAGGTGCACGCCACCACACTCAGCTAATTTTTGTATTTTTAGTAGAGACAGGGTTTTACCGTGTTGACCAGGCTGGTCTTGATCTCCTGACCTCAAGTGATCCGCCCACCTCTGCCTCCCAAAGTGTTGGGATTACAGGTGTGAGCCACCGCACCTGGCCCAGATGTTGGATTCAGAACACCATTCTCCAGTAAAAGAATTCATGGCTCCTAGGAGAAATCACTGATTTTAGGGCTGGGACAGGGAATATACAAGATGTGTGTGGAATATCCTATAGTGTCAGAAAGTGAAAGTACTCAAAAATCAAAATGGTGGGTGTATGTCAGAGAAACACAGAGCTAACCTGAAAGAACTCCCAATGGCCAAAGCCAGAACAGTTTGAGTAACAAAATAACATAGCACTGGATTATAACCCCAAGGATAAAATAAATATTCATGAGTCCATACTTAGTAGAAATAAATGATTGAATAAATAAATGGAGAGTAAACAAATCTCCCATACAAAAGAATTCCATATAATATATGTACACATCTCCCCAGGAGGTGGAGCTTAATTCCTCACTCATTGAGTATGAGCTTAGTGACTTTCTTCCAAGGAATGGGGTGTGGAGGAAGTAACTTTACAGTGAAGAAACTTTACAGTACAACTCAGCCGGGTGATAAAGGTTAATTAACATCATTGGTAATCAATGAGGTTGATAGTGTGTACCCTTGATATGGCGTGATGGCAAAGGGCACTTCATCTCTTGTGGTCTTCCTTCCAAAAACCTATAACCTGAATCTAACCATGACACACATCAGACAAACTCAGATTGAGGGACATTCTATGAAATACCCGACCAGTATTCCTTGAAACTGTAAAGGTCATTAGAAACAAGGAAAATCTAAGAAACTGTCACAGCCAAGAGGAAGTTAAGAAGACATAATGACTAGCTGTAATGTATACTAGATGGGATCCTGGAAGGAAAAAAAAGGACATTAGGGCAAAACAAGTGAAATCTAAAGTGGAGAGTTTGGTTAGTAGTAATGTACCTGTGTTGCTTCCTTAGTCACAACAAATGTACCATCATAATAGTGTTAACTGTGGGGGAAACTAGGTGAGGGAGGTGTATTGAAATTGTTCTGCTTATTCTAAAATAAAAGGTTTATTTGTGAGAAGCACCTTTCAGTGGCGTGAACACATGGATTGGCATGGGCACTCTGCCCATGGGCCTTTTTTTTTTTTTTTTTTTCCTGGAAGTTTAGTTAACCCCACCATAATAGGATCTTTGTAAGAGCACACAGCCAAGAGCTATGTGAGAGCTGTGCGCTCTTAACAAAGAGATGTGTGCCAGTTGGCATTCATGTCTTGACCCCTGACCGTAAAACCAACAAAAAAAAAAAACTATGCTGAACCCCCAAAAAGGTTTTTCAGCCAGCTATTATGCCTAATACTGATGACAGTGCTGAGGAAATGGCATTCTTGTACATTGCAGTGGCATTGTTTAATATTATTCTTATGAAAGGCAGTTTAACAGATCTTTACCAAGATTCTTAAAAATTATATATCCTTTTATTTATTTATTTTTATTTTCTTATTTATTTATTTTCTTTCGAGATGGAGTCTTGCTCTGTGGCCCAGGCTGGAGTGTAGTGGCGTGATCTCGGCTCACTGCAACCTCCGCCTCCCGGGTTCAAGCAGTTCTCCTGTCTCAGCCTCCTGAGTAGCTGGGATTACAGGCACCCACCACCATGCCTGGCTAATTTTTTTGTATTTTTAGTAGAGACGGGGTTTCACCGTATTGGTCAGGCTGGTCTCAAACTCCTGACCTCGTGATCCACCCACCTCGGCCTCCCAAAGTGCTGGATTATAGGCGTGAGCCACTGTGCCCTGCTGGTTTGCCCTTTTAATGTCAGTAATACTGTTTTAGCGATTCTAGTGTAAGTATATGGATGCCCAACAGCATGATTTTTAGTAGTGAAAAATTTTAAACTCTTCAGTTGGGAAACATTGTTATAATGCATCATGTTAAAATTACAGTAGTGAAGACTATGTAGTAATATGAAAAAGTGCTTTTGCTGTAACTTGATAAGAGTCCAAATATTTGAATAGAATTAGTATAACTTAGAATAAGAATTAAAATAACATGTATAAAAGAAAAGCTTCATAGGAATACTCCTAAATACAACAAAATAAATGAGAACTTTTAATATAGAGAAAAGAAAAATTGAGACATTAGTGTCTTAGAGTTGCCATATAGACATGGAAGTAGACTTAATGTTTTTTGTAGCATACAACTAGATCCAGGACTCTTAAGTTATAGGAAGGCAGTTAACCAAATGGCAAGATGGCCTGTTCTTCCAAATTAACCTTCCTGTCTGTTCTTAAAGAAAAACATAATTTAAAAGTCGTGTTTTTTTCTGAAGCAGAACTTCCTTTTTATTTAAAAGCAAGTAGCTTTTATAGGAAAAGAAGAGGTGGTTAGGTATGTGATAAAGCAAAGTGAAATGTTAATTGTAGAATCTCGGTGGTAGGTCTGTGGTCTTAGTAGAGCTTTTCCAACCTTATGTGTCCAAAAAAATAACTCAAAGAAATGTTGAGGTGAAAGTATATAACTCACACCAAATGACTTTTTTTTTTTTTTTCTTTTTGAGATGGAGTCTTGCCCCATCGCCCAGGCTGGGATGTAGTGCTGCAATCTCAGCTCACTGCAGCCTCCACCTCCAGAGTTAAAGTGATTCTTGTGCCTCAGCCTCCTGAGTAGCTGGGATTACAGGCACCCGCCACCACACCCAGCTAATTTTTGTATTCTTAGTAGAGATGGGTTTCACCATGTTGGCCAGGCTGGTCTTGAACTCCTGACCTCAGATGATCTGCCCGCCTTGGCCTCTCAAAGTGCTGGGATTACAGGCATGAGTCACCGTACCCAGCCAAATGGTTTTTTTGTTTTTTGTTTTTTGTTGTTTTTTGAGATGGAGTCTCACTCAGTCACCCAGGCTGGAGTGCAGTGGCGCAATCTCGGCTTACTGCAAGCTCTGCCTCCCGGGTTCACACCATTCTCCTGCCTCAGCCTCCCGAGTAGCTGGGACTACAGGCGCTCACCACCACGCCTGGCTAATTTTTTGTATTTTTAGTAGAGATGGGGTTTCACCATATTAGCCAGGATGATCTCGAGCTCCTGACCTCGTGATCCGCCCGCCTTGGCCTCCCAAAATGCTGGGATTACAGGCATGAGCCACCGCACCCAGCCGCCAAATGGCTTTTTTAAATCGTAAATTACTTTTCTTGATTGAAGTTTTATGCAAAAATTGATCAGGATGATACCTACATGCCAGGTTTTTATATTTGAAACACATAACAAACTGAGCCTTAAAAATTCTGACTAAGCAGACTAGTATATAGGTAAAGAAATATCTAGAAAATGGAGTATTGTGCACAAAGTTTAATTTGGAAATAAATTTGTAAAATAAACTAAAATTAATTTTAGAAACCCTAACTTTGTTTGCTTTGACAATACAATGGAAATTATCAAGTTATAGTTAGAATAGGGGGAGACAAATAATGGTTGTCCTGAAAAGAACCCAAACTCAGACATTAGAGAGTCTTGAGGAGGTTCCATAGTGAATGTTAGGAGCATTATTAGCCTGTGAATCTGATTGGCTGGATTTGAATCCCAGCTCTGGCCACTAGCTGTGTAAGCTGAGATAGTCCCATTGTTGTAAGCCTGAGTGAAAGTGGGGATAATAAATGCAATGCCTGCCACATAAAGTTATGACGTCAAATAGTATACATTTGGTAAAGGCTCACAATTCTTATTATAGTTATTACTATTATTGTTTTACCATTATCATTATCATCATCATTGTTTCTCAAGGCAAAATCTAGCCTCCACCTCTTTATCTGTGTGACCTTGGTCTTTGCTTCTCCAAGATTCAGATTTTCCAGAGCACTGTTACCTCCATCCAGGGTCATTGTGAGGATTAAATGAGAAGTTTATACAGCACCTAGGTCAATGCTTTGTTGATAGTAACTGCTTTTACAGGTTAGCGCAACTAATAAGTCACTAACTCCTCAGCATTATAACATAGGCTTAATAAGTTTAACACCAAGTTCTTTCCTTGGGTGTAAGTTTAGCCTTAAAAGACTTCTAAAGATTTTCCAAAGTTAATGTTCTGTAATTAGCATATATGTAATCAAATAGGACTTTTATGTATATCTCATTCTTTCTTTATAACTTAAATATATATTATCTGGTTACAATTTAACACCCAGTTCTTTCCTTTGGTGTAAGGTTAGCCTTAGAAGACTTTTAAAGATTTTCCAAAGTTAATGTTCTATAATTAGCATATATGTAATCTTATATATTGAACTTTTATGTATATCTATTTCTTTCTTTATAACAAGTATATTTTACCATATCTGTATGTTATTACAAAGTAAATTATCATTATTTTTCAATTAAGAAGAAAACTAAGACTGTAGAACATTGAATGATTTGACCTCCTCAGGTACCTTTTGGTAGGTCTTCTGACTGCAAATGCTGGGTTCCCTCTGTTAAATCATACTACTTCCTGAGAAGAAATAAAAGATAAAGTGGGAAAATTCTGCATCTTAGGCAAGCTAAAGAAAAGTGGTTTAAAAATTATTGCCACTTCAAAAATAACAATGGCAGAATAGAAGGTATCTATTTTTATCACCTCTTGGGATCTTTTTGTGGGGCCAAGGGGAAAGCAGAAAGATACTAAAAGAGATGTTCATGTCCCTTTTTATTCATTTTAATTATTAAAGGGAACAGTGGCTTTGTGATTAATGACTGCTGTTCAGTCTATTTTATATCTTACAAGGATCTGACAGTTTTGTTTTACATTTTATAGCTGCAGCTTATCTTCTGGTGTCCCTTATACCAAGCAATTCATTCCGTCAGATGTTCCGGTCAACAAGGTCTTTGCACATCCCAACCCGTGACCTTCCACTCAGTCCAGACACAACAGTAGTCCTACATCAGGTCTACAACGTGCTCCTTGGTTTGCTCTCAAGAGCCAAACTTTATGTTGATGCTGCTGTTCATGGCACTACAAAGCTAGTGCCCTATTTTAGCTTTATGACTTACTGTTTAATTTCCAAAACTGAGAAGCTGATGTTTTCCACATATTTCATGGATTTGTGGAACCTTTTCCAGCCTAAACTTTCTGAGCCAGCAATAGCTACAAATCACAATAAACAGGCTTTGCTTTCATTTTGGTACAATGTCTGTGCTGACTGTCCAGAGAATATCCGCCTTATTGTTCAGAACCCAGTGGTAACCAAGAACATTGCCTTCAATTACATCCTTGCTGACCATGATGATCAGGATGTGGTGCTTTTTAACCGTGGGATGCTGCCAGCGTACTATGGCATTCTGAGGCTCTGCTGTGAGCAGTCTCCTGCATTCACACGACAACTGGCTTCTCACCAGAACATCCAGTGGGCCTTTAAGAATCTTACACCACATGCCAGCCAATACCCTGGAGTGAGTAAAATTGATACTCTTTTATCTGTATCCTCAAATAGATTGGAAATACCTGTTTTTCCCCTGGTGGGAAGTGGTGGCAGAATATAGAATAGTCTCACCATTCTTTCTTAAGAACTTAATGTGTATTTGTTTTCTTAAATACATATATAAAATGCTGTGTTGTTATAAAATTGATAACTGTGTAGATAACTTTTCTTAGGGTGAAGTTAAAGTTGCATATCCAGTAAAACTTACCTGTTTTTTAATTTGTGGTTTTGTAAATGTATTCTTCATGTGTGCCTAATGAAAAAAGCCAGCTTCATGGTACAGTTTTAAGGAATTGAGTACTTTGCTATTTAAAAATCAGATACTTAGCAAAATCTACATGCTGTGGTAAACTGTGAGCTAGACAATTTTATATCTAAAACTAGTAGTATTCCGCAGTATTTTTTCTCAAGCTGCATCCAAACAAATGAAATGCTTAAGAGATCAATCGAGATACATATATATGCAGTCTAAATTGGGTCCCTTTTACTCTGCACACTTACTTGTAGGTTTTATATTAAGTTTCCTCCCCTCGATGTAAAGCTGTCAAACCTGGTTAATAACTTTTCACTGTTGCCTCTTATTCTCTGTTGTAAACTGTACTTTAAAGACAGACCGTCCTTTATAGACGGTCTTTTTTTTTCTAGATGGTGTAATGAGTTGTATAGAATCTCACACCTGGGAAGAATAACCTAATTTCTAGTCAGAGAAAATTAGAATCCCAGGCCGGCATAGTGGCTCACACCTGTAATTTCAGCACTTTGGAGGCAGAGGCGGATCACTCGAGCCCAGCAGTTCAAGACCAGCCTGGGCAACATGGCAAAACTCCATCTCTACAAAAAATACAAAATTAGCTGGGAGTAGTGGTGTGCACCTATAGTCGCAGCTGCTTGGGAGGCTGAGGTGGGAGGATCGCTTGAGCCCAGGAGGTTGAGGCTGCATTGAGACATTGTACTGCACCCTGGGCAACAAAGCAAGACTCTGTCTCAAAAGAAAAAATCAGAATCCCTACAATGCAGGAAAGAGAGTGAGTGTACAAGTACCAAGAAATTGAAAACCAATGCCATAAGAATACAAAATATCAATCTTTCTGACTTCAAAGGGGTCGGGATAGGATTTATTAAGTTTCAGTAAATTTGTCTCTATCATATTCACATAAATAATATTTGATCTAGTTACTAGATGTGATGTCCAGAATTAAATATACTTTGACAAGTACTAGATGAGTTAGAATTTATCCCTCCATGTTATTTATTGCCCTTGACATCAGTGAAATGTAATGTCTTTTATTGTAGAATGTCCTTATCTATTAGAAATTTTCATGAAAATGGTACTTAAGTCAGTTTTTTGCTTTGAAAAATAAGAAGCTGGGGGTTTCAGTTCATTGACAAGTATGTGTTAGAAGAGCAGTCCTCTCCTGACATGTGCATATGAGTCTATAAAATCACAGCTAGTGATTTTACTAAAATATTTGTTTTTACTTTTTATTCATCAGGAAATTGAACTGAGCATCATTCTAGAAAAGCATTTTAAATGTTGGAACAAAGGTTTACCTCATATACACTATTAATTTAAGGGTTATTTAGGCATTTAAAATCTTTGTGACAAAGTAATGATTTCTCATTAATTAAAGAAAAAGTGGATAGGAGATGGTGTGGCATGCCTCTGGGTTTACATTTGAAGTTACAAAAGTAGTGCTTTAAGCAGTAATAAGACTAAAAATGAATTGTATTCACTTACAGTTTTTACTCTTTCTAAACTTGTATTTTAAGATTTGTTGAGTTCTTTTAGTGTTTATTATTATTGTTATTATTTGTATTTTAGTAGAGACAGAGTTTCATCATGTTGCCCTGGCTGGTCTCGAACTCCTGAGTTCAGGCAATCTGCCCGCCTCTGCCTCCCAAAGTGCTAGGCATCAGCCACTGCGCCCAGCCAAAATTTTTTAAATAGAATTTGTTACTGATTTTATAACTTTCTGAATGGAAGTATAATCTAGCTTATTTGTATAATTTTAAGAGTTGATTAATGAACGTAGAAATGAGAAACTGACCTTCTAAAATGCTATAGGGTTAAAAGATCATATGGCTTATTTGGCTTTTTTAGGCAGTAGAAGAACTGTTTAACCTGATGCAGCTGTTTATAGCTCAGAGGCCAGATATGAGAGAAGAAGAATTAGAAGATATTAAACAGTTCAAGAAAACAACCATAAGTTGTTACTTACGTTGCTTAGATGGCCGCTCCTGCTGGACTACTTTAATAAGGTAAAAAGATGTTTTTAGTTTTGTCTTGTTTATTTCCAGTGAGATGAGGACCATCCTTTTGATGTTTAAAGATAAATCATTTACATTGGGGAAGCATTTGTGCATGTAGCCACTTTGGAACATTTTGAAGGTTCATGAACTACTTTTAAACAGTTTTTGGTCTGGCTTTGGTTTGTATTTGTGTATGTTTTATCATTTTAGGGTTGAAGGGAACCTTTATGTATAGCCTTCTACCCAAAGCTTGAATAGTCTTGTTTATGGCAATTTATCCTAACTCAGGCTTGATAGTTCAGTTCTAGAGGCCTCCAGGAAGTTTTCTGCACCTTTGGATGAGTCTGTTAATATTTTGCATTCTGTTTAGCCCAAATATATCTATCTGGCTTTCTGATCTATATGACTTGGCCAAAATTATAAAACATAGTCTTTATAATTAATTTTCAGAGCTACAGAAGTTATTGAATGGTTACAGGAACTACTACAAATTACCCTTAATTCCCCTTAACCTAGAGAAATAAAGTTCAGGCTAATTTCTTAAATTCTTCTATGTATTACATCTAAGACTTGGAAGTGTTGTTTTTTATTAGGCACATTTTTTTTAATGGTACTTTACTGAAGACTTCACTGTAATATCTTAAGCTACTCAATCTAAGATGAGGTTATTTCAGATTGTCTTCTTTGGAAAGCTTTCAAATGTGAGTCTTCATTAGTAAACAGGGAAATTAACTACGCCTTTGCCGGATTTCTTAAAGGGATTGTTTTTAAATTTTGGATTAATTTTGAATACAATTGTTTTCCCAAAGTTTACTACTTAAAGCTTTATTTCAAAAAAGATTTAGAGCAGCCTGGGCAACATAGTAAAACCCCATCTCTATATAAATAAATAAGTTAGCAAATAAATTAGGGTGTGACGGCATGCACCTGTAGTCCCAGCTCCTCGGGGGGCTGAGGTGGGAAGATCCTTGAGCCCAAAAGGTGGAAGCTGCAGTGAGCCATGATTGTGCCATTGTACTCCAGCCTGGGTGACAGAGCGAGTCTCAAAAAAAGAAAAAAAAGATTTGGAGCTTTCTTAACTCTTCTTGAAAAAGGAAAGGAATAAAGTAGAAGGATTTCCAGTTGTAGTCTATAACAACATTTTTCTGGTATCTAATGAAAGAAGACCTGTTAACAGTAATATAGCTGTGTGAGTAATTATAGTCATGTGTTGCATAACAACAGGGTTACATTCTGAGAAATAAATTTTTAGCCTATTTCATCATTGTGCAAACATCAGAGTGACTACTCACACACAACTAGATAGTAGCGCCTGCTACACCCCTAGGATATATGGTATAGCCAACTGTTCCTAGGCTCTAAATCTGTATAGCATGTTACTACACTGAATACTGTAGGCAATTATAACAGAAAGGTAAGTATTTGTGTATCTAAACGTATTTAAACATAGAAAAGGTACAGTAAAAATATGGAATAAAAGACAGAAAATGGTACACTTGTGTAGGGCACTTACCATGAATGGTGCTTGCAAGACTGGAAATTGCCCTAGGTAAGCCAGTGAATGAGTGGTGAGGGAATGTGAAGGCCTGGGACATTATTGTACCCTACTATAGACTTTATAAACACTGTACACTTAAGCTACACTAAATTTATTTTAAAATACTTTTTCTTCATTATTAATGTACTGAACTTTTTTTACTTTATAAGTTTTTTTAACTTCTTGATTCTTCTATCGTAGCACTTAAAACACACTATCATAACACTTAAAACACACATTTTATAGCTGAACAAAAGTATTTATATCTTTATAAGCTTTTCATATTTAAATTTTTTTTCTTTTTAAATGTTTTCGTTAAAAACTAAGACATAAACACACACAATTAGGCTAGGCCTAGCAGGGTTGGGATCATCAGTATCTCTGTCTCCCACCTCCACATCTTGTCCCACTTGGGAGGTCTTCAGAGGCAGTAACTAGCTTAGAGCTGTCATCTCCTCTGACAATGATGCCTTCTTCTGGAATCCCTCCTGTAGGGCCTGTCTAAGGCTGTTTTACATTTAACTTTTTTTGAAATAAGTAGTAAAATAATGATAATATAGTAAATACATAAACCAGTAACATAGTCATTTATTAACATTATCAAGTATTAGGTACTGTACATAATTGTGGTATACTTACAAGACTGGCAGTACAACAAGTTTGTTTATACCAGCGTCATCAGAGACATGTGGGTAATGCATTGTGAATGTTACCATGGCTATGAAGTCACTAGGCTAATAGGAATTTATCAGCTCCATTATAATCTTATGGGACCACCATTGTGTTTGTGATCCATCATTTACCACAATTTCATTTTGTGGCACATGACTGTATTTTATAAACTATTTTCAAGGCTGACACGTTTTTAGTATTTTTTTCCTTCATGTTACTCTTTTTTAATTACCAGCTGATGAGTGTTTAGATAATATGGTGAATTTTATGATTATCCAGAATTTAACAATCAGAAGATGAGCCTATTATAAAAATCAACATTGTTTATGTGGAAACTTTAAAAATATTCCCATATCTTCTGCCATTGTAGATAATTAGCAGTTGATTAGATATTAATAGACTTTTTTTTAGTTAGAGTTTATTTAATATTATTTCCTTATGCTGCATTTCCAGGAAACAGATGAAGCAGTCTCTTTTCTGTAGGTAGGAAAGCAGAGAGCTTAAATGATGATTTTATTTCTTTTTATTTTTTCATCACCTAAGTGTTGTGTTCTTATTCAGACTTCTCAAACTGAACTTTATGTTTTCTTCTAGTGCCTTCAGAATACTATTAGAATCTGATGAAGACAGACTTCTTGTTGTATTTAATCGAGGATTGATTCTAATGACAGAGGTAAATATTCTATTGCATTTTACTGTGGATATTATCTCATTTTAATGTTCTCACCAAGACTTACTTTATAGACATTTAGAGTTTATGGTAAACTGTTTTACAGGTGGCAAGGTTTTAATTATATAGATCAGTAAACCTGAATTTATATCCCAAGAATAATTAGGTCATAATTTTTAGGGTGCTGTTCCTTTTTCCATAGTAATTCCATACTTTTCCCATTATTTTGTATTTAGAACAGCCATTTGAAATAGACTAGTTTTATTCATTTGTAGGGACAAAAATGAAATACATGTGATTTCATTAAGGGCACACATAATTTCCCAAAAGCCTACTTATTTGACAGTATAGAAACTGAGGTTACCATTGTGAACCCGGAAAATCTGAGACAGGTCTCAGTTAATTTAGAAAGTTTATTTTGCCAAGGTTGAGGACGCGCCCGTGACACAGCCTCAGGAAGTCCTGATGGCACGTGCCCAAGGTGGTTGGGACACAGCTTGATTTTATACATTTTAGGGAGACATGAGACATCAATCTGTATGTAGGAAGTACATTAGCTCTGTCCAGAAAGGCAGAGACAACCCAAAGCAAGGCCTCTCCTTCCTCTGGGGCCTTCCTGGTCACAGGTATGTGAGAGACAGATGGTTGCGTTCTTTTGAGTTTCTGATAAGTCTTTCCAAAGGAGGCAATCAGAATATGCATCTATCTGGGTGAGCAGAGGGATGACTTTGAATAGTATGAGAGGCCGATTTGCCCTGAGCGGTTCCCAGCTTGAAGGGGCCCAAGATATTTTCCTTTCACACCATCCTCAGAGGAAACCAGAAGGACTATTACAGGGTTAAAATCAGCTGTTTATGCTTCCTATAATTCTTGAACATCCACAAGTATGAGATGGCTGCAGAGTCACCAGAGGTACGTGAGCCCTTTAGTCTGATAAACATGCCAAGAGTACCATAAGAATTCACAGGTAGGATGTTTTTTCAGTTAATGATAATAAAAAATAAGAGAACAGGTTTGCACTTTGAAGAATGTGGATTTGCAAAGGTAAGGGGGAAAACATTTAGATAAATGACAATAAGCACTGAGGCAAAGAAATATTGGTTATGTTTGAGGAAGGCTAAGTATTAAAAAAAAGGTAGGTGAAGAGGAGTAGTAAGAATTTCATTCTTTAAAATGCAACAGATGTTTATGCTGCTTTGGTTGTATTTTTAGAAAAAAAAAATTTTTTTTTAATGCAACAGATGTTTAAATGTCTACCTCTGTGCCAAGCACTGTGGTAGGTACTAGGGACACAGCAGTGAACAAGACATACTGGTTTCTGTCCCCACAGCTTACAAGTTACATACTGTACAAGTACATTGTTCATATTAGGTACTGCTGCAGGTTCTGGGCTAAGAATTTTAACATTTGAACTGTGGGTATTACAGTGTGTAAGCTGTAGTGAACTGGTGGAAGAGGATTCAAAGAAGGGTGCTGTATAGTAAAATAGGAAAAAAACTAAGGGCTTAATTAAGCTAATACAGTTAAAGGAATTAAAAGATTTAACAAGCCAATATAAAGGAAATGAATTCCTACCTTTTGCAGCTCTTTTTACCTCTTTCAGGCCTACTCTTTTGAGTATGGCTGACAGTCACTTTACCATTGTCTTTGGACAGAGACCCTGGAAAGTTGGTTAAAGCAGTTGCCTATTCTCCCTAATCTTTTGTGACCTACTGCTTTGTAATTTTGAAGACTTAACAATCTTAGAGCAAGTACTTTTTTAAAAAAATGTGATTAAACTATTTCTTCAGACTAGAATATACACACAAAATAGCAGAGCTCTGAAGGTGAGGAATGTTTAAAAGAGCTTAATGAGAGTTTAACTTCAGGATAGAAAGCAAATACGTTTGCTTTGCACACATGTGCACACACAGTCTGAGTCTGAAAACATCTATCGTAGAGGACGAGTACTACCATTTTGTGGCTCAGTAAGCAAAAATGAAATTAAGTTTTCAATTTTTTCAAATCATTTGTAGTCTTTCAACACTTTGCACATGATGTATCACGAAGCTACAGCTTGCCATGTGACTGGAGATTTAGTAGAACTTCTGTCAATATTTCTTTCGGTTTTGAAGTCTACACGCCCTTATCTTCAGAGAAAAGGTTTGCTCATTCCTACTTCTTATGTTTTGTTCGTGCTACTAGTAAAGAGAGAGAAGGTTTTAAAATCATGTGCCCCAGAGAAATTGTTTTTATCCTAGTTTATGCACAGAAGATGAGGCTGAAGCTAGCTAACCATCAGGAAATGTTTGTCATGAACTCCTGATGTAAAGCTGGAAGGCTCTTTTATGTTTTTGTACCTGCCTGAAAAATACGCAAGCAGGTATCAAGATTTCAGAGATTGGAAAACATTTCCAAACACAGTAACAAGCTGGGCACTTTGTAAAGATTCTCCAGCTGGAAACTTCTTTGGCTTAGATTAGATCATTTGCAGTTTCATGCGAGATGACTATAAAACCTACCTGTCTTATGTCCCTATAAGATACTGTGAACTCTGAACTTCTTCATATACATTCCTAGAAAGTGGGACATATTATCAATGAAATATGTTCTTTAAGAAATCTAGCAGGTTTAACATTAGTAGTAATCATCTCATGAAAATGACTTAGCTTTCACTGAAGATGTTTTTGTAATTAACCTGAATTTCTAGCATTAGCATTCTGTAGTTTACAGTAGAAAACATTTGTGAGGAAGTTTGATCTCAGATGGCATATTTATATGTGCTTTTATATTTGCAGATGTGAAACAAGCATTAATCCAGTGGCAGGAGCGAATTGAATTTGCCCATAAACTGTTAACTCTTCTTAATTCCTATAGTCCTCCAGAACTTAGAAATGCCTGTATAGGTAAGTTACTTGAAAAATTCACCCGTGTAAAAACCTAGTGGAAGAACATTGTTGTGAGTTTTTCCGTGATGTTAAGCCTGTAGTGTTTGAAAGATACTTGTGCTTTTTATGTGTAACTCACACTAGCTAGCAGGTCCTAAGAAAATAAAGAAAATTTCTTAACTGGCTCATAATTACATTACCCACATGATAATGGGCAGATTACTTAATATATACAGTCTCCCCGACCTTAGTTCATCTCTAGCTTCCTCCAGCTCTAAAATCTTGTTATCCTATGTAAGCAAGGTTGAACCATATAAATGTTTACAAGGTAGAACTGACATTCTAAAGGATAAGAGTACTTATTTCACTGTGAGTTCTTTTGCCTAAAGATACTTCTCAGTAGCTGTCCTTAGGCTCTGAGTATTGCATCTTTTTATTGATTGCATATTTATAATAAAATGCTAATTTGTGGCTTTTAAAAGACACCCATTATAAATTTATAGTGATTTTTTTTTCACTACATTAGAAACTTCTCGAGAGACCGTAACTATTTTACACTTTCTCAAAATAGCATGGATAACTAACTGGCTGTCATATATAAGCAGTCCGTCTTGACGTTCTGTGCAATTACTTCTCTAGCAAGAGGGGAAGGGCACACAAGCAGTAACCTATGATCACCAGAAACTGCCTATAGCCTGTCATCGTGAGATTTATTCCTTCCTGTGTGATTGGAGATTGAGAATCAGTCCAGCCAGCATCGTAAAACATTAAAAGTAGATTAAGGATTATCCCTCAAAGCAAAGGAACTTTGAACCTTAGTTTTCTTTCTAAGCTGTTTTGGTTGATTTTATGAGACACATAATCAACGTACATTAAATAATCTGGGCTGGCTCATGCCTGTAATCCATGCAGTTCGGGAGGTCTAGGCAGGAGGGGATTGCTCGAGACCAGGAATTCAAAAGCAGCCTGGGCAACATAGCAAGACCTCATCTCTACAAAAACAAACAAAAAAAATAGCTGGGTGTGGTGGTGCATGCCGGTAGTTTCAGCTACTTGGGAGCCTGAGGCAGGAGGATCACTTGCACCCAGGAGCTCAAGGCTGTAGTGAGCTGATTGCACCACTGCACTCCAGCCTGGGAGACCAAAAAAAAATCCCTCACTGTATGTTGCCAGAAAATATCTCATACTTAAAACAAAATACCAATAAATAGTGTTTTAATCTTTTGTTTCCAAATGATGCCCTATTGTCGTTAATAACTCTGTTGATCTAAACTTGATTGAGCATAAGACAGAATTTCTACTCGTGTCAGGAGCTTAGTTTTAGACTCATTAAACTGGTTGTAGTGAGGCAATCATAGGATTTGTAAGATGGAAAGTAGTAGGCAGATATAACTCTTAATTTTTTGCTACCCAAACTTTGTTTTTATTTTCAGATGTCCTCAAGGAACTTGTACTTTTGAGTCCCCATGATTTTCTTCATACTCTGGTTCCCTTTCTACAACACAACCATTGTACTTACCATCACAGTAATATACCAAGTACGTATTTATCTAGCACAGTACTTCAATATGGTTCGCATTTAATCGTTCTGCACACTGAAGCATGGAGATTTATTTTTTCCATTTATTCTTACTGTACACTTTTAATATCTTAGTGTCTCTTGGACCTTATTTCCCTTGTCGAGAAAATATCAAGCTAATAGGAGGGAAAAGCAATATTCGGCCTCCGCGCCCTGAACTCAATATGTGCCTCTTGCCCACAATGGTGGAAACCAGTAAGGTATGTTGGGATGCCAGGAAAATCCATGTTGCTATAGTACAAAGTAATTTGAAATTTTTCCCCTGGCAGTTATGAATAGGTTAGACTTAAGTGACCAATTTTGTGGATCCTAAGAAGATTAGATTCATTTGGACTTTTTCCTTTTAGTGCTCTGAAATGTTGGTTGAACATTTGCAAAAATCAACAATAAGCACAAGTAGTAAGTTTTTTTTCCCCCTCAAAAATTACCTTAATAGTAAGTCTTAATATTTGTCACTAGGCTAAATTATAACTGGGTCATATATCTAAATTTGAAAAGTCATTAGGTACTGTTTTTTTTTTTTTAATTTGGCCATATAATCAATGACTTCTTCTACTTCCCTTAAATTATATTCCTTTGACCTAAGCATAATATTGATTGATAGATTTGTCATCATTTTTAGTCTGGTTCCTTTCTTCTAACTCATATTCTAAAATAATGCCAATTCTAAATTATAGAGACAAGGTACATTGATACAGGATAATTTATCTTAGTTTCAACTTTTTTAAAAACAATTTTTCCCTTTATCTTTCTTTACCCACACTTCATTCACACTCTCCCTTGCTTGCCATCTTCGGATTTTCAGTATACTTGAGAAGTTCTTATAAGATAAAATATTTAAAATAATTAACATTACAGGAATAACTTGGAATCTATTTCAAAAGTCAAACTTAATTCATTTTTCTTGATATGTCTGTAGAGCTAAAGTGTCACATTTTAAAATCCTACAGTAATTTTACTTTATTAAAGTATATAGAAATAATGGGTAATTTTAATTCATAGCATTTGCACACTGAAAATAAACTTACGACAATTAAGATCATAACATTACTAGAAATTTGGATTTTAAAACTAGGTTCTTATAGAATATAAATATTGAATCAGCTTTTTAGTTAAACTTATTACATTTGCACAAAATATGCTCTTTATTATACAATTTAAGTGCAACCATTTTATCATCTTTAACCTTCAGGGCAAAGATGACGTTTATGATCGTATGCTGCTAGACTACTTCTTTTCTTATCATCAGTTCATCCATCTATTATGCCGAGTTGCAATCAACTGTGAAAAATTTACTGAAACATTAGTTAAGCTGAGTAAGTATAAAAGATGAGCAGTAAATTCCACTGAATTATTTTAAGCCCCTAGTCATTCAGGAAGGGGAGAAAAATTATGAGACAATCCTTTTTTTCTTTTTTTAAAGTGAATGCTTAAAAATATTAATATTCTTGGGAACATTTTAATTTTCATTAAGAAAACACCAACTTACTGGTTTCCATTGAATAGTTCTGCCCAGAGTTTCAGCTGGCCTATAAAGGAGTGTGGAGTAGGGCTGATCACTTCTGTACATAGAAGCCCACATCCTCCACCATCTGCCCAGCAGATTCTGAAAACAAAAAACAAAACTGCTCTGCTTAGGGAGGCAGGCGTAGAGGTGGACTCCCCAGCCCTGCTCTTGAGGGTGCGATGAGATCTATAGTGCCAGCTGTGCTTTGGAGCTGGCAATGGCAAGAGCAGTGGGCTTGCCAGTGTGAAGCAGAGGTGCATATATGAGTAATTAGGAGGTAAGTCTCATAAAATAGGTGAGTGAGAAGAAGAGAAACTTGAAAACGGAGATGATGAGAAACAGAAAACAAAACCATCAGTGAATTATGTGGCGGGGGGTCTCGAATATCTTTAGTAATATTGTCTCTGCAGTAATGTGCCTAAGAGCTGTTAGAGAACTGCTCCCTTTGGGTAACATTCCTATAGCTGATAAGTTTTTCAGAGACATGCAGCTCTCCTCCAGAGGTCCTCTATCTCAGGACTTCCAGAGTTCTAGGCGTCTGTGTCCTCCCTCTTGACTTCATTAGGGATGGGCCAGGATCCTCTCCAATGTTCTATAGTTTTCAGAGTGGGACGTGAAATACTTGCGGAACTACTACCCAGATCAAGAAATAAAATATTGCCATACCCTGCAAGTCCTTCTTTGTGCCCCTCATCAGTCGTAGCCCTCTCCTTCCTATGGAAAAGGTTTTGATACATTCCAGGTAGGGCAGAAGATGTGACCCTACCTTAGAATTCATTATCCAAGAAGAAGAAAGTGGTAACAGCTGTCAGGGATAATTCCACTTCAGCAAAACCATCTTATTGGCAAGTGATTAGAGCATTTTTAGATTTGAAAGCTGGTTCCTGGTAACCTGGTATTATTAGCTGGTTTTATATATGGATGGCTGGAATGCCAAGATGTAGGGGGATGAGAATATATTCAGATTGGCCGTTTCAGGATTATGCACCTGGGTCATGGTACTTGGTAAAAGGCCAAAACCCATCATTGGCAGTAATCAGGTGTAAGAAAATATCCAGGAGTTCTAGTAGTACAGCCTTGCTCCCATATAAAGAAGGGTAATTATAAAAACACTTTTTAAAAAATTTTTGGTAATTGTGTTCATATAATTTATACTAAAAGTTACGTGAGGAACTATTCTAGCTACTCGGACAGCTTTAACCAAATATTGAATGTTCTACCCTGTTTTGGGTTGTCTTGTCAACCCAAGTGCACACTTTCAGGGGAATTAAACATGGTGGAGAAATGGAAGAAAGGAAAGAATACTTGCCGTCACATCAGCTGAATCAGCTTTTGTGATTCAGTCTTATCACTTTTGTAACCATGAAGCACTATCAATGTTGCCTCATAGGGTTTAGTTCTCTATATTAGCACTATTTTATAGAACTTTCTATAAGGGCCGGACGTGGTGGCTCACGCTTGTAATCCCAGCACTTTGGGAGGCCAAGGCGGGCGGATCACGAGGTCAAGAGATCGAGACCATCCTGGCCAACATGGTGAAATGTCTCTACTAAAAATAAAAAAATTAGCTAGGCATGGTGGTACGTGCCTGTAGTTGCAGCTACTTGGGAGACTGAGAGGCCAGAGAATTGCTTGAACCTGGGAGGCGGAGGTTGCCGTGAGCCGAGATCAAGCCACTGCACTCCAGCCTGGTGACTAAGCGAGACCCAGTCTCAAAAAAAAAAAAAAAAAAAAAAACTTTCTATGAGGATGGAAATATTCTTTGACTGTACCACCATGCATAGTAGTCAGTAGCCCATCATTTGTGAGTGTTGAGAACTTGAAATGTGACTAAGGAACTGAATTTTTACTTTAATTTTAACCAAAATAAATTTAAATAGCCAAATGTGACTGGTGGCACAGCATTAAATATAAATCAAAACCTCCACAAATTGAGCAAGAAAAAAATTTTTCTTGGTTAATACAGAAAATTGGACATTGTCTTAGATACAAAGTTCTTAGGTCTTAGACAAAGACCTAAGAACTTTCCTATTGTTTCCTAAAAACAATCCTATCATTAATGCCTCCTATAAATGGAAAGAGTTGTGTCCCACAGTTTGAGCTGACCGAATGACTGTTTCCAAGGAGAGGCCCAGGAAAGGGCTTGAGAAAAGAAAGTCCACATTAATGACCACACAGAGTTGGTAGAGAATTTTAATTTGTATAATTTCTTCAAGAAATTATATTTGGCAACAAGAAATGAAAAGGGTAAGTTTAAATTGGTTATATCTTTAATCATTTGAACGTTGAGGTTACATGTCCAAGGGCCACAATATTAAAATATTGTGACCATTGGTGAGAACATCTCAAGACCTATAATGGATTGCAAGTCATTTCCAGTTATGAGGAAAAGTCTTTGTGGTAATTTTTATATGGGCAACTGAGCAGATCTTAAGATTGGTTAGAGGATAAAGAGAAATATATAATAATTACAGATTTGAATTGCAGAGAACAGTAGAGTTGCAGATACTAAATAATAAGCGAGAGGGTTGGAGTGTTTTTGAAGTGAGGATGGTGAGGGGATGGGGTTGGAGGAAACGGAAAGAAAGGGAAAGAGAATTCAGGAAGGGTGAACAAAGCTGCCAACTGCCATCTGAAAAAAACTGTGTCGGCAAGTATTTTGATACTTAAAAACAGCAGAAGCCTGGGCAACATGGGGAGACCCCTTCTCTACAAAAACATTTTTTTTAATTAGCCACATGTGGTGTCACACACCTATGGTCCCAGCTACTCAGGAGGCTGAGGTGGAAGGATCACTTTAGCCCAGGAAGTCAAAGCTGCAGTGAGCTGTGATCACACCACTATACTCCAGCCAGGGCAACAGAGAGAGACCCTGTCTCTCTGCATGCGCACACACACAGGTTTAGCCTAAAAAAGCTCTCGAAAAAGAGCAATGGTAAGAGGGACTGGCACTGCTGATGTGTAAAATACTTAGTAAAGTTATGGTAGTTTTTATTTTATTTTTTAGAATTTAATAGATACTTCACAGTTCAAAATATCAGAAAGATAAATATCAAGATATCACAGACCTTTTCTCACCATTTTTATTTTTTATTTGTCCTTTTTTCAAATGTAGATGTTTTTCTCCCTTATTTCACAACAGTAAACTATAATGATTAAAACCATGTAGTATAGGTTCAGAAATACATAGGCAAAGCAGTGGGTAAATAGCCTCAACAAACATAAAGATACATGAGGACTTGGTAGATGATAAAGATGACATCCCAAATTGGTGGGAAATTGGTGGGAAATAGGTGGTAGTGACATAACTGGTTAGCTGTCTATGGGGCAAATCTTTAATATGTCACTCTTTAGACCAAAATTAATACCAGGAGGATTAAAGACTTCATTGGGGGCAGGGCACAGTGGCTTGCGCCTATAATCCCAGCACTTTGGGAGGCCGAGGTGGGTGGATCACCTGAGGTTAGGAGTTCGAGACCAGCCTAGCCTACATGGCAAAACCCTGTCTCTACTGAAAATACAAAAATTAGCTGGGCGTGGTGGCGGGCACTTGAAATCCCAGCTACTCGGGTGGCTGAGGCAGGAGAATCGCTTGAGCCTGGGAGGCGGAGGTTGCAGTGAGCCGAGATGGCGCCATTGCACTCCAGTCTGGGTGACAAGAGTGAAACTCCGTCTCAAAAAAAAAAGGACTTAATTGTGAAAAAAATCATTGAAATATTAAAGGAAAACATAACATCACATGAATACCACCATGAGATTTGAAAGACCATGCTACCTAGGACACAAAACCCAGAAACAATAAGAAGTTGAAAGTTTTGACTACATAAAAATTGAAAATACTACATGGTGAAAATGCCATAAACTGAATTAAAACACAAACAGCTAATTGGGAAAATGTTTGCATACTTAACAGATAAACAGCCAACACTGCCAATATATACCAAATTTTTAGGATTTGGTAAGATGATGAAGAACGTTAAGTAAAATCAGCAAAGGACATGAATAGGCAGTTTAGACACAAAAAAGTGTTTGGTAACCACATGAGAAGTTGCCCAGACTTACTAATAAAGCAAACAATTTGAGACAGAGTGTCACCCTGTCGCCCAGGCTGGAGTGCAGTGGTGTGACCTTGGCTCACTGCATCCTCCACCTCCCGGGTTCAAGCAATTCTCCTGTCTCAGCCTCCCAAGTAGCTGGGACTACAGGTGCCCACCACCACACCCGGCTAATTTTTGTATTTTTATTAGAGATGAGGTTTCACCATATTAGGCAGGCTGGTCTCGAACTCCTGACCTCGTGATCCGTGTGCCTCTGCCTCCCAAAGTGCTGGGATTACAGGCATGAACCACTGCACCCAGCCTATTTCTCTCTCTTAAAAAAAAAAAAAAAAAGTCTATCAGATAGGGTGAAGCTCAGATGATACCCATATGGTTTGGGGAAAGAAGAGATCTTATAATGGAGTACTAGTCAAGAGTCCATTTGGGAGGCAATTTGGCCTCCCAATATACAGAGGATATTTATTTTCACTTTGGTTGTAATGGGTAAAAACTGGAAACAACCCAAATGTCTATCAGTAGGAGCTTGGTTAAGTAAACCATAGTTCACCTATATTGAGACATGAAAACAAATAAGACAGGCATGTTCATTGAATTACATAAAAATGTAAAAATAATATGCAGAATATAAACATTCTTATAAACAAGGGGAAAATCGCTCTTAGTACATGTACAGAAAAAAGTAGAGGAATTTTACTCTATAAGGATGAAATTATAGAATGCTTTCATTTTCTAGGTTAAATATATCTGTAAGGTTTAAATTAATTGTAATGATTATGCATTGGTTTTGTAATTTTAATAAGTTATTTTAATATTATGGAAAACTGGTACTGCCGGCCCGGCACAGTGGCTCATACCTGTAATCCCAGCACTTTGGGAGGCTGAGGCAGGCAGATCACCAGGTCAAGAGATCGAGACCATCCTGGCCAACATGGTGAAACTTTGTCTCTATTAAAAATACAAAAATCTAGCTGGGCGTGGTGGCGCACGCCTGTAGTCCCAGCTGCTTGGGAGGCTGAGGCAGGAGAACCGTTTGAACCTGGGAGGTGGAGGTTGCAGTGAGCTGAGATGGAGCCACTGCACTCCAGCCTGAGCAACAGAGTGAGACTCTGTTCCCCCCACCAAAATAGAAGGCGGGCTTGGTGACATGCACATGTAGTCCCAGCTACTCAGGAGGCTGAGGCAGGAGGATCACTTGAGCCCAGGAGTTCAAGGTTACAATGAGCTGTGATTGGGCCACTGCACTACAGTCTGGGCAACAGAGCAAAATCCTGTCTCAAAAGAGAGAAAGTAAGTATTAAGTAAACAATAGTACAGGTGATGGCAGATGTGAAGAAAATCATGAAAATGCTAACAAATGGACTGAAGTTGCGGAAAACATTGAAAAGCTTATGGGCTTTGGAATCAGATAAATCTGGGGTAGACTACAGTCTTAACTATATCAATACTGACTTTGGAATGAATTTGAGAGGATTATATAATCTCTGTGAGCCTAATTTCCTCATCCAAAAGAAGCGCAAAATTAGGATAAAACGATGGCTCTCAAAATTGATGAGAAAATTTAATATAATGATCTGACATACCTAGAAAATGTTCATTTCCTTCTTTAATTGTTGTTGTTTTGAGACAAAGTCTCACTCTGTCCCCCAGGCTGGAGTACAGTGGCACAGTTTCGGCTCACTGCAACCTCTGCCTCCAGGGTTCAAGTGATTTCTCCTGCCTCAGCCTCCTGAGTAGCTGGGATTACATGCCCAACTAATTCTTGTATTTTATTTTTTTTAAATAGAGTGGGGGTTTCACTATGTTGGCCAGGCTGGTCTTGAACTCCTAACTTCAAGTGATCCACCAACCTTGGCCTCCCGAAGTCCTGGGATTATAGGCGTGAGCCACCACGCCTGGCCTATTTCCATCTTTACTTGTAAAATAGAGATACTTATAACAGAATACCACTTCAAAGTGATTAGAGATCATAAAAGGCCTCTATGGTATTTTTTTGTTTGTCGTGGTAGTGCTGGCTTCTTGGTAGTTGTGGAAAATAGATATAGAGATTGCTTTATATTTAGCTGGATGTGATGACTCACACCTGTAATCCCAGCACTCCGTAAAACCGAGGCAGCTGGATCACTTGAGCCCAGGAGCTCAAGACCAGACTGGGCAACACGGCAGAACCCTGTCTCTACAAAAAATAGAAAAATCAGCTGGGCATTGGAAGCACACACCAGTAGTCCCAGCTACTCGAGAGGCTGAGGTGGGAGAATCATCTGAGCCTGGGAAAGTCGAGGCTGCAGTGAGCCAAGACGATGCCACTGCAACATGCTTTGGGCAACAGAGTGAGACTGTCTAGAAAGGAAAAAAAAAAAATTGTTTAGGGCTGGGTGCCATGGCTCATGCCCATAATCCTAGCACTTTGGGAGGCCAAGGCAGGCGGATCACTTGAGCTCACGAATGGGAGATCAGCTTGGGCAACTTGGTGAAATCTCGTCTCTACAAAAAATACAGAAATTGGCCGGGCGCGGTGGCTCACGCCTGTAATCCCAGCACTTTGGGAGGTCAAGGTGGGTGGATCACGAGGTCAGGAGATCGAGACTATCCTGGCTAACACAGTGAAACCCCGTCTCTACTAAAAATACAAAAAAAAAAAAAAAATTAGCCAGGCATGGTGGCGGGCACCTGTAGTCCCAGCTACTTGGGATGCTGGGGCAGGAGAATGGCATGAACCCGGGAGGTGGAGGCTGCAGTGAGCCGAGATCGCGCCACTGCACTCCAGCCTGTGCGACAAAGCGAGACTCCGTCTCAAAAAAAAAAAAAAAAAAAAAAAAAAAAATCGTGCATGGTGGTGCATACCTGTAGTCCCAGCTACTCAGGAGACTGAGCTGGGAGAACGGCTTGAGCCCAGGAGGCGGAGGTTGCAGTGAGCTGAGATCGTGCCACTGTCCTCCAGCGTGGGTGATAAGAGCCAGACCTTGTCTCAAAAAAAGAAAAAAAAATTGAAGATTATTTTACTTTGGGGGGATAGTAGGGGAGAAATGACTAGAGAAATTGTAGTATACAGTCTGCTTGCCCATAAGAGGGTTAATGTCAGAGCAGCCTCTAGTTCAGAGGTTAGTGGGTTAGCAGACTCTTTTTGCAAAGAGGGGACACTATATATTTTAGACTCCACAGGCCACAAGGTCTCTGTAACATACTGTTTTTTGTTTGGCTAATGGTTTTTTTGTTTTGTTTGAGACAGAGTCTGGCTCTGTCACCCAGGCTGGAGTGCAGTGGCACAATCTCGTCTCATTGCAACTTCTGCCTCCTGGGTTCAAGTGATTCTCCTGCCTCAGCCTCCTGAGTAGCTGGGATTACAGGTGCGTGCCACCACGCCTGGCTAATTTTTGTATTTTTAGTAGAAACGGGGTTTCACCATGTTGGTCAGGCTGGTCTCGAACTCCTGACCTCATGATCTGCCTGCCTTGGCCTCCCAAAGTGCTGGGGTTACAGGCATGAGCCACTATGCCCAGCCTGGCTGATTTTTTTTTTTTTTTTTTAACCTTTAAAAATGTAAAAGCCAGCCGGATATGATGGCTCATGCCTGTACTCCCAGCACTTTCAAAGGCCAATGCAAGAGGATGAATTATGCCAGGAGTTTGAGACCAGCCTGGGCAACATGGCAAGACCCCATTTCTACAAAACTTTTTGAGAGAGTTTGCTCTGTCACCCAGACTGGAGTGCAGTTGCATAATCTTGGCTTACTGCAACCTCTGCCTTACGGGTTCAAGCAGTTCTCCTGCCTCAGCCTCCTGAATAGCTGGGATTACAGGTGTGTGCCACCACACCCAGCCAATTTTTGTATTTTTAGTAGAGACGGGGTTTCATTATTCTCCTGCCTCGGCCTCCCAAAGTGCCGGGATTACCAGCGTGAGTCACCATACCTGGCCCAAAACTTTTTTTTTTTTTTTTTTTGACAGAGTTTCACTCTTGTTGTCCAGGCTGGAGTGCAATGGCACGATCTCGGCTCACCGCAACCTCCGCCTGCCGCGTTCAAGCAATTCTCCTGCGTCAGCCTCCCAAGTAGCTGGGATTACAGGGATGTGCCACCACGCCCTGCTAGTTTTGTATTTTTACTAGAGACGGTTTCTCCATGTTGGTCAGGCTGGTTGCGAATTCCTGACCTCAGGTGATCCGCCCACCTTGGCCTCCCAAAGTGTTGGGATTACAGGCATGAGCCACTGCGCCTGGCCCCAAAATATTTTTTTAAGAAAATTGTCCCAGCCTGCAGTCTTAGCTACTACGGAGGCTAAGGTGTAAGGATCACTTGAGCACAGCGGTTCAAGGCTGCCCCTGATCTGTGATCACGCCACTGCACTCCAACCTGGGCAACAGAGTGAAGACACTGTCTGTCTCAAAGAAAAAGCCATTCTTAGCTCACAAGTCCATATAAAAACAGGCCATGGGTCAGATTTGGCCTGAGGGCCATAGTTTGCTAACCCTTCCTCTACTTTGATGAGTAATTAGGATACAGGAACATGGGAACGTAGGAACTCTCTTCCCTATAGCCACAGATGTGATGACATGTCCTTGTTTACCTATGTGTGTGGTGATACCGTGGTGGGTATATGCTGCCAAACACCAACCAGATTAGGTTAGGATAAAGGGGAAGTAGCATTTCCTTGCCTCTTGTGTCTAAAGGGACTCATCTTGACAGGAAAATAAATTGGCTTACCTGTGGAAGGGATCCTAGGCATCCTTGGTAAGTTCTGAGTGAGTGACCTGACTTGCCTGTGTAGGATGTTCTCAAGTCCTTGGTCTAACCCACGGTTTGGCAAATTACAACCCACATGCTGCCTGTTTTTGTATAACCATGGCTACCTGCTAGCTAAGAATAGTTTTCATATTTTTAAATTTTTTTTTAATATAGAATATTTTCTGACATGAAAATTATGAGATTCCCATTTCAGTGTTTGTAAAGTTTTACTGAAAGACAGCCACACCCATTTCCTTACTCTTGTCTAAGGCTGCCTTCACACTGCCTCAGCAGGGTTGAGCTGTGTTAACAGAGCATGGCCACAAAGCCTCAAACACTATTTGGCCCTTCCCAGAACAAGTTTGCTGACTCCTTGTCTAACTCAGTCTTTTCTTAACTGGAAGAGGATGGTCTGTGTTATATTTCTTCTTCTCCATGATTATACTTGCCCTGGGGACCCTAGGGGATGTGGAAGATGGGAAATTCATTTAGGACTGTGGTAATGAAGCTTCTGTACTTTCAGAGATAGGATGACAGAGGATAGGGGCACACATCTTAGTGACATATTTTACATCTGGAATAGTCAAGAAGTGGAGAAGTAAATTCATAGAGGTTCCAAATAGCACTCTCTGACATAGTGCCAGATGCGGTCCACTCAGAAGATCCTGGGAACAAGCCAAGAAACTGGTGTTAAGGGCCGCATTTACTTAAATGTACCACAAAGGTCATTCTATCTTTGAAGAAAGAAGGTAAAAGAGGAAAGATATGTTTAATTCTCCACTTTTTTTTTTTTTTTTTTTTTTTTACCTTTCCCCTCCTCCCTCCTGCAGTCTAGCCACCCTATGAAAATTATCTAATAGGCAGAGTGGTACCTTAATCCAAGAAAGATTTGGAGCCACTTGCAGTAACTTTTTCTTTTCCCAGATAAAGTTCTAATACTCAAAAAAGAAGAGTTGATTTAAGTCCCATATCCTTCAGGAATGAGGTATAGGATATAAATAAATTCAAAGTACCACATTCTAAGATATTTCACTAAACATTGGAATGAATTTTTCCCCTTTATGTACTTTAAAATATAGAAAATATGCAGTTATGACTAGAAATAGCTGTAATATTGTACCTGCAGAGTTGAGTATCTCACTAGTATAATTTATAATTATAACCTATTCTGATTTCTTTTCAAATATTAGGTGTCCTAGTTGCCTATGAAGGTTTGCCACTTCATCTTGCACTGTTCCCCAAACTTTGGACTGAGCTATGCCAGACTCAGGTAAAGAAAATGAGTTTTAGATGATTGGTCTTTAATCTTATCTGACCAAGTGGTCAATAATTTTAGGAACAGTGGGTTGAAGACTTGCTGAAAAGTGGGGACATTTTAGAATCTTGATAGGTAACATATGAATGAATGAAAATACTAGCTATTACATATTAGGCATCTAGTTTCCCTTTGATTTTTTTAACTTAAGTAGATTTCTATCATAGAGGATATTTTAAATAAGCTGGTTATAATTGAATTTCTCATTTATAGATGTATATCAACAGTTGTGGGGAAAATCCAAAACAGGGAGATAGTGGGGGAAAAGGCACTTGCCACTTCTTCCTCTCCTTCACCTCCCTGTCTCTACCTCTTTTCCACCATTCCAAAACCTCTAGCAGAAACCCTGTCAGCAGTCTGTCCTTTAGCTTTTCATAATCTGTAGTTTTTCAGGGGTCTGATGCACTTGTTTTCTTACAGCGATCTCCTTGAAAACAGGAAAGATTACTGTTCCTACCTTAAGTGTCTAAGAGCCAACTCCTTAAAATTAAGTGGCTGCATAAATAATGCTTGTTAAGTTACAAAGGCAGAATTGGGAAGAGGAGGAGGTACTAATGTTTGGCTCATTCCTTGGATCAGGCATAAAGGATCCCCACTACCTTTCAGTCCCTGAAAAAACTGTTGATTGTACTGCCTGGTTGCATCTGCTCTACCCCATTGGAAGAGATGAATTTATTCACCTTCCTTAGGTGCAACCCTTGACCCACATCATGCTTTCCTGAAGTATTTTGAGTCTGGTTCAGCCTCCTACCAGGCTGTAGTGTGCTCTGGATTCTCCTAGATGTTTGCCATCCTGTACTCTACTGGTGGTTTCTCTACTTTTCCAAAACAGAACTCAAGTGTAGAGACCTTATCAGAGTCATCTCCATCCCCTGAAGAAATGCCACGTTGTTCTCTACAGTAGAAATCTTTCAGAGGCTAGTATACACTGATCTTAGCTCACTTGACTTAGCATACAGTAGGCATTCAGAAAATGACTTTTATCAGTTGATTTTTGAGCTGAGTGTTCTGTTCAGTCAATTGGAGATCTCGTTTTCCCTCTCCACTGCTACTGCTGTTCTTTTTCATTCTTCCTGATTTGGGTAGTTTCTTGGTTTCTGTACTCTCCCACTACCTATTGCTCCCTATTGCTTTCTCTACTTCTGCATCGCAGGACTCCCTTCGCTTGACTTCTTTCACAGACAGAACTCACTGTGCCCCCAAATTTCCCTTAAAACAAAGCCTAACCATATAAGGCCTCCAAAGCTTCCAGTGCTATAGAAGCAGCCATCCTGAGCAAGAAACAGAGGCAGAGGCACAGGCTGTGACTGGTAGACCAAGGCAGGTTTTTCCTAGTGTTAAGGATCTCAAGACCTGGGTCTTGGTCCTACTTGAATCCTAATTTCTTGACTGACCTTGAGTAATTTACTTATGACAGCTGCATACTTTAATAAGATATACACATATGCATATATATATATATATAATCTAAATTTTGTCCTATTTAAAAAATATATTGCTTTTTTCCATATAAATTATTAAAATGCACATTTAAATCTATGGAGTGTATCTGCTTAAAGACATACTACTTGTGTTTAAGAGCCATGACTATTTGAAAACAGGAAAACCAAATTTTAGTAAAATTTCCATATATTGAGACCACTGATTCTGTGTGAGATAATTAGGAAAGAAGATTTATTGTTTACCCTTGCAGTGTTTATGGGGGGAAAAGGTATTTACAGAATTACTGTTGCTAGCGAGAATATACAGTAAAGTTTAAAACATTTTGGAGAATTGATTTTGATTCTTAAAATGTGTCTTTTTGCAACATATGCTCTGGTTACCTATAAATACATTAATTTGGCCCTTGAAAACATTCACATCCTATTCTTTGTTAGCCTTATTTTTCCAGTCCTTGTTAACTCTCTCAGTGCTGGATAATAAACCTGCATTTCTTTTAAAACATTTGTTCAGTTTCGGCATCAGTGTCTTCCCCCAGCACTCCCTTAATCTAAATTAGTAACATTTTACTGTATGAAAAATAGTTGCTGTTAACTAAAAATTCAATAGGTGAGTTAGACATGGCTTTTCAAGTAGGATTTTCAGTGGCTTCAGATTCCATCATACACAAGTGTATGTTTTTTCTGTGTAAGTTTTTTCCGTGTAAGTTTTTTCCGTGCTCAACCGTAAGTGCTCAACCATCTTCTCCCCACTTTAGTCTGCTATGTCAAAAAACTGCATCAAGCTTTTGTGTGAAGATCCTGTTTTCGCAGAATATATTAAATGTATCCTAATGGATGAAAGAACTTTTTTAAACAACAACATTGTCTACACGTTCATGACACATTTCCTTCTAAAGGTACGTAGTACTTTGGAAACTCAGTGTGTCATTTCTAATTAGTTAATGCTTGTGGTTTCATTATGCTGGTCTTTTGGAGATTTTTTTAAATCTTCTTTTTCAGGTTCAAAGTCAAGTGTTTTCTGAAGCAAACTGTGCCAATTTGATCAGCACTCTTATTACAAACTTGATAAGCCAGTATCAGAACCTACAGTCTGATTTCTCCAACCGAGTTGAAATTTCCAAAGCAAGTGCTTCTTTAAATGGGGTAAGAACTATGCAGAGGCGGCGGCACACACTTTTAAACTGTCCTTCAGTTAACTGTGTGGCCTTCATATGATTTTACTCTCGTAACTTTAACTTACTGATTCAAACTCTTAAGCCATGTGCGACAAAAAAACAAGTTTTAAATACACGTTTACTATGCCTTGTATGTACACAGCACACTCTATCACCTTGGAAGCTACAAGCTGGTATCATTAAATGCTGAAAGGTAATAAAGGGAACATCTTAGTGGTCTTATCTCTAGTTGGGTATATTTTTGGAAACAATACTTGTGATGTTTCTATTACTGCCTATGGCTCCTATGTAACTGAAACAATTAATGATCTACTGATTTAAAAAAGGCAGTTAAATCTAGAGCATTAGTTGCCTTGTGCAGACTCCCATGACAGCCATGTCCTAGAATAATGGAACACTCTGGAAATGGGCTAGAATGTTGAGCAGCAGCCTCCCAAATCACAGTATGCATAAAAGCCAAAACAGATGACAGAGCTCAGTAAGGAAGACCTTACTATTTGTGACATCCATCAGAATTTTAACTTGAGAAACTGATTTCAAGGTTTGTTTTTAAAATTCTTATATTTCCTTTTCCATTTTTCAGAAAACACTATTTCAGGCTTTGGTCTGACTTACTGGTTCGTGGGCATAAAATAATGCTATTAGTGACTTTAAGAACTAATGAGGCTGGGCACGGTGGCTCATGCCTGCAATCCAAGCATTTTGGGAGGTCGAGGCCGGTGGATAACGAGGTCAGGAGATTGAGACCATCTCAATGGCCAACATGGTGAAACCCTGTCTCTACTAAAATAGAAAAAATTAAGCCAGGCGTGGTGGCGGGCGCCTGTAGTCCCAGCTACTTGGGAGGCTGAGGGAGGGGAATCGCTTGAACCCGGGTGGTGGAGGTTGCAGCGAGCCGAGATTACACCACTGCACTCCAGCCTTGCCAAAGAACAAGACTCCATCTCAAAAAAAACAAAAACAAAACAAAAAAAAAAAACAACTAATGAAATGCTGTAGTATCTTAACACTGGCTTTCTGGTTTTATCATTCTAAGAATCCCAGAGAAACCAGGGTATTCTTAGGAAAGAATGGATTCCTGGGAAAATAAACATCTGCAATTAACTGTAAACAACTGCATCAAAGTGTTGGCTTTAGAATTTGAAATGTTCCTATCTGGGTTTTTGTAGGACCTGAGGGCACTCGCTTTGCTCCTGTCAGTACACACTCCCAAACAGTTAAACCCAGCTCTAATTCCAACTCTGCAAGAGCTTTTAAGCAAATGCAGGACTTGTCTGCAACAGAGAAACTCACTCCAAGAGCAAGAAGCCAAAGAAAGAAAAACTAAAGGTTAGCTTTATGGACTACTATCATTACCTTTAGGGTGGGAGGAGGGAGTAATACACTTGGTGTAACTGGTTTAAGAGTTGTGTGTTCAGCTGAACCTCCTAAATATAAATGCTAGAAACAAAATTAACTTCCCACATCCCCCCCTAACGTGATCTTAATGACTTTCAGAGAAGTTTCCCTTTTGGCATGTGTTTTCACAGATGATGAAGGAGCAACTCCCATTAAAAGGCGGCGTGTTAGCAGTGATGAGGAGCACACTGTAGACAGCTGCATCAGTGACATGAAAACAGAAACCAGGGAGGTCCTGACCCCAACGAGCACTTCTGACAATGAGACCAGAGACTCCTCAATTATTGATCCAGGAACTGAGCAAGATCTTCCTTCCCCTGAAAATAGTTCTGTTAAAGAATACCGAATGGAAGTTCCATCTTCGTTTTCAGAAGACATGTCAAATATCAGGTCACAGCATGCAGAAGAACAGTCCAACAATGGTAGATATGACGATTGTAAAGAATTTAAAGACCTCCACTGTTCCAAGGATTCTACCCTAGCTGAGGAAGAATCTGAGTTCCCTTCTACTTCTATCTCTGCAGTTCTGTCTGACTTAGCTGACTTGAGAAGCTGTGATGGCCAAGCTTTGCCCTCCCAGGACCCTGAGGTTGCTTTATCTCTCAGTTGTGGCCATTCCAGAGGACTCTTTAGTCATATGCAGCAACATGACATTTTAGATACCCTGTGTAGGACCATTGAATCTACAATCCATGTCGTCACAAGGATATCTGGCAAAGGAAACCAAGCTGCTTCTTGACATTAGGTGTAGCATGTCTACTTTTAAGTCCCTCACCCCCAACCCCCATGCTGTTTGTATAAGTTTTGCTTATTTGTTTTTGTGCTTCAGTTTGTCCAGTGCTCTCTGCTTGAATGGCAAGATAGATTTATAGGCTTAATTCTTGGTCAGGCAGAACTCCAGATGAAAAAAACTTGCATCTTCAGTATACTTCCTAAAGGGCAATCAGATAATGGATATGTTTTATGTAATTAAGAGTTCACTTTAGTGGCTTTCATTTAATATGGCTGTCTGGGAAGAACAGGGTTGCCTAGCCCTGTACAATGTAATTTAAACTTACAGCATTTTTACTGTGTATGATATGGTGTCCTCTGTGCCAGTTTTGTACCTTATAGAGGCAGATTGCCTCCGATCGCTGTGGTTCTTATTATCAAAATTAAGTTTACTTGTATACGGAACAACCACAAGAAATTTGATTCTGTAAAGAATCCTCTTTAGCTGTGGCCTGGCAGTATATAAATGGTGCTTTATTTAACAGAATACCTGTGGAGGAAATAAAGCACACTTGATGTAAAAATAATTGTTTTATTTTTATTGACATGACTGATTGATTGATTGCTATTCTGTGCACTTAATTAAACTGATTGTGATGACTTTTCATTTGTTTACATACGTTGCTTCAGTCTTCTCAGGTGAAAGTAGTGAGAAAACCGTGAAAGAGGGGGGAAACATTTATCCATTATATGCTGTTTCACTGGAAGTGTTACCAGCAGTCCACAGAACTAATGTGTCCCCACAGACTTCTCAATCCTCTCCACACCGAAGTGCAAAACCACAGCAGGGAGATGTGCAGGGAGATGTGGAGCAAAACACAGCCAATTTGCCCTCACCTCAACATGCTTTTGAATGCAATATACCACTGTTTTACGACCTAAGATCTACACACCTTAAAAACCCTAAAGTAAAATAAAGGAATAGTGTCAACATGCCATTTATTTTTTGTCATCTTGAACTAAAAGTACAGCTGCAAGCAAGCTTGCTATAGGACAAGCTTCAGCTTGGGAAACATCAACTATCTGCACTCAGGACTTACCTATTTCCAGAGGAATATCGATGGAAGGTCAGGTTAATACTTAATTTCAGGTTGTTTGCTACTTTTAAATCAATGCAGTGTCTAGTTATAATAAAGAGTCAAACAATGCTTTACATTGTATATATGTTCATAGATTTCATCCAATATAAAATAAAGACAGTCCTTTTAAACAAAAGATAGGGAAGAGGTAAATGTGACACTTTTTCCGCTTACAAAAAGTAATGCCTTATAATAAATTTTAATTCAACCATTTAGGGGGGTCAGCTGCAGTGAACCTTTTATTTCTTCAAAATGCTGCTTCTGCCAACAGAATTTCATGTTCTCTTCTTTACAGATAGATAGGAACTCCTTCAATTGTAATTCTGTTTGCCCTAGAGTAGGCACAAAATTCAGTGCAACCATGGCATAGTGTTCTAAGAAAAAAAATAGGAACCTTATTACTGCATTATGAAAAGGAAAATTTATCCATACGAAAAACCTAGCCTTAGTGTTTTGGGACCTTTAATATGAAGGGCAGTAATTAGTAACATACCTTCTGGCCAGTTCCCACATCTCCATTTCATGATGATCTTCTTATTTGTTAACTGAAAAGAGAGGGGAAATTCCACTGAAAATCTTTTAAGACTTCCCACAATACAACACAGAAAAATCCTTTCATTGAAACTCCTAGAAGAATCAATGAACAACATACGGTCCTTCTTCCAGTTTATACATCAGCACCACTGATAATTGTCTTTATTGCCAAAATGTCTCAGAACAGCAGTAACATCAAGGACAGCAGGAATATATAATAATGTTTTAAGTACAGTAATAGTAACCAGAACAGAGGGCTGCTGTTAAGGTTGAGGCAACACAGACCCTCGTGATTTCGGTGCTAAAAACAGCATATACAAAAAGTAATATTAAGAGTTAATCCCACCTTACTTCTTCAACCTTGAGTCTACTTACCAATCCTAGATATTCACCAGTGATGTTCCCATCAAACATCTGGAATTTCCCTCCCTTTTCAGTTTCTAATACAGCAGTAGATTTAGAAAACTTTTGCACCAACTAACCAAATAAAACATGTTATTCCAGTACACACTAACACATAATATAATTATGAAATACAAAATATAACAATTAATATGGTTTAAAAATCCTAAACATGTAGCTTTTACTTACAGAAAATAAAACACAAACTCTCTCTTCCTAGAGGGAGAAAACTCAATGTAATGCGGACATAGTCCCAAAGAATGCCCATCTCCCCTCCAATTATTCAGAAACTATGCTCAGACTTCTGTCACCACCATCCCACATCCCTTCAATCAAAAACACAGCCACAAGGAAAACCAAAAACCAGCTCCTGTTCTTTGTAATGTATTTTCTCCCAATGTCAGCACTTAACATGCTAGCTTAGGGAGTTACTTACCTCCTTTACAGTGAAGATGCTATACAGCTGCTCTACAGTTGTGTCAAACAGTTCCATCATGTGAAGAGCCACAGTGGGAATCCTTACACCCAGTGCCACTGGAGATGAGGCCTGAACCTGGAGAAGGGAAGAGGTTCCAGGGAATGATTAGCATAACAAGAGAGAAAGCTGCTTGGATTACAATAGTCTTCTCAGTAAAACATCAAATGTCCCAAATTCCATACTGCCTATTCCAGACACACATACAAACAGCATGAAAAGCCTTTTTAGCACCACCAGTCTTGGTCTTTACTTTGGAACCAGAGCTCACTGTTCCTACAGCTCTTCAGCTCTGTTCCCAGGTCATATATGACTGAATACCCCTCATCCTAGCTGGACTTCCAGATACAGCCGTGAGCAGGTGAAAGACAACTGCAGCTAAAGCTAAAGGGTGTCCATTACACACAGAACACCCATTCCAAGAACAGATCTAAACTCCCAGTCCAAAAGTGAGCAAAGAAGTTTCTTTTATTATGCTATGTGGATCTTGAAAGTCATCTGGTTCTGTGGCCTACCAAAGAACACTGCCCTTAGGACACTCTTGAGTCAGGTATTTATCCCAAAGAAAGGCGTGTCTGTAACAATCCCTTCCATCAAGAATCAAAGTCTCATTTTATCATTTGCACAACAAAATGGGAGATCTTAGAGGACTCACGGGAGACTCAAAGGCGGAAGAAGGCCCTCGCTGTCCTCAGTTCTCCATCAACACGGCCATTCGGAGCCCTGACTCAAACACTTCCTTTACCCCTTCCCTACATTTTGGCCAACAGAGCTCATACCTGCAGGGTATTCCCACTCAGTTTTCTTTTGACAGTCAATTCCTGGGTTGCCATAGCTTTCGTTGGTAAAATCATTCCCGTTGTAAATTCTATAAAGAAACAAGGGAAGTGGTTTTAGTAAGGACCTTTCTCCTTTTAAGCACAAAGAGTAAGGTAGAAAACCCAAAACAGCATGTAAGAAAATAAAACATTTATAAAAATAATTCCTATAACATTTTGAGAATTTCAAGACCATTCCAAGTTTTTACATATAAAACTACTGATGATTAACAATGTGAGTTCCACAGCAACAAATGCCTTTTTTTCAAATGCCTCACTTTTATCAAGTTTTTGCTAAAGCAGCAAAATTTTCCAAAGTTCTTTTCCAAACAGCTAAGTTTTATATGATTAACTACTAATAGCTTTGTGGCTCTAACCTACTGTCAAAACAGACAATTTCTCACGTGAGGGTGACCACTGCCTCACAAAGCTTGTCTTCACAGTATTCAAAAGCCTGTGAGCCAGCTATATGTGCGCTCTCACGGGAAAAGTGACAACCCCAAACCCATCTATGCCAACACCTAGATACTCAGGTGGTAGGGTCCAAGAACGAGGTACAGAGATAAGGCACTGCTGGCCATCTTGCCTGCCTCACTTCTCTAATTTAGGGAAGACAACAATAACCTCACTTCCATGCAATGCGGATATTATCTAGGTATTTCTCAATTACACCTGTAATACCTGCAGTCACTTTCATCCATTCATTCATTCATCCAACAAAGATTTATTAAGCACCTACTATGTGCCAGGCATTGTGCTAGATGCTGGAGATACAGCAGTGAACAAGACAGACACCTTCCATGCCCTCATGGAGCTTATAGTCTAGCAAGGAAGTCAGACATTAAACAAGTAATTACACGAACAACTGATTTTCATTCCAGAAAACTACAATTAACAGTTCTGTAGGCAAAATGGTTCATGCTGTGTACAATACTAATTATCACTAATTATGGTCTTAACGATGACTAGCTCTCAACTTCCAGACTACAATTTATTCTGAAGTATAAACTTGCTTCTGGAGCCTCTGACCACAGTGTAGAGTATAACTTGGGTAAATAGAAAAGGGACCCCTCTGATTCACAAGGGATGCCTTCTTTACCCGTCTTAAGTGCCTTCAGGTAATCTCCAAGGGCCTCCCTGACCTTGGCAGTGCCTGCAGTTTTCATAAGATCCTTCAGTATAACCCCATCTCCTTTCTTTTTACTCAACGTTGACCTACAAATCAGAAAAATAGAAACCAAAGAAAGATCTGGTTTGATGTATTCTTACAACATTGGGCTGTATGGATGAGAGAACTATGGCAGTGGAGGAAGGAAAGAAGTAGATGTAAGAGATGTGATAGGGCAGGATTTTAAGGGTTTTTAATCCAGGGTCCATGACAGGGTTGGGGGCCAAATCTTGCATGGACTTCATAGAATGTAAACCCTTTAATTTGCATACAAAGTTGTGCATGTGTATGTATATAAATCCTATTGCTGATGTGGTCCATGGCTTTCATGGGGTCTAGAAATGCACTGTCCAGTATGGTAGCCACTAGTCACATGTGGCTACTGAGAACCTGAAATATGGCTGGCCTGAATCAAGATGTGCTGTGTGAAATAATACGTGCCAGACTCCAAAGACTTACTACCAAAAATGAATGTAAAATACCTCATAATTTTTATATTAATTACATGCTAAAATCTTTTTTATATATACTGGGTTAAATAAAATATATTATTAAAATTAATTTCACCTGTTTATCTTTTTTTTTTTTTTTTTTTAAGAGCTTGCATCTCGTTATGTTGCGGAGGCTAGACCCAAACTCCTGGGCTCAAACAATCCTTCCCCTCAACCTCCCAAGCAGCTGGGATTATAGGCATATGCCACTACACCTGGCTTTAATTTTTTTTTAAGGGTCTCCCTGTTGCCTAGACTGGAGTTCAGTAGCATGACCATGGCTCACTGCAGCCTCGAACTCCTGGGCTCAAGTGAGCCTCGTACCTTGGCCTCCCAAAGTGCTGGAATCACAAGTGTGAGCCACCATGCCCAGCCACAGCTTTAACTTTTTAAGTACGGCTACTAGTAAAACTTACACTGCACATGTGGCTTGCATTATATTTACATGGAACAGTGCTGGTATAGAACCCAAAAGCCACCGTAATTAGGGAAATCAAGTTCCCATACAACCCAGCCTTGGATTATATACTTTTTTGGCAGAGAGGAAAATTGGGAAAGGGAGAAGAGTAGAAGACAGGCAGAGGGAAGGAAGAAGAGAGGGAAGAAGGGGGAGGCCAAGGGAGAAGGAAGCAACAGAGGGCTGTGGGGATGTCTCTAGTATTCCCAGAAGAAAAAGGGGTCGATTTGAAAAAATTTAGTGTCCCGATGCTTCAGTTGAGGGGGGCCTGATCTCGGGCCCCAGTTTGAATCTAAAGAGTTTGTTCCGTAATGCTACTGAGAGATTAAATCTTAAAAACCAGTTAAACATTCTGTTGAAAAATTTCTCAGCTGATGGATCTGAATATAACAAAGTGGAATCTCAGGCCCTGAGCAGAGGAACCACATAACTGAAGACAGAGGTCTGGGACAGCCCCCGGCCTGTGGCACTGCATAACCTTCGTGCCATAAGACATACTGCTGGGCAGGAGTCAGCCTATCTTGAAAAGCCTTCATGTTAAATACGTTCACAAATCAAAAAAAATCCTTTGTCAGACTATCCTCGTTTGAAAAATATAGCGGCTGTACAAATGGTCTCACCCCCAAAACCCAGCTTTCAGCCAAAAGAGGGCACTAACTTGAAGCCAAGCATGGGAGTTACACAAGGCTCTGTCTCCCAAGAGAACCAAGAGAGCCACAAAAGCAACACGTACTAACTGGGTAGTTTACAAAAAACCGTGAGGCATAACCAAGGGAGAGATAGCAGCTAAAGGCTGAGACTTTTCACCATTAAAGGGAAACGGCAAAGGTGCAGGAGAAGAGGGAGAGTCACATTCATCAAGCCATGCAAGCTGCCTGAGCAGTTTACAGTGCACACACTGTCACATCTAACGTGACAACACCCCTGGAAGAGAAATTAACCCCTTTTCACAGATGAGGAGGCTAAGGAGGGTGCAGCCAGCTGCCCAGGCCCCTTGCCTGGTCCTCGGGGGAGCTCAGGGCTTCCTGGGGCTTACTCTCTTTCCTGTACCACTCCAGCTCCACACAACACGCTGCCCCCACAGTACGGCAATCCTTCTCGGCAAACAGGCCCTCCACAAGGCACCCGAACTACCACACAGGAACCACACAGTCTGATCAACACTATTTGAAATGCCCAATGTCTGTAGCAGAAGCTTGACTGAAAAAAGAACAAAAGAAATAGAAACTTGATCACATACCTCAGTGTCATCTACTTCATTTTCCTCAGAAAGATTGGGTATTTCAATCAATCCCTTGTGCTTCACTCCAGATTCTTTAACGATGCCTAAAATGAGCAAAATGGGTTCTTCAATTATAATACAAAGTAACAACTGGGCCAGGCACTGTGGCACATGCCTATAATCTCAGCACTTTGAAAGGCTGTGGTGAGGATGGATTGAGCCCAGGAGTTTAAAGACCATCCTGGGCAACAGGGAGACACTGTCTCTACAAAATAAAATTATCTGGGCATGGTGGCGCACACCTGTGGTCCCAGTTACTTGGAAGGCTGAGGTGGGAGGATTGCTGGGAGGTCAAGGCTGCAGTGAGCCTTGTCTCAAAAAAGAAAAAAAAATTGATTTTATGAAAAACTGCCCTACCTCACTGAATAGCTCAGCTGCCCTCACAGGGTTCCACCACTCCAGGGCCCCCTGAGCAGCCACGGAAGAAAGGTCAGGCAGGCCATGGCCAAGGAGAGGGCATGAGGAGTCAGCAGTCCGCCGTCCTGAGAGGAGTGTGGGGCAAGTGCACCCATATTCCTCTTCTTGTCCCAGGGTACTCTTTGCCTGGGCAAAGCAGGACAAAGGAGTACCCTGAAGGGGAGAAGCAGTCACAAAAGCGATGGAAGGACAGAAAGGGACAGTACGTTCTGACCACGGAGGGGAGGGAGGCTCTGGCTTGAGGGCATTGTGTGGGGGATACCAGGCAGGTAGACTTCTCTCAGGACTAGAGTGTTGCCTCCTCCCCAGTGGGTCCCAGTTGCCACCCTAGAGACTCGCTGCTGGAGGAGAGCAGCTGGGAGGTGTTAGGACAAGCCCTAACAACCCGTCCTCTGGCTGCTGCCTGGCAGTGGCTGGGTCTTATCCTTGCAAAGGAGCCAAGAGAGATGGAAAAGACACAAGGCCCACAAGGTTCCTCAGGCCTTAGGGCTCGGTGCTGGGGTAGTGGGCAGGGAGCCAGACTGCTATGATCCAGACAGCAGCAGACACAGGGGGCTGCAAGAGAGGCAAACTCCCAGCCAGAGGAGTTCTGAGCCTGTTCTGAGGCGAAGGGGGAAGGGCTGAACACCCTCGTCTGTGAGAAAGGCAGCCAGCAGGGCAGAGGCTCGAGGCCAACTCACTGGACTGCTCTGGGGCACACACTCCAGATAGGAGCTGACTCCTGGGCTGAGGCTCAAACCCTAGCTCCTCCTCTTCCCTTCCCTGCATCTCCACAGACTTGGCTCCCTCAACAAGGACTGAGTGCGCACACGCTGTCTGCTCAGCCAGGATCGAGGCACCATTGGAGAACTGAACCCACAGACCCCAAAAGTGGACACACCCAAAATGCCCGGCAACTGATAAATGGAGAAACAGAATGCAGTATATGCACCCGTGGAATATTCATCAGCTATAAAAAAGAATAAAGTGCTGCTACCTGACACAACACAGATGACCGTTGAACACATTATGAAGTAAAAGAAGGCAGACACCAAAAAACACATCCTACATGATTCATCTATGTGAAATGTTCAGAGGCCAATCCAGAGAAAACGGGTGAGCAGACACCAGGGACTGGGGAAGAGGAGGGCAACAAGAGTGACTGCTCATGGGTCCAGGGTTTTGTTTTGGGGTGGTGAAATGTTCCTAAATTGATTGTAGTGATGGCTGCACAACTCTGTGACTATACCGAAAACCAATAAATTATACACACTAAATGAGTGAATTATGTCTCAAAAAAGCCGTTTTTAAAAGAAATCCCTACCCTACTGAATGACAGAAAGAGGGAGCAGGACAGTAAGCAAAATAGTTTTGTAAAGCAAGTTTCAGTGCCTTGGGGAAAAATAAAGTAGGGAAGAAAGATGGCACAAGGCAGGAGTCTCCAAGGATGCACAGAGATGGCTTTACTCAGGACAAAGACCTGAAGGAGGCAGGCAGCTACCTGGGGGAAGAGTGCTCCAGGCAGCAATGCCGGGAGACTCCTGTTCACAAGGGCCTGGTAGAAGAGGGCCCAGCTGACAGCAATGAGCTCTAAGCAGCTGCGAGTGCTGCGAGAAGGGAAATCCCCATCCTTCTTGGCCCATGGAACTCAAGTGTGGCCAGAGTGTCAGGATCTACCAACGCTGATTCAGGAGCCAGTCAGTGTGCCAGGCCCATAGCAGGGGCTGTAAAAACATTCGCTGAATGATGAACGCACTTTGTCCCCAGCCCCACTAGTACCCTGAGGCCCCTGTTACCTTTCCAGCCCAGTTTGATGTTCCACTCATAGAAGAAAATCAGCTTTCCTTTGCGGCTGCTGCACGAAGCCTCCCCTTCCACCTGCTTCAACTCGTTGATCTCGCCGCGGCCAGCGTCATTCTCCACAACGATGCCCACCAGGAGCTCCTGGAACTTCCCTTTGGACAAGCTGGTGGCATCCCGCTCTGTCCTGCCAGGGACCAGAAAGTCGTGAATGGAAGCCCCAGCTGGGATCCACCTGCCTGGGTGCCAGGGTCACGTCCAAGCCCAGCCCAGATCGGCCCAAGTCCTCTCAAGCAGCCTCGAAACCTGCCAACCTCCAATGTGCTCCTCAAACCTGCTTTCTATCAAATTCTTTTCATCCTGCTCAGTTCTTTAAGATATTATTGTCCACTATGCAAGTAGTATTCTGTCTTAAAAACACTGGCTTATTTAAGGGAGGAGGATCTAGCTAGCTCGCCCACTGGAAATAGGCAAAGCCTAGGCCACAGGGAAAGTAGCAGTAGTGAACTAATCAGAATCATGACAATACCAGCTATCAAGTGTCTTCGCATATACATCGTCTAATGTAATCTTCCCAGGCAATATTCTCACTTTAGGGGACAGAAACGAGCTGAGAGAAATGACATGTCCATCGGGCCAAGGCTAGGACACTAGAAAGTCAGATCTAGCTCACGCCTGTAATCCCAGCACTTTAGTAGGCCCAGGCGGGCGGATCACGAGATCTGGAGTTCGAGAGCAGCCTGACCAACATGGTGAAACCCTGTCTCTACTAAAAATACAAACATCAGACGGACGTAGTGGCACGCATCTGTAGTCCCAGCTACTCATGAGGCTGAAGCAGGAGACTCGCTTGAACTCTGGAAGCTGAGGTTGCAGCGAGCCAAGATTGCCCATGCCCTCAGAGCTCCTCCGGACCAGCCAAGTCATGCTCCTCTGGGGACCGGCCTCAGCATCCCCTCGACGGCCTGGAGGGACCACAGCCCCGGCCAGAGGCGCAGGGCAGAGGACATCCCTTCCGGAGGTTCTGCGGCGGAGGGCTGCCGACCTCTCCCCACGCGCCAGGTGAGGCGCGTAAAGGAAGGGGAGCTTGTCTCACTCACAGAGGGCCCGGCTCGCGGGAGGCGCCTGCGGGGTGGGCGCGAACTGAGATCCAAATTTCTGCCCTTTCCACTACGTTCCATACCCCCGCCCCTAACACAGTCTCTCAATCCAGCTCCCTTCTAACTCCCCGAAACATCCAGAGGGGTGGGCGGGAGGAGAAGGGAAGGCCCTCAGGCCACAGACGGTGGGAGTGGAAAGGTCTGTCGGAAGTCACTCTTGGGGCCCAACCCAACTTTCAAAAAGAGGCAGCTGCAACCCTCCTAGCCGGTCTCCGTACTCAAGGACTCTCCCGAGCCGAGAGGCGAAGGCCGAGCCCTGCGTCCAGCAGCTGAGGGGGGGCGGCCCCCTGACCCCCTGGCCCCGCGGCCCCGCACAGACCCCAGGGCAGCCCCGGCTCCCGCGGCCCGGCCCTCCCCAGATCCCGGAAGGAGGCCGCCGCCAGCCGCGCCAGCGCCAGTTGTTCACGTTGGTCCCGTCCTCCCGCTCCTCCACGATCCAGTGGGGGTTCCCCTGGCCCCACTTGGCCATGGCGGCGTGGACTGGGCGGAAAACAAGGAAAGGCCGCGGCGCCTAAGGCTCCGAAGCCAGCGTTTCCGGCCGCCGAGCCCCGGGGCGGCGCGTTCGCAGCTCCCAGAAACTGCCAGAAGGCCCCGCCCCCGGCCCCGCCCCGCCCTGCCGCGGCGCGCCCGGGAGCCCCAGCCGGGATCTGGGAGGCGGGTCGCGCGGGGACGCGGGGACGCGGGGACGCGCGGGCGGGGAGGGGCTGGGGCCGCCGGGGTTCCGCTGCGCGTCTCCTAACGCTAGGGCGGGACGGGGCTGTCTGGGCCGCCTGCGAAGGGCGGAGGGCGCTGCAAGTCCCGCGGTGCTGGCGGGCTCGTGATTCCCGGCGCCGGGAAGCAGGGCGCTGAGTAGCGGGTGCCTGAGAGTCCAACCGGCAGTGTAGACGCGACACCGCCGTCAGGTGGCCTCGGCAGGCTCCCTATAGCTCTCGAGGACACGACCTCGAACGCCCAGGTCGCTGTAAGACCGGCCTTTGGGGCCACAGCGCGCACACGTCACACCGTTTGCGGATTTCGCCTAAGAGCGAGTCCGCGCCCAGTTGCCGCGCTGCGGTTTTTTCCGCGACGCAGTCTCTCGCCCTCCCCCCTTCCCGGCACCTTTCCAACTAGTCCCATGTTACTGCGGGAGTATTTCCATTTTATTCACGTAATAATCCTTTAGAGAGAACGAAAGAATGTGATTGCAAACGCATGTTACTGCAAACTGATGCACTTTATCATGGAGTATTAATGATTCCTTTCACGAATTTTCGGCTTCTAGCTAAAACTTTGCACGAACTATTTGGACAATGTTACTGGGGTGTTCTCTGCTAACTACATGGGTAGTTAGCACAGAAATGGGTAGAACAGTGAAAAGGTGGAAGCATCTGACTGTTCTCTTCCCCTGTGCCGACCTGTCCTTTGCCTGCGGTCATCCACGAAATACACTCACGAGTGGAGACATTTTCTCCATTTGCCTACCGGAGCTACCACCTTCCAACATTATCTTCCAGAAAGCTACAACAGTCATGTAAACACACTGCTTAAAGGCGTTTTGACCTCAAAACAAAAAGACGTTTTGATTTCACCTTTCACACTTCACTAAAGCAGCTATAACAGAGTCACATGAAGGAGCAGCGTGGTGGGGTTGCCTGATCTTAAGAAGCCTCATTTCCGCTGCTAAGGAGCTTGCACTTGGCCATACAGGCAATGGGCAACCACTGAGGCAACCTAAATGGAGAAATGACACGATCAGATGTGTTCTAGAACAATCAGTCTTGGCCGGGCGCGGTGGCTCACGCCTGTAATCCCAACACTTTGGGAGGCCGAGGCGGGCGCATCACGAGGTCAGGAGATCGAGACTATCATGGCTAACACGGTGAAACCCCGTCTCTACTAAAAATACAAAAAAAAAAACTAGCTGGGCGTGGTGGCGGGCGCTTGTAGTCCCAGCTACTCGGGAGGCTGAGGCAGGAGAATGGCGTGAACCCGGGAGGCGGAGCTTCCATTGAGCCGAGATCACGCCACTGCGCTCCAGCCTGGGCCACAGAGGGAGACTCCGTCTCAAAAAAAAAAAAAAAAAATCATTCTTACGGACTTTTGGACAATGGACCAGGGTAAGATGGAAACTGGAAGGAGGGGGACTTCTCAGGGTGGAGAAGGGGTGACAAATATTCAGGGATGAGAGGTGTTCAGAAGTGGAATGTAAATGCGTCAGACACTGGGGTGCAGCAGAGAAATACGTTTTGTTCAGCAACTGGGACTTGCAGGTTGGTTAGTAGCCGCACCCTCAGAGGCTAGAATGGAAAGAGGCTGGAATGAGGCTTGGGCTATAACTCTGGGAAAAATCAGCAGGTAAGAGGTAGGCAGGGAAGAGGGGGCCTGCAAAGAGCGACTAAGGAGGAGGAAGGCAACCACAAAGGCATTTAATCAGGGAGCCAGGGTGCACGGTAGAAGCAGTGGCCGTCATCAAGTGTGGAAAAGTATGAGTCGGATGATAAAGGTATATAAAGATATGTATTGGGTGTAACAACACAGAAGGTACTTGAGCCTTTTGCAGAGAGCAGTTTCAGTGAACGATGGGGCAGAAGCTGGGTCACGGGTAACGGGTGAATGGGAGGTGAGAGGGTGGAGACTGTGCTTTCAGAATGTTGGGCAAGGACAGGTAAGACAATTGGACAGTAATGAGATAGGTACATGGATGAAGGGAGTTTTTGCCTTTTCCCTTTAAATGCTTATGTCTGCTGGTGGGGATCAGCTGGCGACAAGAGGGACAAGTGGTTCAGCCAAGTCCCAGAAGCCATGGGAGGAGATGAGTCCAAAGGGTCAGCCTGCAATAGGAAGACGCAAAATAATGTTGGAACGTGGTAGCTCCGGTAGGCAAATGGAGAAAATACCTCCACTCGTGAGCGTATTTTGTGGATGACTGCAGGCAAAGGACAGGTTGGCACAGGGGAAGAGAACAGCCAGCTGCTTCCACCCTTTCACTGTCCTACCCATTTCTCTACTAAGATGAGAAAGATCAGAATGGATGTTTCTCTACCTGTCTTGGTTTTGACTGGTTTGATGTGGGAGAGGATGCAAGGGAGGTGGCAAGTTGGACAACTTCAGGTGGCAGCTTACCTGCAGCAAAGTGAGGGTGACAACACTGACAGGCTTTGGGGGAAGAAATGCAAAATCCTCTCAAGTATGTCCTTTCTCCCATAACCAACCTGTGCTGGGGTAGATCCAGATTATTTTCACCTTTTCTAAACAACTCCACCACACTTTCTCTGTCTCGAGAGAAAGGGGTTGAAAAATGTACATATCCAGGATTGCCATTTTTTTGTTTTTTTTGTGACAGAGTCTCACTCTGTTGCCCAGGCTGGAGTGCAGTGGCATGATCTCAGCTCACTGCAACCTCCGCCTCCCAGGTTCAAGCAATTCCCCTTCCTCAGCTTCCCAAGTAGCTGGAATTACAGGCGTGTGCCACCACACCTAATTTTTGTATTTTTAGTAGAGACAGGGTTTCACCATATCGGCCAGGCTGGTCTTGAATTCCTGAACTCAGATGATCCACCCGCCTTGGCCTCCCAAAGTGCTGGGATTATAGGCGTGAGCCACCGCACCCAGCCCAGGATTGACTCTTATTAGCAATGCACTAGAGAATCAGGAGTTGGATGCCAGTTTCACATCACAGTAGACCCATGAGCTGCTAAGGGTCTGCTTTTGAGGAAGTCACTATTCCATTTTCTTTTTATAATTTTGGTGCCTATCCCTTAGTTTGATTTAATTCCTTTAATATTTGTTGAGCTACCAGCATGCAAATGTCCCAAGCACACTGCCACCATAGCACATAGCACTGTGTGTAGCCTTTGCTCTCAAGCTTTGTTATCTTCACTGGCCTGCTCAACTTGAGGGCAAACACGCTTCCTCCTCTTTATCCCGATGCCAGAGCTGTGCCCAGCACATAGTGGGCACCAAGGAAATATTTGTTTAGATGACTGGGTGAATGATGGAATGAATATTTCTCAAACTTGTGTGTTCCAGCTTATTAATAGGCTCTTAATGGGCTATAAAATTAATTTTAGCAGAGGTAAAATTTTACAGGAGGTACCAACCATCATTTTTATCTGAATGAAATAGAATAGAATTGAGTTTAAATGATCAGAGTGGTTACATATAGTAAAGGTAAATATTGTTTCTTAAATCATTGGGGGCTGTGTGTGTGTGTGGTGATGTATTATGCTTAGACTATGTTTGTTTGTTTTTTAAGTTTGAAAGCCACTGCTGTAGCAGATCCAAAGATAAGTACAATAGCTTACAACTAACAGTTCTTCTGTTTTGCACGTTGTAGAATCTCTCGTGCCCAGCACATAGCAGATCTCAATAAATATTTGTGAAATACGTTAGTTCATAAGACTGGATGAAGTCATTTGTTGGTGGAATATGAAAGAAGAACTGGGCCTTGATGGATGAATGGAATTTCAACAGGTAGAGAGATGGGAGAGTTCCTTCCAGACCAAAGAAGAATCACATCAGCAAAGATGTGCAAGTTAGGAATGAGTGGAAAGTAGGATGGGCACAAAGCAGAATGGGTGAGAAGACAAAAGTGAGGACATTTTGAGGGGCGAGTGAAAGCCACCATGAAGTCTTTTTATACCATCAGTGAAGAAATGTGTGCTGAGTTGTGTGTCCTCTAGCAGCAGTGGCCCACACCGGCCGCCCACACTGGCAGGCTCTGAAGCCCTGTGCTTCGATCCAAGTCTTGGCTCTGCTACTTACCAGATGAGTGACCTTAGGCAAGTTCCTTAATCTCTGTGTACTTCATTGTTTCTAAAACTGAAATAGTGTTACCATCTATCTGCATTAGGATTAGATTCCACTGCTAGTAACTGTGGGAGACCAAAATTTGAAGGATTGTTGAGCTGAAGACAGTTAAGAAGCCAGCCGGGCACGGATGGATCTTTGCATGGATCTTTGCAAGGTCTTCCTAATGGCCTCTCTGTCCCTGCTAGTCTCTTTCTCCTCTAGTCCAGCCTCCATTACCTCCATGCAAGCACTCTGATATAACTGCTTGCTCTGCTTAACATTCATCAGTGGCTCCCCACACCCACCCCCTTAGCAAGGCTGCACACTGAAGGTCTGGTCCAGCCTGCCTTTCCAGCCCATCTTGCATTGCACCATTGCTTGCACTCTGCACAGCAGTCTACCTGGGCTCTCCAGTACACCCGTGCATTTACACTTTCAGGATGCTTTGCCTGGTGGGCCCTTTCCACCCAAGCCTCCAGTACCAAGTCTTTTAGTTTCTTCCTCTGCAAAACTTCCTTGTTGTCTCCTTCACCACTCAGAGAGTCCCCTCTGTCAGTAAATTATATCATAGACTTTTTAAAGAGTCAGGATCTCACTCTGTCACCCAGGTTGGAGTGCAGTGGTGTGATCACAGCTCACTTCAGCCTCTTACTCCTGGGCTCAAGTGATCCTCCTGCCCCAGCCTCCTGAGTCACTGGGATTTTAGGTGTGAGCCACTGCACAAGGCACAGACATTTTAATAGCTCTGAAACCAGGGGGCACCTTCACTTGGCAGTTTCTTAAAACTGCTCTTCACCTCTGCTGAAGTCAAGTACTGCGCAAGAGGACTGATGTTTGCTTTCCCCATCACCTGGGGCAGTACCAAACTGAGTCTCTGTGGCAGGCAGCCTCTAAGATGACCCTCACCTATCCCTCCCTCTTGGTATTTGTGCCCTTCTGTAATCCCCTCCCCTTGAGTGTAGGCTGGACCTGGTGACTTGTTTCCGATGCACAGAATACAGCAAAAGTGATGAGATGTTCCTTACAGGATTAGGTTACCAAAAGACTGTGTTGTGTTTTTTTTTTGTTTTTTTTTGAGACGGAGTCCCGCTCTGTCACCAGGCTGGAGTGCAGTGGCACGATTTCAGCTCACTGCAACCTCCACCTCCCAGGTTCAAGCGATTCTCCTGCCTCAGCCTCCCGAGTAGCTGGGATTACAGGCACACGCCACTATGCCCGGCTAATTTTTGTATTTTTAGTAGAGATGAGGTTTCACCATGTTGGCCAGGACGGTCTCGATCTCCTGACCTTGTGATCTGCCCACCTCAGCCTCCCAAAGTGCTGGAATTACAAGCATGAGCCATCGTGCCCGGCCTTTTTTTTTTTTTTTTTAATTGAGACGGAGTCTTGCTCTGTCAACCAGGCTGGGGTGCAGTGGCACGATCTCGGCTCACTGCAACCTCCGCCTCCTGGGTTCAAGTGATTCTCCTGCCTCAGCCTCCCGAGTAGCTGGGATTACAGGTGCCTGCCACCACGCCAAGCTGATTTTTATATTTTTAGTAGAGATGGGGTTTCACCGTGTTGGCCAGGCTGGTCTCAAATTCCTGACCTCAGGTGATCCGCCCACCTCAGCATCACAAAGTGCTGGGATTACAGTCGTGAGCAACCGCGCCCGGCCAAAACTCCCCATCTTCTTGCTGGTGGGTTGCCTACCTCTCTCTCTCCCTCTTTCCCTCTTCCTCTTTCTCTTTTCCTGAGCCTCACTTGGAGGAAACAAGCAAGTTTACGCATGAGTTAAGTTTTGCAAGTTTATCACAGGGTACATTCTAGCCAGTGGCATGCAGAATGGAAAGGTGCATATACTTTCAATTTTGACAGAAACTGCCCAGTTATCCTCCAGAAAGATTTACCAATTGACACAGTTGACCCCTATACAACATGGGAGGTTTAGGGGCACTGACTCCCCTACATGGTCAGAAATTTGTGTATAACTTTTGGCTTCCCCAAAACTTAACTATTACTAGCCTACTGTTGGCTGGAAGCCTTATCTAGAAGAGTTGATTAACATATATTTTGTATATTATGTATATTAAATTTACCATATTCTTTTTTTTTTTTTGAGACAGATCTCACTCTGTCGCCCAGGCTGGAGTGCAGTGGCACAATCTCGGCTCATTGCAAGCTCCGCCACCTGGGTTCACGCCATTCTCCTGCCTCAGCCTCCCGAGTAGCTGGGACTACAGGCGCCTGCCACCATGCCCGGCTAATTTTTTGTATTTTTTAGTAGAGACGGGGTTTCACTATGTTAGCCAGGATGGTCTCGATCTCCTGACCTCGTGATCCGCCCGCCTCGGCCTCCCAAAGTGCTGGGATTACAGATGTGAGCCACCGTGCCCGGCCTTAAATTTACCATATTCTTGCAATAAAGTAAGCTAGAGAAAAGAAAGTATTATTAAGAAAATCATAACGAAGGCTGGGCATGGTGGCTCACATCTGTAATCCCAGCACGTTGGGAGACCAAGGCAGGCGGATCACCTGAGGTCAGGAGTTCAAGACCACCCTGGCCAACATGATGAAACCCCACTTCTACAAAAATACAAAAATTAGCCGGGCATTATAGCAGGTACCTGTAATCCCAGCTACTTGGGAGGCTGAAGCAAGACAATCGCTTTAACCCGGGAGGCAGAGGTTGCAGTGAGTTGAGATCATGCCACTGCACTCCAGCCTGGGCGACAGAGTGAGACTCTGTCTCAAAAAAAAGAAAAAAATATTATAAGGAAGAGATAATATATTTACTGTTCATTAAGGGGAAGTGGATCACCATAAAGTTCTTCATTCTGATAGTCATCATGCTGAGTAGGCTAAGGAGGAGGAAGAGGAGGGCTTGGTCTTACTGTCTCAGGGGTGGCAGAGGCGGAAGAGGTGGAGGAGGTAGAAGGGGAGGCAGGAGAGGCAGGCGCACACTCAGTAACTTTTACTGAAAAAAATCTGCATATAAGTGGGCCCATGTTGTTCAAGGGTCAGTTACTTTTGTCTAATGAGAATTCTTTTCCTCCTCCTCTTTAACCCTTCACCAGTATCAGCCACCTTTCTAACATTTGACAGTCTGATAGATTAAAAAAATCAATATAATTTTTTTATAAATAAGATACTTATTGTTTTACTTTAGATTATTTTTATGAAGTCAGGTGAGCATCTAAAATTTTTTTGGCCATTTATTTTTCTGCCTATACATATTATCTCTGCCAATTTAAAACTAGGTGATTCATATTTTCTTATTCCTATGGATGAAATAATTTCTTATGTATCTGAATGTTCTTAATCATTTCTTTATAACGAAATCAACCTTTGGTCATAAATTAAAAAAAAAAAAACGTTTCCCAGCATAACAATCACCAAAGTCAATAATGCTGGAGCCTGTGTTTGGTGGAATCATGATAAATAGGGGATTGAGCAGTAAGTAAGTTGAGCATAATGGAAGCCAGATTTCTCATTATTAGACAAGGGGGTTACAAATATGGAGTGAGTAAAGCTAGAATAGGACCTACTGGATTGGAATTGGAGGTGCTGGTATGAGCTCATTGTCATGTATAAGGATAGATAGCTACAGAAATGGATACTGTGGTCTACAACTTTTTTGAAACTTTCCCCTTCAAAAGGTATAATCTCTTTGCCCTTGAACATAGGCTGGACTTAGTGACTTGCTTCTCACCAACCAGAACACGATGGAAGGGATGCATCTATATACATGTTCTTCTATACATACATATTTAATATATATATTAAATTGGGACACTGGTAAATTTTGAATGGGGACTGTAGATTAGATAGTGGTAATAGTGAATCGATCTTAAATGATGGTTGACCTGCAGTTATCTGGGAGAATGTTGCAGAATTTCAGAAATATGTGTTGAGGCAAATGATACATAATGTTTGCATCTCACTCTTAAATGCTTTAAAATGTGAATATGTATATATCGAGAGAGAAAATGGTAAGACCATTGTGGTAAACTGTTAACTGAGGAATCTGAGTGAAGTTCTTTGTACTACTCTTGCAGCCCTTCTATAAATCTGAAATTATTTCAATGTAAAAGTTGTTTTAGGCCGGGCACGGTGGCTCACGCCTGTAATCCCAGCACTTTGGGAGGCTGAGGCGGGCAGATCATGAGGTCAGGAGATCAAGACCATCCTGGCTAACAGGGTGAAACCCCATCTCTACTAAAAATGCAAAAATTAGCCGGGCTTGGTGGCAGGCGCCTGTAGTCCCAGCTACTCAGGAGGCTGAGGCAGGAGAATGGCGTGAACCTGGGAGGTGAAGCTTGCAGTGAGCTGAGATCGTGCCACTGCACTCCAGCCTGGGTGACAGAGTGAGACTCCTCAAAAAAAAGTTGTTTTAAAAATAGGCCTTCCGGCTGGGCGCGGTGGCTCACGCCTGTAATCCCAGCACTTTGGGAGGTCGAGGCGGGCGGATCACGAGGTCAGGAGATCGAGACCATCCTGGCTAACACGGTGAAACCCCGTCTCTACTAAAAATACAAAAAAAATTAGCCGGGCGTGGTAGCGGGTGCCTGTAGTCCCAGCTACTCGGGAGGCTGAGGCAGGACAATGGCATGAACCCGGGAGGCGGAGCTTGCAGTGAGCCAAGATAGCGCCACTGCAGTCCAGCCTGGGCGAAAGAGCGACACTCCGTCTCAAAAAAAAAAATAAATAAATAAATAAATAAATAAATAGGCCTTCCTAGTTTACTGTTGGGGTTTGGACTGTGTGTGTGTGTGTGTGTGTGTGTGTGTGTGTGTGTGTGTTTTTTTTTTTTTTTCTTAACAACAAAAAAGAATTTTTAAGTAGTCCAAGCTTTATCAAGCTTTTCCCTTTTGGCTTTTGGGTGATGTGTCCTGTTTGAGGTAGTCATTTGAAGAAAGTCCCTGGACCAACAGCTAATTAAAGAGGTAAAGTGGCAAGTTTGATCCCACCTTTGCAAGTGAAACACCAACAGGCATTGAGAAAAAACTGCTCAACTTTTTCTCTGGAGCCATAGCTTAGGAGATAGACACATGGAGCCCTACAGCTTCACTGTCCGTGGAGCATCTTCAGTTGAATCTGTAGTCAGTACTTCAAATTTAACAGAGCTAAAAGTTGCCTAATCTTTTTTTTTTTTTTTTTTTTGGAGACAGAGTCTCGCCCTGTCACCCAGGCTGGAGTGCAATGGCACGATCTCAGCTCACTGCAACCTCCACCTCCCAGGTTCAAGTGATTCTCCTGCCTCAGCCTCCCGAGTAGCTGGGATTACAGGCACATGCCACCACGCCTGGCTAAATTTTTTTGTATCTTTAGTTGAGACGGGGTTTCAACATGTTGGCCAGGCTGGTCTCAAACTCCTGACCTCGTGATCCGCCCACCTCGGCCTCCCAAAGTGTTAGGATTACAGGCGTGAGTCACCGCGCCCGGCCAACCTGCCTAATCTTTTTGCCCTAACTAGTTACTTCCCTGGACTCTCCTATTCCTGACTGTCTGGCAGGTATCCAAACTCAGGAGCCATCTTTGCACCCTCCTCTCGCTCCTCCCACATCTAACCAGGAAGTGATGTGCCTTAATCTTTCTTCATCTTCTCATTACATTCTGCCACCTTCTATTCCAGGTCCACATCCTTCAAATCTGAATCATCACTGGAGCCATCTCCATTTACCACCTCCTAGTTGCTAATCCTCAATAACTTACTCCTGGAGGAAAGCTCTCATGGACTTCTTCCATTATTGCCTAAGATTATGTATATTATAGTGTCACTTAAAAACATGTAGAAACGCAAAGACGGATATCAACTCCCTAACCTAAAAGCTTTCATCTAACTTTAAAACTAAAAGAAATTTACAGGCCAGGTGCGGTGGCTCACGCCTGTAATCCCAGCACTTTGGGAGGCCAAGGCTGGCAGATCACGAGGTCAGGAGATCGAGACCATCCTGGCTAACACAGTGAAACCCCATCGCTACTAAAAATACAAAAAATTAGCTGGTCATGGTGGCGGGCGCCTGTAGTCCCAGCTACTCGGGAGGCTTAGGCAGGAGAATGGTGTGAACCCGGCAGGCGGAGCTTGCAGTGTGCTGAGATCGCGCCACTGCACTCCAGCCTGGGTGACAGCGAGACTCCGTCTCAAAATAAAAAAAAAAAAAGAAAGAAAAGAAATTTACAAATCAAATACAAAAAAGCACAGAACCAATAAAAGTCAAATGGACGTTTAGTGCCAGAAGCTCTTTGTTGACTGTGCTGCTGTTCACGTTACAGTCGTGATCCGGATGGCTTTCTGGAATTCCATGTGCCTATATGGTTATAGGTATTGATGGCCAATTTTCCCATCATTTTCCTGTATTGGAACTTCTACAAAACTGTGGTGACAATTGTACTGCAATGTGAATGTACTTAAAACACTATTGAACTGTACACTTAAAAATGGCTAAGATGAAGCCTGGCATGGTGGCTCACACCTGTAATCCCAGCACTTTGGGAGGCCACGGTGGGTGGATTTCTTGAGCTCAGGAGTTCGAGACCAGCCTGGGCAACATGGTGAAATCCCGTCTCAACAAAAAATACGAAAGTTAGCTGGGCATGGTGGCATGTGCCTGTAGTCCTAGTTCCTCTGGTGACTGAGGTGGGAGGATTGCTTAAGCCCCGGAGGTCAAGGCTGCAATGAGCCCTGATCGCACCACTGCACTCCAGCCTAGGCAACAGAGTGAGACCCTGTCTCAAAAAATAAAATAAAATAAATGGTTAAGGTGGCAAGTTTTATGTCATATATCTTTTACCAAAATGAAAATTTTTTAAAATTTAGTATTATCATCAGGTGAACGATAAAAAATTTAAAGAGACTCTGAATATATCCGCAGGCACCTTCCCCCAACAGTCCACATAGCTTGGATCCATTTCCCACTTTATACCCTTAGCCTGGGATCCTAAGTGAACCTCACTTTGACTTCTCACCACACTTCACTGTTGCCTCTCAACTCTCCTCTACACCCACATTCAGCGACAGCCAACTGGTGTGAACCAAACCCAATACACATCCTCACCTCTTTGCCTTGACTCATGTTCTTCCCCAGCTGCTTGTCTTATCTATCTAATCCTTCCATTTGTCTAAGTTCCTTTTCCTCCTCTCAGTGGGATGGTCCCAGCCCACAGCGACATGCCTCCCAGCAGAGGGTGTCAGTACACCCCATTTGGCAATAGTTCTACATTCTAAAATATTTTATCACTTATACTCCCAATCATTCCACAGACATTTATGGAACATCCACATGACAATGGGCGAGGCCTCTGAATCAAATGAATCTGCTTTTTCTCTCAGAGCCCCTTAGACATGTCACAAATGTATACTGCAGCTGTGTGGATGATGTCGTAGCAGTCTGTACTGTCATATTCCACACATGGACAGCAAGTTTTAAACCACTGAAATCAAGAATAGTATAATCTCAGAACTTGCATAAAGTAATAGGATGTTTTGTTGTTGGTAGTAGTTTGTGTTTTTGTTTTTTTTGAGATGGAGTCTCCCTCTGTCACCCAGGCTGGAGTGCAGTAGTGCAATCTCAGCTCATTGCAACCTCTGCCTCCCAGGTTCAAGCAATTCCCCTGCCTCAGCCTCCTGAGTAGCTAGGATTACAGGAGTGCGACACCACACCCCACTAATTTTTTTGTATTTTTAGTAGAGATGGGGTTTCACCATTTTGGCCAGGCTGGGTCTCGAACTCCTGGCCTCAGGTGATCTGCCCGCCTCAGCCACCCAAAGTGCTGGGATTACAGGTGTGAGCCACCACGTTGGGCCTGTTTTTCCCTAGTAGCTGGGACTAAAGGCATGCACCACCATGTCAGGCTTATTTTATTTTTATTTTTTGTGGAGACAGAGTTCCCTATATTGCCCAGGCTGTTGTAGTTTGTTTTTTGTACCAATTTTTTTTTTGAGATGGGGTCTTGCTCTGTTGCCCAGGCTGGGGTGCAGTGGCACAATCTCAGCTTACTGCAGCCTCTGCCTCCCTGGTTCAAGCAATTCTCCCACCTCAGCCTCCCGAGTAGCTGGGATTACAGAGGCACGCCACCACGCCGGACTAATTTTTGTATTTTCAGTAGAGACAGGGTTTCACCACGTTGACCAGGCTGGTCTCGAACTCCTGACCTCAGGTGATCCACCCACCTCAGCCTCCCAAAGTGCTGGGATTACAGGCATGAGCCACCGTGCCCAGCCTGTACCAATTTTTAAGAAGCAGTGGTCAGTACAAGAAAGGTTTCAGGACTGAGTTCAATGGGGATTATGTAGTAGAAGACGACAGTTATGGAAGCTTCCGTGATGACAGCTGTAGTGTTATTTGGTCATGAATGCCTATGATCAGAGCATGCAGAACATGTATTATTTCAAAAAATCCCCCTTGAATATGATGTACCTAATAGGTATTTGTACAAACAAAAATCACTTTATTCACATGCCAGAACAGTGTTTGAGTAGATAGTTTTAAGGGCAATACAATCAATTTCTTGAACTCAGATTTGAATTTTTAAAAAATTATATTCAAGCTCTAAGTATTTTACTTACAGAATTTTGCACATGGCTCACTCCTTTCTGCACAAAGGTAAAATAATATCTTTATTTGCTTAATTCCCCATTGTTTTGTTGTTTCAACATGATTTTGTACCCTCAGTCTTTCAACGTTAGTCAAACGTTACATTTTCTTTCACTCTTACCCTTTTTTGAGCTTCATTTCCTCTCTTTATGTTCTCGAGTATAGCTTCGAGGTGTAGGGTATTCATTCCCAAGATCCACAACAATTACCTCCCTAGAAAATGTCACTCCTTTTAAAGGTCTTTTTTGGCTTTCAACAACTGAAGGAGTTCTAGTGACAGATGTGTGTATTTTCTGCAAACCATCATCCTGCAAGAGAATGGGACAAACAATATAAACAAATAATCAATTTATGACAAGCCCTGCTTTTAAAATTACAGGTTATATGTACACTTAACGAGAAACAGAAAAAGCATTTCTAAATGATATAGGAAAGTAGCAATAATCCATCATGATCACATTTTCACATTTTTATGGTTATAAAAGCACACACTGACATATTCAAATAACATTTGGTGACATGTAATTCTCTCCATGAAGTGGTCAAACCCAAGAGCCACCAGGACCATCATTCTGTCGTCAACCGGGCATGGCCATGGGGTGGGAGGGTATGTGAGTTGTTCGTGTCAGGGAATCGCAGACACAGAGCTCAAGAAGGACCCAGCTGTGTTGTGTGCTGTTGTAGGACCCTGGAGCTAGCACAGGGGGCTGCGGTCTGGGCCTGAGCTTGGCCACAGTGGAGAGGTAAACAATTCATCTCGTTTTCTCATTGGAAACAGGAGAGGGCTGGATCCCTAGATAGTCTCTTAACAGCTCTAAGATTCTAGGATTTTGAGAAAAACAAACTGAAGGGGAATTATTAAGAAAAACATAAATGTAAGAATGAAGACTAAGCAAGTTTCTAGACTTGGCATATGTAATGGTTTAGTAACACGAACTGATAAGCAACCAGAATGGCTTAAATGACTGTGGGCATTGGACTCATTCTACTTACAAACCTAAGTTATATGCAACTCCATCTCCTATTATTATTATTATTTATTATTATTATTATTTTTTTTTGAGATGGAGTCTCCCTCTGTCACCAGGCTGGAGTGCAGTGGCGATCTTGGCTCACTGCAACCTCTGACTCCCGGGTTCAAGCGATTCTCCTGCCTCAGCCTCCCAAGTAGCTGGGATTACAGGCGGGTGCCACCACGCCCAGCTAATTTTTGTATTTTTAGTAGAGACGGGGTTTCACCATGTTGGCCAGGCTGGTCTCGATGTGCCCTCGTGATCCGCCCTCCTTGGCCTCCCAAAATGCTGGGATTACAGGCGTGAGCCACCCGCCCGGTCCTCCATCTCCTATTATTATACCTAGCTGAGGAATGTACCTTATTTTCAATCAAACAAATTCTAAACTGCTCTTTGAGAGTAGAAAAACACATCACCTCTTCTTGACCAGTTTCTCCAGCATTCTCAGGCTCTTGCTTCTCATTTATTTGGTTCTCCTCTTCTGCCTCCATGTCCCTTCTGTTTTCTAAGGGTGTGGCCAACACTTCCTTACTCTGTCTCTGGACAAGAATGCCAGGCCTCATCGGCACATTCAAGTTCATGACTTGCATTAAGATCCTAGAAAATTAATCGGTAGAGTTTTAAACATTCATGCATCCTCATCCCCACTATCAAACACAAAATGGCCTCTGCCACATCCTGCACCACACTCGCCTTTCATGGTCCTCTGGATTGCTTGTCACCACTTTGGCAGCTGCACAGTCTACACCTCCGTTTGCATCTGTACAAGGCACTTTCTTTGTCTCTTTACCTTTCCTGCCTTGGAAACTGAAAACAAACAAGCCACAAATTCAGAAAAGGAAGAATGGCCCTGATTTTAAGGTGTGGTATAGAAACTTCACGTTTAAACAGGATATCAGCATTTCTAAAATGCTGAAATGGAAAAGTAGATAATTATGGTATCATTACTTGTTCTGTTTTAAATTGTTTTACATTATTTCTATACACATTTGCTAATGTGACTTGAAATCTGATCCCAATTATCAGCATGGATTTATACCATTTATATAAAAAAACCACCAATAAGAGGAGGATGCAAATGAGGCAAATTAGAAGGATGATGAAGAAAGTGATTGCTGTGGTTTCAAAGCTCATAGGTTTAGCTAGAAGACTCATCCACTCTCACAATCACAGACTGTCCAAATATTCTTTTCCAGCTCAATTTGAATGCAGTTCTCTTGTTCTTTAAGTTTTCTAGAAACAGAGGAATAAAAAGCTGTTTTCTTTGTTGTTCTTTTGGTCAGTTCAGCTTCATGAAAGATGCTCTGCTTGTTGCAGAGTTGACTCACACTGGCTAATTTCTCTCCATAACTGTGGTGGGGGCTGAGGTGGCCAGAGGGGAGACTGAGCTGGGACATGTGTGATCACGCAGCTCACCTCCCTCACCCCAAAAACTATCAGGACCCAGAGGAGAGAGGAATCGGAACAGCTGGAGCTGAGCCCAGCTCCCCATTCTTCTCTCGTCAGTGACATCATAGAATCATGGAGCCCTTGAGTTAGAGAGACCAGAGAGCCAGTCCAACCCAGTCCATCACCTGGAGGCTGGAGAACCACGAGGCTGTTGCCTGTTCGTCCCCCTCTTCTGAGAGGTCCAGGTTAGAGGCCATTTGAAACTGTCTTGACCATTCTTTGAGCAAGGATTTTCTCCCTACTCTCCAAACATCACCTTTCCTTTCCTAATCTGAGCCTGTTTCTTTTATTGCTTCTTTCACAGACCATGAACAATTGGTATACTTCCTTCTTATGAAATCCCTCTCTATAGCCCTGAGCTCAAGGCTTCACTGTGGAATTCTACCAAACATTTAACAAAGAACTAACACCAATCTTTCTCAAACCTTTCAAAAATTGAAGAGGGAACACTTACTAGTCATTCTATGGAGCTGGCATTACCCTGATACCAAAGCCACTACAAAAAAAGAAAGCTATAGACCAATATCCTTTATGAATATTGATGCACAAGTCTTCAACAAAGTACTAGGATACCAAATTCAGCAACATATTAAAAGGATTACACACCATGACCAAGTGGGACTTATTCCTGGAATGCAAAGATAGTTTAGTACACAAAAACCAACCAACGTAAAACATCACATTAACAGAATGAAGGTTAAAAATAAACATATTATCATCTCTACTGATGCAGAAAAAGCACTTGACAAAATTTAACACACTTTCATGCTAAAACCACTCAACAAATGAGAAATAGAAGTAAACTACCTCAACATAATAAAAGCCATATGTGAGAATCCTACAACTATCATCATATTCAATGGTGAGAAAATATTTGTAAATCACATAATCTGTTAATGGACTGATATCCAGAATATATGAAGAACTCCTACAACTCAACAACAACAAACCCAATTTTGAAACAGGCAAAGGATTTCAAGACATTTCTCCAAAGAAGATATACAAATGATCAATAAGCACATGAAAAAAATGTTCAACAACACTAATCATTAGGGAAGTGCAAATCAAAACCACAGTGTGTTACCACCTCATACCCAATAGGGGGGTTATTATTTTAGAAAGAAAAAAAAGTATTGGTGAGGATATGGAGAAATTGGAACCTTGTGCACTGTTGGTGGGAATGTAAAATGGTACAGTCACTGTAGAAAACAGTATAGCAGTTCCTCAGAAAATTAAGTAAAGAATTACTATATGATGCAGTAATTCCATTTCTGGGTGTATACACAAAGAATTGCAAGCAGGGATTCAAACAGATATTTGTACACCCTTGCTCATGGCAGAATTACTCAAAATACCAAAAGGTAGAAAAACCCAAAATGTCCATCGAAGGATGGATAGATAAAATGTGGTGGCTGGGCATGGTGGCTCACGCCTGTAATGCCAGCACTTTGGGAGGCTGAGGCGGGTGGATCACCTGAGGTCAGGAGTTCAAGACCAGCCTGGTCTCTACTAAAAATACAAAAACTAGCTGGGCGTGGTGGCGGACACCTGTAATCCTAGCTACTTGGGAGGCTGAGGCAGGAAAATCGCTTGAACCTGGGAGGCAGAGGTTACAGTGAGCCAAGATCGTGCCATTGCACTCCAGCCTGGGTGACAGAGTAGGACTCCATCTGAAAAAAAAAAAAAGTGGTATATACACTCAGTGGAATACTATTCAGCTTTAAAAGGAATGAAATTCCGGGCTGGGCGCAGTGGCTCATGCCTATTTAATCCCAGCACTTTGGGAGGCTGAGGCGGGTGGATCACCTGAGGGGAGTTCTAGACCAGCCTGGCCAACATGGTGAAACCCCATCTCTACTAAAAATACAAAAATTAGCCAGGCGTGGGGGCAGGTGCCCGTAATCCCAGCTACTTGGGGGGCCAAGGCAGGAGAATTGCTTGAACCCAGGAGGCGGAGGTCGCAGTCAGCCAAAATTGCACCATAGCACTCTCCAGCCTGGAGAACAAGAGCAGGACTTCATCTCAAAAAAAAAAAAGGAATGACATTCTGATACATGTTACAACTTGGAAGAATTTTGAAGGCATTATGCTAAGTAAAGTAAGCCAGACACAATAGGTCACATGTTGTATGATTCCACTTATATGAGGTACCTGAAATAGTCAAATTCATAGACACAGAAAGCAGAATCATGGTTAGCAGGTACTGCAGGGAGGAAGAAATGGGAAATCAGTGTTTAATGGCTGTAGAGTTTCAATTTAGAATTATGAAAAAGTTCTGGAGGCAGACAGTGGTGATGGTAGCACAATAATGTGAACATACTTAATACCACTGAACTGCACACTTAAAAATGGTTAAAATGGTAAATTTTATGTTATGTATATTTTATCACAGTTTTAAAAATTATTTATGGAACAAAGAAAAGGGAATTTGTCTGTAAAGTGGCCAGGTATACAGCAGGCATTGCAAAACCAAAACCACCAGCACATACAGATTTTATTTCAATCTCCACCCTTTGTTCAATTTGTTTCCCCACTGTGAATGTTCTACCCCTACCTCAGCCCTTTACCTGTCCCACCTCTCAATCCTTTTAAGACTTAGTTCTTGGCCTGGTGTGGCGGCTCATGCCTGTAATCCCAGCACTTTGGGAGGCCAAGGTGGGCGCATCATTTGAGGTCAGGAGTTTGAGACCAGCCTGGCCATCATGGCGAAACCCCGTCTCAACTAAAAATACAAAAATTAGCCAGCGTGGTGGTGCATACCTGTAATCCCAGCTACCTGGGAGGCTGAGGCAGGAGAATTGCTTGAACTGGGAAGGCAGAGGTTGCAGTGAGCTGAGATCGTGCCACTGCACTCCAGCCTAGGCAACAGAGCGAGACTCCATCTTGAAAAAAGAAAAAAAAAAAGGCTGGGTGTGGTGGCTCACGCCTGTAATCTCAGCACTTTGGGAGGCCAAGGCAGGAGGATCACAAGGTCAGGAGATTGAGGCCATCCTGGCTAACATGGTGAAACCCCATCTCTACTAAAAATACAAAAAATTAGCCGGGTGTGGTGGCACGCATCTGTAGTCCCAGCTACTTGGGAGGCTGAGGCAGGAGAACTGCTTGAACCCAGGAGGTGGAGGTTGCAGTGAGCTGAGATTGCACCACTGCACTCCAGCCTGGCGACAGAGTGAGACCCCGTCTCAAAACAAACAAACAAACAAACAAACAAACAAACAACAAAAAAAAACTTGGTTCTTGGATTCTCTTCCATTATGCAATCACCATCCATTGGGCTTCCTTTTGAAATCAGCCCAATTGTCCCATAAAACTAATATGTATAGTTTGCTGAATAAACACAGAAATGGACTCTCCCCTGGTCTTAAAACTTGAAACTATCTCATCAGAGTTTCTTCCTCAGGAAACTGACCTTCAGGCAAGGAACTGAAACCCATCAGATCACTACCTCCAGACAATGAGACACCAGACTCCCCATCCTGACTGCTTCCTTACCCCTCCCTACTTCCTGATTTTCCGCCTTCCCCACTATGTAAATCCCTCAATCTTAATCAACTGGGGAGACAGATTTGAGCCTTCATCTCCTGTTCACCTCAGCTGCACCACCAGATTAAAGCCTAAGCCTTCTTCCCTGGCAATACTCGTTGTCTCAGTGATTGGCTTTCTGAGCAGCCAGCAGCAAGACCTAGACAGAACCCCTGGTGTTTCAGTGACACTTCCAATCGTGCTTTTTCTGAGTTCTCACTTGATATAGAAAACACCTTGTCACTTATGTATATCCCAACCCCTTGCCCTATCCAGCTCCAGTCCCAGGCATGCTGGGAAGTGACAGGGTCTTTCATAGTCTTTGTAATTTCTCACCTCCTACCCCCAAGGTCTTTCATAGTCTTTGTAATTTTTCACCTCCTACACTACACTGATTTTTATTCCCTCTTGTTAACAAAACCTGTTTTCTAACTCTTCACAACAAGAATGCCTGATAGTAACTCTCATGGGTATCTGGACCTTAATGTGGGCCTAAGGTTAAAGTAAGACAGTCTGGGTAGAATTTCAGGCACTATCCAGAAGATGGGGGAGCAGGGGTTCTCTTTGGAGCAAGGGGGGCTTTTCTTGTGCTCCTGGCATCTGCCATGTTGGGGTCAGATATTGCCTCTTCCATACAGAATAAGCAGTCCTGCCCTACTGCCTACCTCCTGCCTGCAGACTTCTTTGCTATGGTGGCCAGAGGGTGTCCACTCGTGGTGACAGGATCTGCAGCAACTTGGGCTCCAGATGGTCCAGGGCATACGTGAATCCCCAACCACCTCCCTAAGGCCTTGATCCATGTGATCTGTTGAAATCCTGTGACAAAAACATGATCCAGGAATTACAGGATGAGTGAGCACGCTCAAAGGACTCCGTCACAGCTGCCTGAATTTGGAAACTAGGGGCAGTGGACACAGGACTCAGGCCTGGCTGATCAGGATAGTCCACAGTTCAAGGGTCAACATGTGATCTAAATCAGCTTAATTAACCTCAGTGTTAAGATATTTGCAGGAACTTCCAGCATGGAAGAAAGCAGGGCTGAGAGTATGGAGAAAGACAGATTAAAAAGGGCTCTGCTTGATCTAGCTATGCCTGAAGGCTTGACTTACAGTGTGGACAGGAAGCTGGACTTTCAGCTGTGTGAGTCCATGCCTTTCCTTTTTGGCTTAAGCTGGTTTAATTGGGGTTCATGGATGTTGCACCCCAAGATTCCTGACCAACACAGCACTGCAACGAGCATCACACTGCCTCCTCTTCTGAGCCTTGATACAAGAGGCATAGCACCCATCTGCCATTTCCTGATCTGACTTCTTGAGCATTAAATATGTTCCCTCCAGGCCAGGCACAGTGGCTCACACCTGTTAATCCCAGCACTTTGGGAGGCTGAGGCAGGTGGATCACTTGAGTCCAGGAGTTCGAGACCAGCCTGGCCAACATGGTAAAACCCCGTCTCTACTAAAAATACAAAAATTAGCCAGGCGTGGTGGCGTGGGCCTGTAAACCTAGCTACTCGGGAGGCTGAGGCAGGAGACTCGCTTGAACCCAGGAGGCGGAGGGGAGGTTGCAGTGAGCCGAGATCGCGCCACTGCACTCCAGCCTGGGCGACAGAGTGAGACTTCATCTCAAATCAATCGATCAGTCAATCAATCAATCAAATATTTGAGGGATCTGGTCAACTGGTGCTACTCTAAGTGTTATCTATAGACTGGTGTGGTCCCTAAATTGTCATTGGTCTGCAACAAAACAGAGAAATGGAGACTAAATACCTAGAATCTTTTTTGTTGTTGTGGTTGTTTTTGAGACAGGGTCTCACTTTGTCACCCAGGTTGTAGTGGCATGATCTTGGTTCACTGCAGCCTCCACCTCCTGGGCTCAAGCAATCCTCCTGCCTTAGCTCCCCAAGTAGTTAGAATTACAGGTGCACGCCACCATGCCCACTAACTTTTTGTATTTTTTTGCAGAGACGAGGTCTCACCATGTTGCCCATGCTGGTCTCAAACCCCTGAGCTCAAGCGATCTGCCCGCCTTGGCCTCTGAAAGTGCTAGGATTACAGGCATGAGCCACCACGCCCGGCCAATTATTTTCTTATTGTTGGACAACGTACTGCTTTTATTAATAGCATTGATGGACATATTTGTACATATACATGTGACTACAACTCTGATATTAAAATATTAATGTTTTATTTTCAAAGTTTATTGGCCTCTAGCTCTTTATCTTTTATTCTAAATCTCATCCATTTTGTTTCATTGTTTTTTTTGGCTCCAAATAGCTTATGTTTTGATTTTTGTTTTCTTTTTTAAAAGAGACAGAGTTTTGCCATGTTGCCCAGGGTGGTCTTGAACTCCTGGGCTCAAGTGATCCGCCTGCCTCACCCTCCCAAAGTGCCAGGATTATAGGCATGAGCCACAGAACCCAGCTGATTATTTTAACTTCTATTCATTCCCTTTTCTTCAATATGTTTTTACTTAATTTCTTGACACTGGGTCTTGCTCTGTTGCCTGGACTAGAGTGCAGTAGTGCAATCATAGCTCACTGCAGCCTTAACCTTCCAGGGTCAAGTGATCCTCCCACCTCGGCCTCCTGAGTAGCTGGAACTACAGGCACATGCCACCATGCCTGGCTAATTTTTTAATTTTTTTGTAGAGACACGGTCTGGTTATGTTGCCCTGGCTGGTCTCAAACTCCTGGGCTCAAGCAGTCCTTCCACTTGGCCTCCTAAAGTGCTGGGATTACAGGCATGAACCACCACGCCCAGCCTTATTTCTAATTCTTGAGATTCTGTCTCCTCTTAACCTTTAAGAAAAAAGCAATGTTCTGCTTTAAAACTGTTTAAAAAAAACACCTTGATTTCTGGGGCCGGGCACGGTGGCTCACGCCTGTAATCCCAGCATTTTGGGAGGCCAAGCCGGGTGGATAACGTGGTTAGGAGATTGAGACCATCCTGGCTAACACGGTGAAACCCCATCTCTACTAAAAATACAAAAAATCAGCCGGGCATGGTGGCGGGTGCCTATAGTCCCAGCTACTCGGGAGGCTGAGTCAGGAGAATAGAGTGAACGCAGGAGGTGGAGCTTGCAGTGAGCCGAGATCGCGCCACTGCACTCCAGCCTGGGGGACAGAGCCAGACTCCGTCTCAAAAACAAACAAACAAACAAACAAACAAACAAAAAGCCTTGATTTCTTTATAATCCATCTCATTAGCTTGCAAAAGGGAGATAATATAATGAATTGCATTCATTTGAAGACCCCAACAACTATTCTGGCTTTTTGGGGGGATGTGGAGGTGAGGATTAAAAAAATCAAAAGAGAAATAAAAATTCATTGGTGATGAGACAGAAATTGTTAAAATAGTAGAAACATTTCATGAACAATTAATGGGAAATAAAGCATATTTTCTGACTCAAAGCAATTTTCTCAAGCCTAGAAATTAGTTTCTCTTGTGGATGTCAAAGTCTTTCTTAATCACAGGAGGCTTTATTTCTCTTTGTTGAATTAAAAGAAACCCCTGAATCACAAATTTGTCATTTGAGCAACTTATTTTTATTGGGAACTTGCTTAAATATGATTAGTCAAACACTTTAAACTTTTCTGTTTCTTTTTTCTTTTTTTGAGACAGAGTCTCAATGTGTTGCCCAGGCTGGAGTGCAGTGGTGTGATCTCAGCTCACTGCAACCTCTGCCTCCCAGGTTCAAGCAATTCTCCTGCCTCAGCCTCCCAAGTAGCTGGGATTACAGGCGTGCACCACCACACCCAGCTAATTTTTGTATTTTTTTTTTTTTTAAGTAGAGATGGGGTTTCACCATGTTGGTCAGACTGGTCTCGAACTCCTGACCTCAAGCGATCCGCCTACCTTGGCCTCCCAAAGTACTGGGATCATAGGCATGAGCCACCTAGCCCAGCCTTTTCTGTTTCTTTTTAAGCACACAGTAAAAATGTTCATGGCCCATGATTGGTAACCTAGTGCTCAAGGAGATGTTTTCCTCTCTGTAAAGATTTTGGTAACTGTTGGGCAAAAGCAGACTTAAAACAATTTTTTAGGATGTTTTTGGATTTACAGGAAAGCTGAGAAGACAGTACAGAGGGTTCTCATATACCTCACACCCAGTTTCCCCTATTATTAATATCTTAAATCAGTGTGATCTATTTGTTATGATTTATGAACCAATACTGATAAATTATTATTAACTAAAGCCCATGGTTGATTCAGATTCTCTTAGTTTTTACCTAATGTCTTTTTTGGGTCCAGGACCCCATTCAGGACACTATATTACAATTAAATCATGTCTCCTTAGGCTCCTCTTGGCTGTGACAATTTCTCAAACTTTCCCTGTTTTTGATGACCTTGACAGCTTTGTAAAGCACTGATCAAGTATACTGTAGGATGATCCACTATTGGAATTTGAACTTTTGAATTCTAAATTTTTTTTTTTTTTTTTTTTGAGACAGAATTTCGCTCTTATTGCCCAGGCTGAAGTGCAATGGCATGATGTTGGCTCAATGCAACCTCCACCTCCCAGGTTCAAGCGATTCTCCTGCCTCAGCCTCCCGACTGGATTACAGGCATCCGCCACCACGCCCAGCTAATTTTTGTATTATTAGTAGAGACGGGATTTCACCATGTTAGCCAGGATGGTCTTGAACTCCTGACCTCAAGTGATCCACCCACCTCAGCCTCTTAAAGTGCTGGGATTACAGGCGTGAGCCATCGCGCCTAGCCAAATACTAAATTTTATCTGAAGTAAAGGAAGACATATTTTCTTTTTTTCTTTCTTTTTCTTTTTTTTTGAGACGGAGTGTTGCTCTGTCACCCAGGCTGGAATGTAGTGGCACGATCTCAGCTCACTGCAACCTCTGCCTCCCAGGTTCAAGAGATTCTCCTGCCTCAGCCTCCTGAGTAGCTGGGATTACAGGTGTGCACCACCATGCCCAGCTAATTTTTATATTTTTAGTGGAGACGGGGTTTCACCATGTTGGCCTGGCTGGTCTTGAACTCCTGACCTCAGGTGATCTGCCCACCTCGGCCTCCCAAAGTGCTGGGATTACAGGCGTGAGCCACCGCGCCCAGTTTATACATTTTAAATTTCACACCTTTGGCCAGGCGCGGTGGCTCACACCTGTAATCCCAGCACTTTGGGAGGCCAAGGCGGGTGAATCACGAGGTCAGGAGATTGAGACCACCCTGGCTAACATGGTGAAACCCAGTCTCTACTAAAAATACAAAAAAAATTAGCTAGGCGTAGTGGTGGGCGCCTGTAGTCCCAGCTACTCAGGAGGCTGAGGCAGGAGAATGGCATGAACCCAGGAGGAGGAGCTTGCAGTGAGCTGAGATCGCGCCACTGCACTCCAGACTGGGTGACTGAGCGAGACTCCGTCTCAAAAAATAAATAAATAAATTTCACATCTTTATCCTTCTACTATTGATTTACTGAAACATTTTAAATTGTCTTCCTCCTCTCTGTCCTCACTTCTATTTTCCCTTCATTTATAATGATGCTTGGTAATGTTGTTTTTTTTTTTTTTTTTTGGAGACGGAGTTTTGCTCTTGTTGCCCAGGAGTGCAATGGCACCATCTCGGCTCACCCCAACCTCTGCCTCCCAGGTTCAAGCAATTCTCCTGCCTCAGCCTCCCGAGTAGCTGGGATTACAGGCATGCACTACAACGCCCGGCTAATTTTGTATTTTTAGTAGAGACGGGGTTTCTCCATGTTGAGGCTGGTCTCAAACTCCTGACCTCAGGTGATCCGCCCACCTTGGCCTCCCAAAGTACTGGGATTACAGGCGCGAGCCACCGCGCGCGCCTGGCTTTTTTTTTTTTTTTTTTTGGTGAGATGGAGATTTACTCTTGTTGCCCAGGCTGGAGTGCAATGGCGCAATCTTGGCTCACCGCATCCTCCTCCTCCCAGGTTCAAGCGATTCTCCTGCCTCAGCCTACCGAGTAGCTGGGATTACAGGCATGTGTCACCACGCCCAGCTAATTTTGTATTTTTAGTAGAGATGGGGTTTCACCATGTTGCCCAGGCTGATCTCGAACTCCTGACCTCAGGTAATCTGCCCGCCTCAGCCTCCCAAAGTGCTGGGATTACAGGCGTGAGCCACTGCGCCCGGCCCCAGCTTTTTTTTTTAATTTTTTTTTGAGATGGAGTCTCACTCTGTTGCCCAGGCTGGAGTGCAATGGCATGATCTCGGCTCACTGCAAGCTCCGCCTCCCGGGTTCACGCCATTCTCCTGCCTCAGCCTCCTGAGTAGCTGGGACTACAGGTGCCCACCACCACGCCTGGCTAATTTTTTGTATTTTTAGTAGAAATGGGGCTTCACCATATTAGCCAGGATGGTCTCGATCTCCTGACCTCGTGATCTGCCCGCCTCGGCCTCCCAAAGTGCTGGGATTACAGGCATGAACCACCGCGCCCGACATGCTTGGTAATGTTTAGTAAACAGCACAGTCAGGTTACCAGGTAGCTTTAAGGAGAGAGTCCACTCCAAAAACCGGTGTTGGCAGGATCCCCGTCCTGCATTTCCTAAACCACTCGTTGTTCTACCCCCAGCCTTTAAAGTATGGCCTTCTGAAAACCTGACCCTGGGAGACCTGGGAGCCTCAACTTTGTGCAGACTCCAAATGAGACTCACCATGATGCGCCAGAAATCTCACACCTCTAATCCACAAAAGGGAGAAGCTTCATGGTTTAAATGCCATTGTCTCTAAGAGACTGAAATCACTGGATCTGTGGCAAACCAGGGCAGGGTGGCCTTTGCCACAATGTACCTGGACTGAATTTGTGGAGATCAATTTGGTGTTGGACTTTGTGATGGTTTTAATATTCCTCCCTTCCCTTGAGTGTGGACTGGATTTATAGTAGTAAATCTCTTCTAATGACTAAAATGAAGCAAAAGTGAGGGTCTGTGAGTTCCGAGAGTGGGTCATAAAACAAATGTGGCTTCCTCCTTGCCTTTTCTCTCAGGTCACCTGCTCTGGGAGAAGCCAGTTGCCATGTTGTAAGGACACTCAAGCAGCCCATGGAATGACTCACATGCTGAAGAACTGAGCCCTCCCTCCTTCCAACAGCCAGGGAGGAACTAGGGCTTCTTGCCAATAACCATGTGAAGAAGCTTGGAAATGGATTCTCCCCCAAATGAGTCTTCAGATTACTTTAGACTAACATCTTGACTGCAACCTCTAGAAAGACCCTGAGCCAGGATCACCAAGCTCACAGAAGCTAAGAGTTAATAAATGTTTGAATTAAGCTGCTAAGTTTTGGAGTCACTTGTTATGCAGCAATAGGTATCTAGTATAGCCTGTATTTATATATTTTGATTTTCTGTATATTATAATGTTTTGACATCTTTTTTTTTTTTTTTTTGAGACGGAGTCTTGCTCTGTCACCCAGGCTAGAGTGCAGTGGTGCAATCTCAGCTCACTGCAACCTCCATCTCCCGGGTTCAAGCGATTCTCCTGCCTCAGCCTCCCAAGTAGCTGGGATTACAGGCACCTGCCATCACACCTGGCTAATGATTGTATTTTTAGTAGAGACGGGGTTTCACCATCTTGGCCAGGCTGGTCTTGAACTCCTGACCTTGTGATCCTCCCGCCTCGGCCTCCCAAAGTGCTGGGATTACAGGCGTGAGCCACTGCACCCAGTCTGTTTTGACATCTTAAAAACCTTTCTAGCTGAGGCTGCCCCTCCTGGGACCAGCCAATTCTTAGTGAAAGCAAAGGGTGCAGCCTGTGGCATCCCTTTGATATGAAACTAACCAATCCAGAGCCAAGTCTACTCCATCTGGCCAGCACACCTCAGGAGACAACATTCCTCTGCCTCCAGCATCCCTAGGCCAAGTAGAGCCCTGAAACTATTCAAAGTAGCCAATCTTGAGATGTTTAGCTTGCCCTCCCTTGCCTTTTCCTCATAAACTCCAACAAAAGTGATGAGCTATTCTCTCCTGTAGTTCTTGCCCCCTCTACCTCCTGCTCCATGCTGTGGGGCTTTCCTACTGGCCCTATGTGGTGTGCAGCGCCTCCTGTTTCTAGGGCCTGTGAGGACAGTCAGCTTTGTTTTCCTGAGCCTCTCATGTCTCCTCTTGTAGCTGCATCTGACTGACTATATGTGGGCATAAAGGAACATGTGGAGGGGGACCGATGTGGATCTTACAGCAGGCCCCAAGGTGTCTCAGTGTTTCTGTCCAGGAGGCCCATTTTCCCTCTCAACATCGCAGGATGATCCTGTTAGTGCAGGACTCACTGTGGCTCTCACTCCTCTTTTATAGAGATCAAGAAGTACCTTCAAGAGCTAGGCTTCCCATGAAGGGGAGTTTATACAGTAATGCCAGCTATACTCTTGCTGGAGGTGCTCTTAGTGTTAGGAGCAATCCTGGATAGCCAAGACCTCACTAGAATCTAAAAGAAAACTTAAGGCCAGGTGCACCTCCATCCCAGGAGTCCTAGATCCCTGGGGCACAGAACTTGGATCAGAGGAATGTGGCTGAGTTTTAGTTTACTGACTCTTGGCCTAAGGGAGAACTGAGATCTAACCCCAAAGGACAACTTCACCAACCCTCAGCACCTGGCCCTACAGAGAATATCCATGACTTGCTATAGTATTCTTCCATCAACCATTCGGCGATCTTTGCAGACCCAGTATTATGCAACATGACCATAACACCTACCTAGTCCCGGGAAAGGCCATCTCCAAACAGGGACAAGAAGTAGACTAAGCCACTTCCTCTGTTTACTCAAATCTGCCTTCATGAAAATTACCTTTGAGATGCCTCTTTTGGGCTCCCCCATCAAGAAACCCGGTATCATCTACGTGCGGTGGCTCATGCTTGTAATCCCAGCACTTTGGGAGGCCAAGGCAGGCGGATCGCCTGAGGTCAGGAGTTCGAGACCAGCCTGACCAACATGGAGGACCCCATCTTTACTAAAAAAATACAAAATTAGTCAGGCGTGGTGGTGCATGCCTGTAATCCCAGCTACTTGTGAGGCTGAGGCAGGAGAATTGCTTGAACCTGGGAGGCGTAAGTTGCAGTGAGCCAAGATTGTGCCACTGCATTCCAGCCTGGGCAACAGAGCGAAACTGTCTCAAAAAAAAAAAAAAAAAAAAAAAAGAAAGGCGCCCAACATCTAGACGGGGAACTTGGCCCAGAAAGTCCACAGCGTCCCTATTTTCAGTTGCACACTCTCTACCTTGGACCAGGACAGCCTTGCAAGTGCTGAGATACAGAGAAGGGCCAAAAGTTTTTCTGACTTTAGCTCTGGAATAAACCTTGAAGTTGCACTTTTATAAACACCCCGGGCAGCTGTGGAATAGAACGAAGGTCTGCAGGAGGCCTTATTACAGCATCCAGGACTACAAAGTTATAGCAGGACACATCTATGGCCCTGAAACACCCTTCCTCCTACATACTGGTTAACTCCCACTCTGGAGAAAACCACACTCACTCTCCCGACTCTAATCCCCCACAAAAACGTTATTCTTGTTGAATACAGATACACAAGCCATGCTTGAAGTCAGAGGGGAGATATTTTTTGGTCTCCGTAGTTAGGCTTCATATCTGAAGCAATGTTTGTGAATTTCACCTTGCCCTTGAAGCTCATCTGCGCTCATGTTTGTACCAGGAGGTTAGACAGATTGTGGAGGACTTCTTGTTTGTTTTGAAAACCTTATTTCTCTAGAGTAGTTTTAGGTTCGGAGCAAAATATAGCAGAAGATACAGAGTTTTCCCATAGACCTCCTGCCCCGACACAGGCATAGCCTCCCTATTATCAACATCCCCGTCTCTACTGAAAATACAAAACTTAGCGGGGTGTGGTGTTGTGCACCTGTAATCCCAGATACTCAGGAGGCTGAGGCAGGAGAATCGCTTAAACCTGGAAGACGGAGGTTGCAGTGAGCCGAGATTGTGCCATTGCACTCCAGCCTGGGTGACAAGGCGAGGATCCATCTCAAAAAAACAAAAGACAAGCTAAACACTATTCATATACAAAGGACATGTACTCAGAATATATAAAGAACTCTTGTAAATCAATAAGACAATAGAAAATGGGCAAAAGTCTTGAACAGGCATTTCACGCAAGAGGATATCCAAATGAGTAATAAACATTAGTGTCAGATTTTAAAATTAGTTAAAAAACTATCCTCTATTTCCAAAACAAGTAAAACAATAAAAATAATTTTATTAAAATATTCCTTTCCAGGCCAGGTGCATGGCTGATGCCTGTTATCCCAGCATTTTGGGAGGCTGAGGCAGGTAGATCACCTGAGGTCAGGATTTCGAGACCAGCCTGGCCAACATGGTGAAACCCCATCTCTACCAAAAATATAAAAATTTGCTGGACGTGGTGGCAGGCACCTGTAATCCCAGCTACTCAGGAGGCTGAGGCAGGAGAATTGCTTGAAGCCAGGGGGCGGAGGTTGCAGTAAGCCGAGATGGCACCATTGCACTCCAGCTTGGGCAACAAGAGCGAAACTCCATCTAAAAAATATATACATATATATTTTTATATATTATATATATAATACATATACATTTTTATATATTATATATAATACATATATTTAAATATATATATTCCATATATATTCCTTTCCAAAGTTAAAAACAAAACAGAAATTATGTTAAAAGGCAACCCACACTGTAATCCCAGCACTTTGTGAAGCCAAGGCAGGAGCATCAGCTGAGGTCAGGAGTTTGAGACCAGCCTGGGCAACATGGCAAAACCCCATCTCTACTAAAAATACAAAAAATTAGCCAGGCGTGGTGGCATGTGCCTGTAGTCCCAGCTACTCGGGAGGATGAGGCAGGAGAATTGCTCCAACCCAGGAGGCGGAGGTTGCAGTGAGCCAAGATCACACCACTGCACTCCAGCCTGGGCGACAGAGCAAGATTCAGTCTCAAAACAAACAAAAAACAAACAAAAAGGCAACCCACAGACTGGTAGAAAATATTTGCCACACAAATAATCTTTAAAGGATCAACGTATAGAATATTTTTAAAACGCCTATAAAAAAGGGAAAGGCAAAATAGAAAAAAGGTACTTCTCAAAGGACAAAGGACGAATGGGCAATAAATATAAGAGGCTCACCTCGCTAATTATCACAGAAATGCAAAGTGAAAACAAAATCAGGTAATATTTTATACCACAGGATTGACAAAAAAAAGTAGTCTGTCAATTCTAAGAACTGGTGAGGACATGCAGCAAGAGGAAGGTTTTCGATACTGCAGATGGAAATGGAAATTGGTAAAACACTTTGGATGAACTCTTGTTATTCCAAGAAAACTCTTTTGTGTGTAAAAACATGTAAAATAATATTATTGTCTGGGAAAAGTGGCTCACCCCTGTAATCCCAACACTTTGGGAAGCCGAGGCCCGCAGATCGCTTGAGCCTGGGCAGTGAGTTGTGATGGCGCCATTGTGCAGTCTCGGCAACAGAGAAAACCTTGTCAAAAAAAAAAAAGGAAAGGAAAGGAAAAATCTCCCATAATTTCACCTTTTTTTCTTTCTTTCTCTTTTTTTGAGAGTCTTCCTCTGTTGCCTAGGCTGGAGTGCAGTGGCAGGATCTCAGCTCACTGTAACCTCTGTCTCCTGGGCTCAACCGATCCCCCCACCTCAGCCTCCCGGGTAGTTGGGCCTACAGGCGCCCACCACCACTCCCATCTAATTTGGAGGTTTTTTGTTGTTGATGTTCTTTTTGTAGATGTGGGTTTTCACCATGCTGCCCAGGTTGGTCTCAAAACTCCTGTGCTCAAGCAATCCTCCTGTCTCAGTCTTCCAAAGTGGTGGGATTAGAGGTGTGAGCCACACACCCAGCCTCCAGTTTTTTTGTTTTTTGTTTTTTTTTTTGAGACGAAGTCTTGCTCTGTCGCCAGGCTGGAGTGCAGTGGCGCCATCTCGGCTCACTGCAACCTCCGACTCCCTGGTTCAAGCGATTCAATTCTCCTGCCTCAGCCTCCTGAGTAGCTGGGACCACAGGCATGCGCCACCACGCCAGTCTAATTTTTGTATTTTTAGTAGAGACGGGGTTTCACCACATTGGCCACGACGGTCTCCATCTCCTGACCTCGTGATCTGCCCGTCTCGGCCTCCCAAAATGCTGGGATTACAAGCATGAGCCACCGCACCTGGCCCCTTTTTTAATATTATATGTTTCTAGCTTTTTTAAAAAAAGTTATTGTAGTGTTATTTTTGTTTTTAATGAACAGCATTCAGATAATTCAATATATTATAATGAGGAATACATTGAGAAGTCTCTCACCCTATCTCAGTCCTACCCTCCATCTCATAAGAAACCATGACTATTAGTTTCTTGAGTATATTGCCAGAATTTATGTGGAAATAAGGATCATATGACTCTCATTTATCCTTTTCTACACAAAAAGCATAATTTATACACTGTTTGGCACCTGGGCTTTTTTCGCTTAGTAAGATATGCTAGAGATGGTTCCACATTAGTATGTTGGGAACTGATTCCTCACTCTTTTTCATAGCTGCATAATGTTCCATTGTGTGTATGTACTGTAGTTTATAATATCAGTCTTCTGATGGATACTCACGTAGTTTACAACCTTTTGCTATTACAATCAATAATCTCATACACATATTACTTTACATGTATGCAAGTGTATTTGGAGGCAAAATTCCCCAAAGTGGGATTGTTGGATCAAAATGCAAATATTATTCAGTGTGGTTTTGATAACCACTAAGGATTGCTGCATTCTGCTCCTACTAGCACTGTAACACTGCACCTGTTTTCCTGACACCCTCCTATATTGAGTATATTACCAAACGTTTCAATGTTCACCAATCATGATGATTTGCATTTTTATTAAAACTGAAGCTGGCCTGTAATCCTAGCACTTGGTGAAACTGAGGTGGGAGGATTGCTTGGGCTTGGGAAGTGGAGGCTGTAGTGAGCTGTGATCGTGCCACCTGTCTCAGAAAAAATAAAATACAAAACAGGCCGGGCGCGGTGGCTCACGCCTGTAATCCCAGCACTTTGGGAGTCTGAGGCAGGCCGATAACCTGAGGTCAGGAGTTCGAGACCAGCCTGGCCAACATGGTGAACCCCATCTCTACTAAAAATATAAAAATTAGCCTGGCGTGGTGGCACCTGCCTGTAATTCCAGCTACTCGGGAGGCTGAGGTGGGAGAATCACTTGAACCCGGGCAGCGGAGGGTGCAGTGAGCCGAGATTGCATTACTGCACTCCAGCTTGGGCAACACAGGACTCCATCTCAAAAAAATAAATAAATAAATAAAAAACACAAAAACATGCAGCTAAGCATCTTTTCATATATTTAAAGTCTATTTTTAACTACTATTTTTCTGTGAACTTGGTACCCCAGTACTTCGCCCATTTGTCTAATGCACTGCTGCCTGTTAATTCTTAGATATTTTAAATGAATATTTAATATATTTATATTTGGAAAAACTTATCCAAGGACAAAAGATGACGCTAAAACTCCTGTTATAAAACGAACATACCAGCCTTTCCCCCACGAGTCTGGAATCCGGCCAGAGCAGGATTTTAAGACTCTCGGACGACGTCAACATGTCCTCGGATCTGACTGCGCAGGCTCCAAATAGCTCGCCCGAACCCTAACATCTGTGTGCGCATGCTCGCTTGATTCCTAGCGGAAAGTTTGTGTGCGCATGCTCCAAGGAGCCGCGCCCCATCGGCTTCCCTAACGGAAAATCCGCTGCGCATGCTCATAAACCTGCTCTCCTAGGAGACCTGAAGGCTGCTTCCGCTAACCCGGGCTGGCGCTGCTAACCTCACCCAACGATCCCTGCTGTCGGAAAATGTCCAGAGGCACCATCCCTGCTATGAAGAGGGAATGCCAGTACAACAGCCACAAGGGGTCTTCCTGTGGCCCTCAAACAAAAAATCACTGCATTACATCAGCAGGTATTCAGCACCTGGCCCCCTCCAAACGGTGTCTAAAGCGAGTTTTAAAAATTAATGCTAGGGGCGGGACGGCGGGGGCGGAAAAAAATAAAAAATTAAATTACTTAAATTTTTTTCTCTTTTTTTAAAGAGTCGGATTCTCGCCCTGTTCCCCAGGCTGCAGTGCAGTGGCGCGATCTCGGCTCACTGCACCTCCGCCTCCCGGACTCCAGCAATTCTCCTGCCTCAGCCTCCTGAGTAGCTGGGATTACAGGCGCGCGCCACCACACCCGGCTAATTTTTTGTATTTTAGTAGAAACGGAGTTTCACCGTGTTGCCCAGGCTGGTCTCAAACTCCTGAGCTCAGGCAGTCCACCCGCCTCGGCCTCCCAAAGTGCTAGAATTACAGGCGTGAGCCACCTCACCCGGCCAAATTACATTAATATTTTATATTGAGGAGGAAGTTGGTTACAAAGGACTTTCAAAAGTGTCGGGGTTAATAATCTGCATATTTTAAAATATTCCAGGCCGGACGCGGTGGTTCATGCCTGTAATCCCAGCACTGTGGGAGGCCGAGACGGGCGGATCACGAGGTCAGCAGATCGAGACCATCCTGGCTAACACGGTGAAACCCCATCTCTCCTAAAAATACAAAAAAATTAGCTGGGCGTGGTGGCGGGCGCCTGTAGTCTCAGCTACTCGAGAGGCTGAGGCAGGAGAACGGCGTGAACCCGGGAGGCGGAGCTTGCAGTGAGCCAAGATCGCGCTACTGCACTTCAGCCTGGGCGACAGAGCGAGACTCCGTCTCTCTCTCTCTCACGCTCTCTCTCTATATATATATTCCATAGACTGCATTGGAGAGAAAGGCGCCGGGACAGAAAAGCCTGAGATAAACCACCTGTCATTCTTGGAGAAAAGGATGCTGCGGCTTTCCCGATTTGGTTGATGAGATGGAAAATCAACCCTTACAGGAAGGACATCACCAATTCCGGAAAGGATGCTGCGCCAGTCATGTTTCCGCACTCTGTGAGACGTTGAAATCTCCAGAAGTTGCCCAAGGTTTTCAAGCTGAACACAGGAGAAATGACTCTGGATCTCTGAGGACTGTTTTCCTCAATAAGGAGCTGCAATCTTGGCTCCACCACCCTCCCTCCAAAACATCTCGTGTGTCTGGTATCTGGTTATATTGTGGCCTGACAGAGAAGTTTCTTTCGGGGCCAGTGAATTAAAAAAAAAAAAAAAAAGAAAAGCGGGTCCTACCAACTCATTAATACTTTAATACTTTAAATTTCCCTCTTTATAGTAGGTTGAAATGTCAGTATCTCTTAAGAACAATGGCTGAACCAAATGTTTCCTCAAAACTCACATTTTTTCCCACCATTTCAGAAGCTGCCTCAGGACTAAGCTTTGATTTTTTTTTTTTTTTTTAATCTGGCCCAAATTCCTATCTAAGGGGCCTGGGGAGTCATGCCCAACAAACCATAAATTCTCATCAGATGAGTTTTATTTAACCCTATATATGGTGACTTGCTTTCCAGTCTGACTCTGGCATGACATGTGACAAAGAAGAAAGTCAAAATATTTTACCCCAAAACATGTTTCTTTGCCATATTTTGAAATGGTCCTGCAAAGCTGTGCTTTGTGGGGGAAAATATGCATCTGTAAAGAATCTCTATTAACACAGCTAGATCTTTTTCTTCCAGGCCCTCCCAATCCTGAAGAGACTGAGAGTCTAGCATTGTTTTAAAGGTCTGAATAGGAAACATTTGTCATCTATCATCTCTAAGGGTAGCCATTATAAGACTTCAAAAGAACCTTTTGAAGTATTATAATCTTTTATCTTAACCTGAACATGTGCTTCCTATTGATCCCAGGTCTTCAGACAATTGTGAACTCAACCATTTGTCAATTAGAAAATGTTTAAATTGGCTGGGCACAGTGTCTCATGCCTCTAATCCCAGCACTTTGGAAGACCAAGGCGGGCAGATTGCCTGACCTCAGGAGTTCGAGACCAGCCTGGGCAACATGGTGAAACCCCGTCTCTACTAAAATACAAAAATTTAGCCGGGCGTAGTGGCATGCACCTGTAGTCCCAGCTACTTGGGAAGCTGAGGAAGGAGAATTGCTTGAACCCGGCGGGCAGAGGTTGCAGTAAGCAGAGATCGTGCCACTGCACTCCAGCTTGGGCAACAAAGTGAGACTCCATCACAGAAAAAAAAAAGAAAATGTTTACCTTTACCTATAGCCTGGAAATCCCTGCTTTGAGTTGCTCCATCTTTCTGAACCAAACCAATGTTATTTCTTAAACGTATTTCATTGATGTCTCATGCCTCCCTAAAATGTATAAAACCAAGCTGTGCCCCGAACACCTTGGGCACATGTTCTCAGGACCTCCTGAGGGCCGTGTCACGGGTCATAATCACTCATATTTGGCTCAGAATAAATCTCTTCAAACATTTTACAGAGTTGACTCTTAGTCAACATGTCCATACCTGATGAGATGCTTCATCAAAATTCTAGTGGACTGGCTAGTTCAGAAAATGGACCAGCCAGGTTTGCTTAAATGCACCCCTGCACAACTATCTCACTCCTGCTTGGAGCCGGCTAGATCAGGAGACCTGTCCCTAAACTAATGTACTCCATGTCTTAAGTCTTTTTGTTTTGTTTTGTTTTTGTTTTTGACAGAGTCTCAGTCTGTCACCCAGGCTGGAGTGCAGTGGCGTGATCTTGGCTCGCTGCAACCTCCGCCTCCCAGGTTCAAGAGATTCTCCTGTCTCAGCCTCCCAAGTAGCTGGGACAACAGGTGTGCACCACCATGCCCTGCTAATTTTTGTGTTTTAAGTAGAGATGGGGTCTCACCCTGTTGGCCAGGCTGGTCTCAAATTCCTGACCTCAGGTGATCCACCCACCTCGGCCTCCCAAAGTGCTGTAATTACAGGCATGAGCCACCGCACCCAGCCCATGTGTCTTGGTCTTTTTTACTAATATTGATTATAAAATGGATGAAACTTTGGATAAAATTTCTGCGTTAGAATTTCTTTTTATATCTGTCCTAAAGCTTGTAACTACTTGCTCATGATTTTTTGTGTATGTTTAGCAATGTGCATGTCATTGATGGCCTTTGTAAAGTATGTTCAATTGAGTTGTGGAGACAGAGGTGCAATTGGAGTAGGTTGTAAGAATAAAAAGGAGTAGGCAAAAAGGCACGGGTATACCAGTGGACTTCAAAGGGTACTCAGACTTTGTTCTTAAGGGATCAATTCCCAGATCTTCAGTTTCATATAAACTCTTTCCTAAAATTGACTTGCCTAAAAGCATGTTAGTGTTGTGGGCACAGCTTCTCTTTTCTTATTTCTGCTTTTACAGTCATCCTTTTTCCAAAAGGAAGGTATACATATCCTCCTTGTCTAACAATGGCACATTGCCCCAGGGTGTAAAAGAGGCCAGGGGTGACAAGCAGAGACACAATTCAAAGCATTTGTATTAAGAGAGCAGTAACTCCAATGCATTATTTTGCAAGTCACATTTTTTTGTTTTTGTTTGTTTTGAGACAGGATCTCACTCTGTTGCCCAGCCTGGAGTGCAGTGGTACGATCTCTGCTCATTGCAGCCTTGACCTCCCTGTTTCAAGGGATCCTTCTGCCTCAGCCCCCTAAGTAGCTGAAACTACAGGCATACAACACCACGCCTGGCTAATTTTTGTATTTTTTGTAGAGATGGGATTTTGCCATGTTGCCTAGGCTGGTCTTGAACTCCTGAGTTAAGCTATCTGCCCACCTCGGCCTCCCAAGGTGCTGGGATTACAGGCATGAGCCACCACACCTGGTTTTAATCTATAATTTCAAAGTTAAAATTTTTTTAAGTCAAAACTATGTAAAAAGTTATGCTTAGAAAAGTCTAGCTTCCTCAGCTCTATCCCTTCCACCTATTCCTTCCTCTGTCCCCCAGAGATAACCTAGTTCATTATTTTTGGTACATCTCTGTTTCTTTTTCTTTTTTTTTTTTTTAGATGCAGTCTCACTCTGTCGCCTGGGCTGGAGTGCAGTGGAGCAATCTCAGCTTACTGCAACCTCCGCCTCCCAGGTTCAAGCAATTCTCCTGCCTCAACTTCCTGAGTAGCTGGGATTACAGTCACCCACCACTATGCCCAGCTAATTTTTTGTATTGTTAGTAGAGACGGGGTTTCACCATGTTGGCCAGGCTGGTCTCGAACTCCTGACCTCGTGATTCGTCCACCTCGGCCTCCCAAAATGCTGGGATTACAGGCGTGAGCCATCATGCCCAGCTACATCTCTGTTTCTTTTTGCAAAAATAAATACATATATTTGTTTTTGGACTAATGTAAACATACTGTTAACTGAAATAGTAAATGGACTGTACTGTTAAAGAGAATCTATTAGAGTCTTGTTTGTATTTCTTGAACAAAATTATCTTGCTCTATATAGTTCTTTCTTTCCATATCAATTCACAGAAATCATCATTGTCCTTGCTCTGTTTTTTTTTTTTTTTTTTTGAGGGTCTTGTTCTGTCACCCAGGTTGAGTGGCATGATCTCACCTCACTACAGCCTCAACCTCCTGGGCTCAAGCAGTCCTCCCACCTCAGCCTCCTAAGTAGCTGGGACCACAGGATGTGCCACCATACCCAGGTAATTTTATTTTTTGTAGAGATGACATCTCACTATGTTGCCCAGGCTGGTCTTGAACTCCTGGGCTCAAGCTTTCCTCCCACCTCAGCCTCCCAAAGTGCTGGCATGACAGGAGTGAGCCACTGTGCAAAGCCTGTCCTTGTTTTTTTAATAGCTGTGCAATACTCCAGAGTGCTGATGTCCTATTATTCAACCCAGTCTCTTGCTGATGGACATTTGAGTTGTTTCCACATTATTGCTATTGTGTATAAATAACTCTACAATGAGTAGTCTTATGCTTGTATTGTTTTATATTTGTCAAGTTGTATCTTCATAGTAAATTCCTAGAAGTTGCATTACTGGGCCAAAAGATAAATAATATATGAGCATTAGGCTGGGCGCGGTGGCTCACGCCTGTAATCCCAGCACTTTGGGAGGTCGAGGCGGGTGGATCACGAGGTCAGGAGATCGAGACCATCCTGGCTAACACGGTGAAACCCCGTCTCTACTAAAAATACAAAATATTAGCTGGGCGTGGTGGCGGGTGCCTGTAGTCCCAGCTACTCAGGAGGCTGAGGCAGGAGAATGGCGTGAACCCAGGAGGCGGAGCTTGCGGTGATCCAAGATCGCACCACTGCACTCCAGCCTGGGTGACAGAGCGAGACTCCATCTCAAAAAAAAAAAGGGCAAAAGGGCTAGCTGTGGTGGCTCACACCTGTAATCCCAATACTTTTGAGTGGCTGAGGTGAGCTGATCACTTGAGCCCAGGAGTTTGAGACCAGCCTGGACAACATTGCAAAACCTTGTCTCTACAAAAAAATAAAAAATAAAAAATAGAAAAAAATAATCAGCTGAATGTGGTGGTGTGCACCTGTAGTCCCAACTATTTGGGAGGCTGAGGTGGGAGGATCACCTGAGCCAGATAAGATCAAGGCTGCAGTAAGCCATGATCACATCACTGCACTCCAGCCTGGGCGACAGAGTACGACTCTGTCAAAAACGAAAGAAAAGGAAAGGGAAAAGGAAAGGAAGGGAAAGGAAAGGGAAAGAAAGAGAGGAAAGAAGAAAAGAAAGAAAAAGAGAGAAAGAAAAAAGAGAAGGAAGGGAGGGAGGAGGGAGGGAAGGAGGAAGGAAGGAACGAAGGAAGGAAGGAAGGAGAGAAGGAAGGAAGGAGGGAGAGAAAGAGAAAGAAAAAGGAAGGAAGGAAAGAAGGAAAGAAGGAAAAGGGCTCCATGCAGCATTTACCTAGCTTGCCTTTCCATCTTTTGCCCTGTGAGGACACAGCAGGAAGGCCCTCACCAGACCAAATGCCAGTTACTTGAGCTTAGACTTCCCAGCCTCCAGAGCTGTGAGAAATACATTTCTGTTCTTTATAAGTTACCCACTCTGGGGTATTCTGTTATAGCAGCATAAATGGACTAAGACAATGGGCAAAGGATATAAGCAGGTAATTTTCAAAAAAGAAAACATAAGTGACCAACAAACTTAATGAATGTATGTTCAACCTCATAAATAATCAGGACATATAAATAAAAATAAAGAGACTATTTCATACTCACTGCACTAGAAAAAGTATTGTTTATCAGTACCTGCAGTCATCATTCACAGACATTCAGATCCTAAAGGTAGGAGTGGGAACTCTTTGAAGTTAGATGTGGTCACAAGACTTGTTAAAACAAGTGTGAGCCAACTAATTGTGAGCAGAATTGATATCGTCACTTGTGTGCAGAAATTGGGAAGAGCCAAATTTGAGCCCTTTAGTCAGTTTTTTCCCCTACTTCATTGAAGCAGGTGTCAGGATGGAAGCTCCATCAGCCCTGGTCCCTGAGTGACTATGATAACAAAACTTCATGAAGAAGAAATAGACCGTTGAATTAAGACACTGAGATTTTTGTGATTGTGTTACTGTAGCATAATTTAGTTATTCTGACTGATATAACCCCGATTTTTGGTGAGGAAACAGAACAACTGGGACTTTCATATGCTGCTTGTGAGCCTAAGCTGGTACAACGCCGGAGAAAACTTTTTGCAAATGTTTAGTCAAGTTCACAATGTGTATACCCATGTAGGCACAAGAAAAATGAGTGAAAGTTTTTGCTACAACATTAAAGAAAAAACTGAAAATAACCTCAATGTCCATAGACAAGAAATATATATTAGTAGATTAATAGAATACATTACTACTGAGTAGCTAAAATAAACTTAAGCTACCTGAATCAAAATATATAATTCTCAAACAGAGTCTAAAAAATTGCATGAGGATATGTATAGTATGAGGTCACTATATAAAGTAAACATAGCATATTATGCTGTAGCTACATAAAATATGTAGTAAAAGTATAACAACATGCATGGGCATAATAAGCATCAAATTCAGAGAAATGTTCACTTCTGGGAAAAGAAGAGGATGCAGGATCCTCGGTGATAGGGTATTTGGAATGTTTTATGTCTTATTTCAAAACATCAAATGCTACTATGTAAAAATGCTGGGTGGTGGGTACCTGGATATTTGTTGTATTATCCTCTGTACTTTTCTGTCTACTTGAAATACTGAATAATAATTAAAAAGAAAATACAAGCAAGCAAAAAGAAAAAAAAATATCTATAAGGCTTCCTCTCCTGCTCCAACTCTGAAATCACCTTAATTAATATATCGATGTAAATCTGTCCAATGTTCTTCCATATCTTTGTGTCTCTGCCTCACCTGGATAGGAAGAAAAAGGGTGGTAGTTCTTCAGATAACTACAGTAAAGACAGTGTGCAGAGTTTAGCAGGCTATGTACTCTATACCTTAATTTACATATTTAGGAGATGTCGTTTTGCCAACTTAAAAATATTTACTAAAAGGAGAAACATTTCATTATTATTATTATTATTATTATTTAGACAGGGTCTCGTTCTGTTGCCCAGACTGGAGACTGGAATACAGTGGCATGATTATCACTCACTACAGCCTTGACCTCTTGGGCTTAAGTGAGCCTCCCACCTCAGCCTCCTGAGTAGCTGGGACTACAGGCATACACCACCATGCCCCGCTAATTTTTTTTTTGTAGAAATGGAGTCTCACTATGTTTTCCTAGGCTTGTCTCACATTCTCAAGCGATCTTCCTACCTTGGTCTCCCAAAGTGTTGGGATTACAGGTGTGAGCCTCATTATTATTATTATTATTATTATCGTTGTTGTTGTTGTTGTTGTTTTGGAGACAGTCTCATTCTGTCGCACAGGCTGGAGTGCAGTGGCGTGATCTCGGCTCACTGCAACCTTCGCCTCCCAAGTTCAAGCAATTCTCTGCCTCAGCCTCCCAAGTAGCTGGGATTACAGGCACCTGCCATCACGCCTGGCTAATTTTTTTTATTTTTAGTAGGTGCAGGGTTTCACCATCTTGGCCAGGCTGGTCTTGAACTCCTGACCTCGTGATCCACCCACCTCGGCCTCCCAAAGTGCTGGGATTACAGGCATGAGCCCCCACGCCCAGCCTAGCCTCAGTATTCTTTAAGAGTTTGCATCAGTTTGCTTGCCATCATCTTTTTTTTTTTTTGAGACATAGTCTCGCTCTGTCGCCCAGGCTGGAGTGCAGTGGCACCATCTCGGCTCACTGCAACCTCTGCCTCCCGGGTTCAAGTGATTCTCCTGCCTCAGACTCCTGAGTAGCTGGGATTACAGGCGCATGCCACCATGCCCAGCTAATTTTTGTATTTTTAGTAGAGACAGGGTTTCACCATGTTAGGCTGGTCTTGAACTCCTGACCTCGTGGTCCACCCACCTCGGCCTCCCAAACTGCTAGGATTACAGGCGTGAGCCACTGCGCTTGGCTGCCATCACTTATATTGATTTGTTTAGATTCTTTTTTCTTTTTTTTTTTTTCAGACGAGTCTCGCTCTGTTGCCCAGGCTGGAGTACAGTGGTGCGATCTTGGCTCACTGCAACCTCCACCTTCCAGGTTCAAGTGATTCTCCTGCCATAGTCTCCCGAGTAGCTGGGACTACAGGCATGTGCCACCATGCCCAGCTAATTTTTGTAGTTTTGGTAGAGACAGGTTTCACCATGTTGGCCAGGCTGGTCTCGAACTCCTGACCTCAGGTGATCCGCCCGCCTCGGCCTCCCAGAGTGCTGGGATTACAGGCCTGAGGCAATGCGCCCAACCTTGATTTTTTTAGACTCTTTAAACTTTTTTCCTTTCTCAATTTTCAGAACTATAAGAGACTTCTAAATGCTTAGAGAACCTGTGTTATTAATATACAAAAGCATGACTCTGAAAACAGGCAATTCTGGCACTGAAGAGCATCAGATTTAAACTCCATCTTGTAAGTGGTTTTCTTTGTTCTTTTTCTGCTTTCTTTCCCTTTTCATATTTGCTTTCTATAATTCCCTACGTATTTTAGCTATAATTTCTCTTATCAGCTATTTCCCAGTATTCTGTTTCCTTCTACAAATGATATACACGTGGGCTGAGGCAGGCCAAACTTAGAGCTTAATGTGGTTTTCCTGCACTTTTAGCACCACCTAATGATAGTGCTCTGGTATAAAGAATCTATGCTTTCCTGATTTTTTTATGCTCCTGAACACATTTCTAGCTGTGGCTTACAGTGTTGGTCTTTTAACGATTATCATGTCACATAACAGTATAGTTTTCAACCTGTCTGCACAACAGAGTCACCTGGTTACCTCTAAAAAATGCTGTCATTAGGCCCAAATCCAGAGCCACTGTCAGAGAGGCATTAACTCTTATTCATTGGACAAAACTAGATGTCATTTAAAAGTACTCAGTTCCATCACTTACTGGGAAGAGTCAGCTTTCTTCCCTTGGTATATAACTACATATACTTATGGTATTATATGACTAATCATGGCTAAAAATGAATACACTTGAGAGATCCCTTCAAGTACTTGTTCGTGATATATACTAATTCTGACAGTTGCCTACATTTCTTTCTCTTAATTTTTTTAAATTTGGGCAAATATATTAGACACATAAAAGTGCCATGATTAAAACAACCAACAGTTATATCTGCCATTCAAAAATGAACTAAAGTCTGCAACCTCCGCCTTCCCGAGTTCAGGAGATTTTCGTGCTTCAGCTTCCTGAGTAGCTGGGATTACAGGCGCGTGCCACCACACCTAGCTAATTTTTGTATTTTTAGTAGAGACGGAGTTTCACCATGTTGGCCAGGCTGGTCTCGAACTCCTGACCTCAGGTGATCTGCCCACCTTCTCGGCCTCCCAAAGTGCTGGGATTACAGGTGTGAGCCACCACTCCCAGCCAAAAAAATATTTATTTTTGAGTCTCGCTCTGTTGCAAGGCTGGAGTGCAGTGGCGCGATCTCAGCTCACTGCAACCTCCACCTCCCAGGTTCAAGCAATTCTCCTGCCTCAGCCTCCCAAGTAGCTGGGACTACAGGCATGTGCCACCACACCACCAGCTAATTTTTGTATTTTTAGTAGAGACGGGGGTTTCACCATGTTGGCCAGGATGGTCTCAATCCTGACGTTGTGATCCGCCCACCTTGGCCTCCCAAAATGCTGGGACTACAGGCGTGAGCCACCGTGCCTGGCCAACAATATATTTCTAATATTTCTAATAGAGCAGAAGAGCTGGTCACAGAAACAAGACCAATAACAACAAAACAATGAGAACATGAGACTGCTAAAGTGTGCCAATGTTGTGAGCACAATACCACACAGAAAGAAGAGGTCAGCAGCTTCATGAAAGAGGAGATTTGAGCAGGGCCTTGAACAAGGGAACAATTTCAATAGGCAGCAAACAAAAGGCAACCATCTAGGTGGGGGAATAACGTGAGCCAAGCCAAAAATGGGAATAAGCACAATACAGTTATTTCTAAAAGTCTTTCATGTGGTCTACTAATAATAGCTAACATTTTTGAGCACTTACGATATGTCAAGCAGTATTCCAAGTCCTTTCATGTATTAATTCGTTTAACACAGCAACACTGTCATCAAGAGCACACTGCTCAAACCACTTTTTCTGTTGCTCTTAGACACAGTGCCGTCTCTGGGTCTCAGTTTGTCTGTCTGTAAAAAAGCAGATAATAACACTACCCTATGCATGATGGATATACACACCCAGGCAAACACAAGAAGAGATTAAACAAAATGATGTAGCTGTTAGGATAAATTGGTGAGATTGTGGGTTATATTTCTATTACCCAAATGCAATTTGATGCAATACTGGCCTTTTTGAAACAGTTTTCTTGCAATATAATCCACATATCATACAATTCGCCCATTTAAATGGTACAATCCAGTGGTTTTAAGTATACTCTCAGACTTATGCAACCATTACCACAATCAGTTTTGAACATTTTCATCACCTCAAAGAGAAACTCTGTAACCTTTAGCTATCATCCCAGGTGCCCATATCATTCTTCTCTCTCCTTCCCTAAGCAACCACTAATCTTGTCTGTCTCTATATATTTGACCATTCTGGACATTTTATAAAAATGGAATCATATGTGACTTTTTGTGATTGTCTTCTTTCACATAGCATGTTTTCAAGGTTTATCCGTGTTGTAGCACATATCTACTTCATTCCTTTTTAAAATTTTTATTAATTTTTTTTGTAGAGATAGGGTCTCGGTATGTTGCCCAGGCCGGTCTTGAACTCCTGGGCTCAAGCAATCCTCCTTCCTTGGCCTCCCAAAGTGCTGGGATTACAGGCATGAGCCACCATGACCAGCCTTCATTTTTTATTGAAAGTGAAATTCACATAAGAAAATTAACAAAAGTGTACAATTTAATGACATTTAGTGCATTCACAATGTTGTGCAACCATCACCTTCATCAAGCTCCAAAACATTTTCATTACCCCAAACAAAAACCACACATCCATTATGCACACATCCATTATGCAGTCACATTTTCTTCTCTCCAGTCCTGAAGAATTTTTTTTTTTGAGACAGAGTCTTGCTCTGTTGCCCAGGCTGGAGTGCAGTGCAGTAACGTGTTCTCAGCTCACTGCAACCTCCACCTCCTAGGTTCAAGCGATTCTTGTGCCTCAGCCTCCCAAGTAGCTGGGATTACAGGAATGCACCACCATGCCCGGCTAATTTTTGTACTTTTAGTAGAGACTGGTTTTCATCATGTTGACCAGGCTGGTCTTGACCTCCCGACCTCAAGTGATCCACCCGCCTTGGCCTCCCAAAGTGCTGGGATTACAGGCATGAGCCACTGCACCTGGCCAGTCCCTAACAATTTATAATTTGCTTTCTGTTGCTATGGATTTACCCATTCTGGATATTTTATATAAATAGAGTCATGCAGCGTGTGATCTTTTGTGTCTGGCTTCTTTCACTTAGCAAAATATTTACAAGGTTCATCCTTTTTGTGACTGATTAATATTCCACGGTATAGACATACGACATTTTCTTTCTCCATTTATCAGTCAATAGACATTTGGGTTGTTTCCACATTTTGGCTATTGTGAATAGTGTTGCTATGAACATTTGTGTACAAGTATTGGTTTGAGTACCTGTTTTCAATTCTTTTGCGTATATATCTGGGTCATATGGTAACTCTATATGTTTAACTTTTTGAAGAGCTGACAGGTGGCTTTTCAAAGTGGCTGCATTATTTTACATTCCCATCAGCAGTGTAGAGGGTTCCAATTTCTCCACATCCTTGGCAACATTTGTTGTTATGTAGCTTTTTGCTTATAGCCATTCTACTGAGCGTTAAAGTGATATCTCACTGTGGTTTTGATTTGCATTTCCCTGATGGCCAATGATGTTGAGCAACTTTTCATGCGCTTACTGACCATTTGTATATCTTCTTTGGAAAAATGTCTATTCAAGTCTTTCACCATTTTAAAAATTGGGTTATTTTTCTTTTAAATGTTGAGTTGTAGGCATTCTTTATACATTCTGGATACACGTTTCCTTATCAGATACATACTTTGTAAACATTTTCTCACATTCTGTAAGCTATCTTTTCACTTTCTTGATGTTCTTTGAAGCATAAAAGTTTTTAATTTTGGTGTCCAATTTATTTATTTGTTTGCTTGTTGCTTGTGCTTTTATTGTCTTATCTAAGAATCCTTGCCAAATCCAAGGTCACGAAGATTTACCCCTATGCTTTCTTGTAAGAGTTTTACAGTTTTGACTCTTACATTTAGGTCTTTGATCCATTTTGCATCAATTTTTACATATGGTGTGATGTAAGGATCCAACTTGATTATTTTGCATTAGCCTGTCTAGCTATCCTAGTGCCATTTGTAGAAAAGACTATTCTTTTTCACCCTTGATGAAAATCAGTTGACCATAGAAATGTGGGTTTATTTCTGGACTCCCAATCCTGTTCCATTGATCTGTATGTCTATCCTTATACCAGTACTGCACTGTCTTGACTATTGTAGCTTTGTAGTAAGATTGGAAATGGGAAAGTGTAAATCTTCTAACTTTGTTGTCTTCCAAAATTGTTTTGGCTATTCTGAATCCCTTGAGTTTTCACATAAATTTTAGAATCAGCTTGTTAATTTCTACAAGGAAGAGAGTCTCTCACAAGTCTCTCTGCTAGAGACTGTGGTGAATCTGTAGATTAAGTTGAGGAATACTCCCATCTTAATAACATTAAGTCTTATGATCCATGAACATAGAATGTCTTTCCATTTATTTAGATGTTAATTTCTTTCAACAATATTTTATTTGAATGTTTTCAGAATGTTTTCTGTTTCTTTTGTTAAATTTATCATTAGGCCTTTAATTTTTTGATGTTAAAAGTTGTTTTCTTAATTTCAATTTTAGATTTTTCATTGCTACTATATAGAAATAAGTTGATTTCTTCATATTGATCCTATATCCTGAAGTATTGCTGAACTCAATTATCTGTCCTAATTTTTTTTAGTGATTTCATAGAATTTCCTGCATACAGGATCAGGTCATCTCTAAATAGATACAGTTTTACTTCTTTTCCAATTTAGATGCATTTTATGTCATTTTTTGGGCCCAACTGCTCTGGCTAGATCCTCCAGTACAATGTTGAATAGAAATGTTGAGAATGGGCTTGTCTTGTTCCTGATCTTAGTGGGAAAGTATCCAGTTCTTCACCATTAAGTGTAATGTTAGCTGTGGGGTTTTTGTAGATGTCCTTTATCAAGTTGAGGAAGTTCCCTTCTATGTTGTTAATGTTTTTTACCATGAAAGAATATTGGGCTTGTCGATTGCTTTTTATGCATCTATTGAGATGATTGTGAGACTTTTTTTTTTTTTTTTTTTTTTTTTTTTTGAGACAGAGTCTCGCTCTGTCACCCAGACTGGAGTGCAATGGTGTGATCTCGGCTCACTGCAACCTCCACTTCCCAAGTTCAGGCAATTCTCCTGAGTAGCTGGGATTACAAGCATATGCCACCACTCCTAATTTTTGTATTTTTAGTAGAGACAGGGTTTCACCATGTTGTCCAGGCTGGTGTCGAACTCCTGACCTCATGATCTGCCCGCCTCGGCCTCCCAAAGTGCTGGGATTACAGGCGTGAGCCACCACGCCCAGCTGATTGTGAAACTTAAAAAAAAAAACTATATTGATACAGTGTATTACATTAATTTTCAGATATTAAGTCAACTTTCCATTCCTGGAATAAATCTCCCTTGGTCATAGAGTATAATTATTTTTGTATGTTGCTGGATTGTGCTAGCGTATGTTGAGGATTTTTGCATCTATATTCATAAGAGATACTGGTCTGTAGTTTTCTTTTTCTTGTGATACCTTTGTCTAGTGATGTCTGGGCTTTTCTTTGTAGGTAGTGTTGGACAGTTAGTTAAATGTCTTTAGTTGTTATAGAACTATTCATATTTTCTCTTTCTGAGTCAGTTTCAGTAGTTTGTGTCCTTCTAATAATTTGCTCATTTAATCTAAGTTATCCAATTTATTGGCACACAATTGTTCACAGTACACCTTTATAAACTGTAATCCCAGTTGTTGCCTGGAGCAACAACTGAGGAAATAATTTAAAAATATATAGTAAAAAATCATTTAAAAATTAATGTTACATCAGAAAATATTTACTTAATGCAAAAGAAAGTAAAAGAGGAATAAAGAAACAGAAAAGATAGGAAGCATGGAGAAAGCAAAAATTATATATATTACCATACATACATCTTAACATCAGAGTCTGCTTCACATTTATAATAAATTCCAAAGAGATATAGAAATATTATTCCTATATAGCTCCATTCCCTGTTTCCTCTTGTGGTATTGTTATACATACATATGTTACAAACCCAGTAACACATTGTTATAATTTTACTTTTATACTTTTTTAAAAAGCTGAGGGAAGAAAATGGAGAAAAAATATATTTATAGCTTTTATTGCATTAGCCTATATATATTTATAGCTTTTATTGCATTAGCCTATAAATATATATTTATAGCTTTTATTGCATTAGCCTATAAATACATATTTATAGCTTTTATTGCATCAAATTTATTTCTCATTTCTGGTTCTCTTCATTTGTTCCTGTATTACCACTGGGAGTCATTTCCTTAGTCCAATATAGCTTTGCTCCCATCCACCTCCTTTGTTCTGTTATTGGCAAATATATTACATTTCTTTGGTATAGTCCCAACAATAAAATTATATACATATTCAATTGCTTTTTAAAATTAGTTAAGAAAAGAAATATGCATGTCGTCTTTACTAATGCTTTGTGTGTGTATTACTGTCTAGAGTCATTTGTTTCAGCCTCAATAACTTTTTTTCTTGTTTTTTTTTTTGAGATGGAGTTTCGCTGTTGTTGCTCACGTTGGAGTGCAGTGTCATGATCTCGGCTCACGGCAACCTCTGCCTTCCAGGTTCAAGTGATTCTCTTGCCTCAACCTCCCGAGTAGCTGGGATTACAGGTGCCTGCCACCACACCTGGATAATTTTTGTATTTTTAGTAGAGATGGGGTTTCACCACGTTGGCCAGGCTGGTCTCAAACTCCTGACCTCAGGTGACCCACCTGCCTTGGCTTCCCAAAGTGCTGGGATTACAGGTGTGAGCCACCGTGCCCGGATGCCTCAATAACTTTCTTTTAGTATTTTTTGTAAGGTGGGTCTGCTAGCAATGAATTATCTCAATTTTTGTTTATCTGGGAATCTCTTCATTTTGCCTTCATATTTGAAAGACAATTTTTGCTGAATGTAGGATTCTTGGTTGACAGATTTTTCTTTGAGCACTTTGAATGTTATCCCACTGCCTTCTCCTCCTTCGTTTTGGAACAGGATCTCCCTCTGTCTCCCACACTGGAGTGCAGTGGTGTGATTATAACTCACTGCAGCCTCCAACTCCTGGGCTCAAGTGATCCTCCCACCTAAGCCTCCCAAGTAGCTGGAATTACAGGTGTGTGCCACTATGTCTGGCTATTTAAAAAATTTATTTGTAAGGCCAGGCACGGTGGCTCACGCTAGTAATCTCAGCACTCTGGGGGGCCGAGGCAGACGGATCACCTGAGGTCAGGAGTTTGAGATGAGCCTGACCAACATGGCGAAACCCCGTCTCTACTAAAAATACAAAAAATTAGCTGGGCATAGTGGCAGGTGCCTGTAATCCCAGCTACTTGGGAGGCTGAGGCAGGAGAATCACTTGAACCTGGGAGGTGGAGGTTGCAGTGAGCTGAGATCGCACCACTGCACTCCAGCCTGGGCAAGAAGAGCAAAACTCCATCTCCAAAAAAAAAAATTATTTGTAGAGATGAGGTCTCCCTATGTTGGCCAGGCTGGTCTTGAACTCTTAGCCTCAAGCAATCCTCCCTCCCTGGCCTCGCAAAGTGCCTGGATTATAGGCATGAGCCACTGTGCCTGGGCTGTTATCCACTGCCTTCTGTTCTCCACTGCGTCTGATGAGAAGTCAGCTGTTGATCTTACTGGGGTTCTCTTGTAAGTAAGGATTCTTTTTTTTTTTTTTTGAGACAGAGTCTCGCTGTGTCACCCAGGCTGGGGTGCAGTGGTGTGATCTCAGCTCACTGCAACCTCCACCTCCCGGGTTCAAGCGATTCTCCTGCCTCAACCTCCCAAGTAGCTGGGACTACAGGTGCATGCCACCATGCCCGGCTAATTTTTTGTATTTTTAGTAGAGACAGGGTTTCACCGTGTTAGCCAGGATGGTCTCAATCTCCTGACCTCATGATCCGCCCACCTCAGCCTCCCAAAGTGCTGGGATTACAGGCGTGAGCCACTGTGCTGGGCCATAAGTAAGGATTTTTCTCTTGCTTCTTCAAGCTTTTCTCCTTGTCCTTGCACATTTTTTACTATAATGTGTGTTTGTGGATTTCTTTGCATTTAACCTCTTAGAGTTTGTTGAGCTTCTTGGATGTATAAAGTTTTTCATCAGATTTGGAAAGTCTTCAGCCCCTATTTCTTTAAACATTTTTTTATCTTCCTTTCTCTCTCTCCTCTCCTTTTGGAACTTCCATTAGATGTATGTTAGCGAGCTTAATGATGTCTCATATTTTTCTGAGGCTCTGTTCATTTTTCTTCATTCTTTTTTTCTGTTTATAATGTTATTTTTAGACAAAGAAAAAAGTGGGGAAAAGGTGGGAAAAATATAAGGATGGAAAACAGTTACCTAATCACTTTGGTGAGCTTATGAGATGCTCATAATTCCATAGCATCTTCCCCATAAAACGCTGCAGTGGTTACTTATCCAAGTGTTCATGTTTAATATACTGTTGAGATAAAAGGGTGGCCATCAGGTCAGCTTATTTAACTTTCTAGTCTGCTCAGAACTTGAAGCTACCCAGATTTCAGCAGAATTCACCTGGACTCATGCCTACATCAAACTAATCTAGTGTATCTTTCCATAGGGTGACAGACAAACTGATCTTGAGAACCCATGACAAGGTATTTGTGACAAGGCCTCTATCTGCTGAAACTCCAACAGGTGCAGATTAAAATGATGCCGGGCTGGGGACAGTCCAGATATTGGAGATACCACCCAAAAATATGAACTCCAGAGGAAAGGTTTTTAGTGTCAGCTGCTCCAGTCACTGTTCTAGGCACTGGGGACACAGCAGTAGTCAAGAAGACCAGGTCTCTGCTCTGGCGTTCACATTTTATCACGGGATACAGATTGCAAACCAACAAATAAAGGAAGGAAAGTATCAGAGTAATAATGTCAGTTATGCACAGAAATAAACTATGAGGATGTGATGAGAGTGACTTGGATGAATATTTTATACTAAGCACACAGGAAATACCTCCTGTGAGGAAGTAAGATCTAAATTAAAACCTGAATTATAACAGCCTTCTAGACAGCGGGAATGGCTAATGTCAAGGAACAGAAAAGTGGGAATGACTTACTATATTCCAGCGTAGTAAATAAGATGGAAAATGAAGTCTGAGAGGCAGCCAGGGGGTAGGCCATGTAGGACTAGTGTAGGTTGGAATTTTTTTTTTTTTTTTTTTTTTTGAGACAGTGGCACGATCTTAGGTCACAGCAACCTCCACCTTCCGGGTTCAAGTGATTCTCCTGCTGCAGCCTCCCAAGTAGCTGGGATTGCAAGCACCCGCCACCACGTCCAGCTAATTTTTCTATTTTTTAACAGAGATGGGGTTTTGCCATGTTGGTCAGGCTGGTCTCAAACTCCTGACCTCGTGATCTGGCCACCTTGGCCTCCCAAAGTGCTGGGATTACAGGCGTGAGCCACCGCGTCCGGCCTGAAGGTTGGATTTTATTCTAGGTTTGATGGGATGCTATTAGTGTTAAGCAGGGGAGTGATGTGATCTGAGCCACATCGAAAAATCACGAACGTCGCTTTGAGCACAAGTTATACAGAAGTTGAAATGGAAGCTGGGGAATTACTTATGAGGCATTTGTAGTACTTCATGAAAAAGATGTTAATAACTGGGGGTGGTGATAGTGGAGATAGAAGCAAATGGATGTGGAGTACGTATGGGACTTGCTGATAAATTGAATGTCAGATGTGAAGAAAAGAGAAGAATAAGGAATACTTTCTAGATATTTGCCTTGTGCACTTCGGTAGGCAATAATGCCATTTACTGAATTGGAAAAGAATGGGTTTGAATAAGCAGGGAGTTTGGGGGCAGGAATGGGAAGAGATATCACAAGTTCTGTTTTGATTATGTTAATTAAGTTGGAGATACCTACTGGTACTCCAAGTACAAATGTTAAGCAGTTGAGTAAACAAGCCTGAAACTACCGAAAGTGCACTCGAGTTGCCTGCTTTCAGTCTGAAGAAGCTGCCAGTGAGGCAGGAGGCCTCTAAGAGAAAATTTTCAGGCAACCCAAGGGAAAACTATTTCAAGAAGGTGTTGGAATGTATTGATAGACCCAGATTCCAACCCCAGTATGTAGTTTACTATGCCTCACTGAATGTTCTCTTCCACCTGTAAAATGAGGATAATGCCCAATTTGGTGGCGGGGGCGGGCGTTGTGAGGCTAAAGGAGATAAGGAATGTATCAGGAGCATGATCTTTAGCATAACCAAAGCATTCAACAAATAGCAACTACTAGGACCATCACCTTCAGTTTGGTAAGAATTGGCTGTGTTCATGAACAAATAGTAAGAAGCAAACTGGCTATATTTTCTCAAGGAAAGATACATCTTAGAAAGAGAGCTGCTGTTAGACTTTGCTATGGCCTTCACTTACTGTCCTTCAGTTGAAGCCTCTTTGAAAACAGCATAGCTCCCTACCACATAGTTCCCTACCACGTATCAGGAAACAGTATTCTTTACCTAGCTCTTTCTACAAATGCCACTTACTTTGCCTAAATAAGACATTTGATATGATTTGCTTGTAAGTTTCAAATGATGCCATAGAAACCACGAAAAGTATTAGGTGCCTCCTTTCTTGCACTAAATACATATACGCACACACATACACAGTCTTAACTCAAGTTACAGGAAAAGGGATATGAAACTCTCAAAGAATTTAGGCTACCTTCCACATGTTAACATAACAATGCAACAATAATAGCAAACATTTATGGAGGGCTTACTATAGGCCAGAAAGTACTGTGCTAGTTGTTTTAGATCTATTAACTTATTTAATTGCCCCAAAATCTTATAAGGGTGGAATAATATTATTCTTGTACCATCTTCCCCAATAGATCAGCTTTAAATAGGAGAAAGAGAGTTAGCCTATTAGAATTAAACTGGCTAGCTATCCCAGTCCTGAGAAGTGTGACACAGTTGCTCAGTGAATAGCTGAAGGTTGGCTGCAGAATTAATTCCAGGAATTAAACACAAAATACATTTTTTTTGGTTTCTTTTTATATTATAACGTGCCTTTAGTAGACAAGCTTGACAGAGCTTCAGCCTCAGCTTCCAAAGCAATAAGCACATCTCACAGTACCTGGCTGAGTATTGTGAAGAAGGAAAGTAACAAATAAATGCAATTGTGTACAATCAGCATTGTTATCAGATCATCTTTTCTGAAATATTTTAACCCTTAAATGTTTAATAAATCTTTACCAGCATAACCTCATTTAAAATAATCTTTTTTTTTTTTTTTGATAGGGTCTTGTTCTGCTGCACAGGCTGGAGTGCAGTGGCACAATCATGGCTCACTGAAGCCTTGCACTCTCAGGCTCAAGCAATTCTTCCACCTCAGCCTCCCTAATAGCTGGGACCACAGGTGTGTGCCACCATGCCAGGTTAATTTTTTTAATTTTTATTTTTGTAGAGACGAGGTCTCACTATGTTGCCCAGGCTGATCTTGAACTCCTGGGCTCAAGCAATCCTCCTGCCTTGGCCTCCAAAAGTGCTGGGATTGCAGACGTAAGCCACTGTGCCTGGCCTAAAATAATCTTAAAACTCAAAAATTTCACCTTGTAGCAGAGATAATTTTCCATGAAAACCTGTGGAATCTAGAGCTACTCCAGACTTTTTTTCTGAGAAGATGGAATAATTCAGATAAAGAGACTTTCCAAACAACTTTTGTCATTAACATTTATTTCAATTAAAGAAATGTGAATCCAGGATTAATGTAAGGTGAAATATTAAAGTATCTGGCGAAAGAAATGCTATTAAGAGTTTAAGTAAAATGTTTGCGGTACCAGTGCTATGTATAACAGACAAACATTAACAAAATTAAAAACACATTCTTTTTTTGTTTTAAATTGAGATGGAGTCTTGCTCTGTCACCCAGGCTAGGAGCGCAGAAACATGATCTCAGCTCACTGCAACCTCTGCCACCCGGGTTCAAACAATTCTTGTGCCTCAGCCTCCCGAGTAGCTGGGACTACAGGTGTATGCCACCATGCCTGGCTAATCTTTTTGTATTTTTAGTAGAGATAGGGTTTCACCACGTTGGCCAGGCTGGTCTCAAACTCCTGACCTCAGGTGATCTGCCCGCCTCGGCCTCCCAAAGTGCTGGGATTACTGGCGTGAGCCACTACACCTGGCCAAAAGCATTCTGAAGAGAATCAAATTCTGATAAACTCTGGTTTGTAAAAATTAATTCAGTGGTATAGGCCTCCCAGGGGAGAAGCAGTTTGCCTTTTTACCATCAGTTAAAAATCAAAAGAGCATATATATTTTTTCCTTATCTAGTCGTGACCATTACAGCACTGTTTACATGTACAAATCCAAATCCTTTAATCAGAAAACACAGTAAACTACAAAAAAAACTCTGGTATTTAACAGAGTACTTACATATAATATGTACTACAAGACATTTTCTTTCGAAAATAAAAGTCTATTTCCACAGTATCAAACAATTGAAACAAATATAAATGGGAACAAAATTTCTAAACAGCAGTTCAAAAACCTTGGCAAAGCCAGTTATCAAATAACATCTAGCTTCATTTATCAACTAAAAGACTCACTAAAAAGAATGATTTCTGTACGTGTAAACTGAGTGTAACACTTCAATATTTCAATGGAAATTGCTCTTTTGTCACACATTATTAAAGTCTGTTCTCTGAATAATTTGAAGAAATGTCAGTTATAAGGCAAATTAAGACTTAAAAAAATAGAAACAGTGCATCTTAAAGTTTTTCAGAGACCTACATATAATTTACAAACACATAATTTATTATATGGTTATAGTTTGGAACAAATTTTCCCTGAGCACTCTTTCTGCCTGGCTAGAAAAATTTAAACATGATTTATAAAATAGAATTTTATTTTGATTTTTCTTGAATATATGCAAATTTTCACCTATCTAATGTATTTGGAAAATTTTAGACCGAACTAGCAAGTATAACTGTTTTAAGGAGTTATTTGAATGGTTACAGAAATATGGTTGGGTTTTAGAGCCCTGAGAACTGTACAGTGGGTGTCTCATATAACAGAAATGATTTACTATCCTAAAACTATCAATGGTTATTTTACCAAATTCAGAATGCCACTAGTTTCACAGAGGACAGAGTAATAATCAGTAATTCCAGCTCAGATGATCAATAGATAAGCATTAAAAACTGAAAGAAAAAAAAGTTGGATTAACATTGTACTTTCCACGATATAATGCTGAAAAAAATTAACCCTTCTGCCCAACACAGTACTGAAATACCTTACCCTGAAACTTCATTTAATGCAGTCTTGAGACCTGTCACTCCTTAATATTCATGCAGACTTAAAATTAGCATCATTGGGAATTTCGTCACACAACCTGCAGTTCTCAATGCTATCTCAAGATTTACAGCTCCAAAGACATACTACAATCAGTGCCATGCATGGTAACACTACCAGTTGTGTTCCCCTAACTTTTAAGGTCTTAAAAAAACTTGGCTACCTGACAGTTTAGGCCTTTCTTTTTCAAATAAATAAAGGAAAACACTGGGAGTCTCAACTATGCAAATTTGTAAATAATTGCTTTCTACATAGCCTAGAATGATATTAGAAGAAAATCAGATTTAAAAAGTTTCATATTTACAATTAGATTTTCATAAAACCTAACTATGCATTTCTTTTAGAATTATGATTTATGTGGATTAAAATAATAATAACATAAAACAGTTGGAAGTCATTGTTCTGAAGATCTTCAAGAAGTGAGCAATTTCAGATGTCCAGAAGAGTGCCTTCTCTCTTTTTACTTATATTTTAAGGTACTTTATGCAGGACGCCCTTGACCAAAACGACTTTTAGACCTAGATTTTTTAAACAGAAAAGGAGGTCAGAATTGCTTCTAAAACAATAGGAAGTTGGTGCTCCTTTAGATTATGTTGGCTTGGCAACATCAAGGTTTAATAAATCTTCTTGCAGCTCCGTAATCCATTTTCTAAAACTCTTAACAGGAGATGTATTTTTGGAATTGAGATTTGTTACTTCTCAGAGATAATACGTTATGTACATTGTATATAATGGATCTGGAGCAGTGCCCCATAATCAAATATAAGTGGGATGAATAAAAAATATAAATGGTATCACAGCAGCTCAGTGCAAGTTTGAATTGCTACAAATGTATGAAAACACTTTCAGCTTTTTGAACTTTCTGGATTTCAGAATCATAAATAAGGAATTAGAATCTGTAATATTAATGTTCAAATCTCAGTAACTGTTAATCTCTAACAGAAAATTTGTGATGTAAAATGACATAAGACCCATCAGTTAGATTTTATTAAGAGAAATAAAATATAAAGCAAGGAGTGGTAAAGATTACAGTGATTTATATAAAGTATTAATATGTGATCTACAAACAGTACAAAAATTCTGCTACTTCCAGTAGCACTATAGCTTACATTTTTATCAGGAGTTGGCTCAGAATGAAGCTAGTCCAACAAGCAGAAAACTTTAAAAAATCCACAAAGCTATATTTTCATTAGATTTTATCTTTTAAGTTAAAATCTGTTTCTAATTAGTGCCTTGATAATATAATCATTGAAACAAAACATAAAACCAAACTCAAATGATATGTTTCTAGTGTTCATATGATTTATCTTAAAAAAAAAATTCACTTCAAAGCCACTGACACTCTGGTTTAGTTTATGCTGATTTACCTTGTGTTTTTCTCTGAGCTGCTTTGGCGTGCACTAACTGGCACTGAGGCCTTGATTTGTGCTTCCAGCCTGGAATAAATACCTCCTGCAAACTGCAGAATAAAGAAGCAATACTGTTATCTTCACAGAATCAATAGAAGCTCTGCTTTATTAAAATGGGATTACTTTTTAATTTAGAAGTAATTTTATTTTGATTTTTTAAATCCAGTCTTTTTGAGGTTTAATTTACATAAAGAAAAATGTACCATTTTAGTGTACAGGTGTGGGTTTTGACAAATGCATACAGTTTTATAACTACTGTCACAATGAAGACACAGAAAATAGTCCTATCACCCCCAAGAAAATTCCCTTGTTCCCCTGTCAAGTCGATCTACCTACCACTACCAATTTCTGGCAACTATTTGTCTGTTTTCTATCCCCATAGTTTTGCATTTTCCAGAACATTATATAAGTAGAATCATATAACATGTAGCCACTTGAATCTAGCTTCTTTCACATATAGGAGATTCATCCATATTGATGCATACATCAGAAGTTTGTTCCTTTTTTTTGGAGACAGCATCTCACTCTGTCAGCCAGGCTGGAGTGCAGTGGTGCGATCAAGGCTTACTGCAGCCCTGACCTCCTGGGTGATCCTCCTACCTCAGCCTCCAGAGGAGCTGAGACCTCACAGGTGTGCACCACCATGCCCAATTAATTTCTTATTTTTTGTAGAAACAGAATCTCCCTATGTTGCCCAGGCTGGTCTTGAATTCCTGGGCTCAATGTTCTTTTTGAGATGGAGTATCGCTCTGTGTTGCCCAGGCTAGAGTGCAGTGGCACGATCTTGGCTCACTGCAACCTCAACCTTCCGGGTTCAAGTGATTCTCCTGCCTCAGCCTCCTGAGTAGATGGGATTACAGGCCTGCACCACCACGCCCAGCTAATTTTTGTATTTTTAGTGGAGACGGGGTTTCACCATGTTGGCCAGATGGTCTTGATCTCTTGACTTTGTGATCCGCCCGCCTTGGCCTCCCAAAGTGCTGGGATTACAGGTGTGAGCCACTGCACCCGGTCCAATGTTCTTTTTATATGCAGTTTGTTTTCCCATTTACCAGGTAAAGGACATCATTTATAGTATTTCTAGTTTTTAGCAATTATGAATAAAGCTATTATAAAAATGTGTGAATTGATCTGTATGGTGAGGGAATGTCTATAAGAAATTGCCAAACTATTTTCCAAAGTGACCATTCCTTTTTGCATTTCTACTAGCTATATATGAGAGTTCCAGTTGCTCCACATCCTCATCAGCACTTGGTATGGGTTTTTCCCTTTGGAGACAGGGTCTCGTTCTGTTGCCCAGGCAGGAGTGTAGTGGCGTGCTCTTGGCTCATTGCAACTTCTGCCTCCCAGGCTCAAGCGATCCTCCTACTTCAGTCTCGCTAGTAGCTGGGACTACAGGCATCCACCACCATACCTGGCTAATTTTTGTTACTTTTTTTTGTAGAGATAGGGTTTCATCATGTCGCCCAGGCTGGTCTCAAACTCGTGGGTTCAAGTGATCCTTCCACCTTGGCCTCCCAAAGTGCTGGGATTACAGGTGTGAGCCACTGTATCCGGCCTCATTTAGGTTTTAATTTACATTTCCCTAAGGACTAATGATGTTGTATCTTAGCACATCTAATGATATATGCTTATCTGGCATGGAAATCCTTTTTTTCATGGTGTCTGTTTACTCTTTTGCCCATTTATTTTTATTAGGTTTTTAAATTTTATTATTGAGTTTTGAGAGTTCTTTATAGATTCTGGATACACATTCCTTATCAGGTGTTTTACACATATTTTCTCATAGTTTATGGCTTGTCTTTTCATTGTCTAAATAGTGTCTTTTGAAAAGTAGAAATTTTAAATGCTGATGAAGTCCAATTTTTCATTTATGGATCATGCTTTTGGTGTTGTAGGCTAAGAAATATTTTCCTAAGGTCACAAATATTTTCTCCTATGTTTCCTTTTAGAAGTTTTATAGGGAAGTAAATTTTTAAATAAAAGAATTAGGGCAAGAGTATGGTACTTACATAATACCAATACTAATGATAATACATAATGTCATGACTAAAATGTAATTCTAGCAAGAATATAGGTGTTTCTTGTCACCATTTTCAGCAAGATGACATCTTATTTTAGAGATGACATCTAAGCACTACATGCAGAGTTGATGAAAATTGGTACTTTCAGACAGTCGCCTGCTGGATAGTTAGCATTTGGTCAACAACGCACAGTTAACCTACTCTTGGTGTGATGACACATTTTCAGCAATGATGTACTTTATTATATGTGTTATAGATGACCTATGGACCATGGATAATAAGACATGGTGGAAAACTTTTACGTGAATAAACAGGCTAACTGATACAGAATATAAAAAAATACATAAATGTGGCCAGGCATTGTGGCTCACGCCTATAATCCCAGTACTTTAGGAGGCTGAGGCGGGCAGATCACGAGGTCAAAAGCTCAAGACCAGCCTGGCCAACATGGTGAAACCCCGTCTCTACTAAAAATGAAAAAATTAGCCGGGCATGGTGGTGCATGCCTGTAGTCCCAGCTACTTGGGAGGCTGAGGCAGGAGAATCACTTGAACCTGGGAGGTGGAGGTTGCAGTGAGCCGAGATGGCACCACTGCAAGTCTCAGTGAGTGAGACTCCATCTCAAAAAAAAAAAAAAAAAAAAACCAACAAAAAACCCCCACATATATTTGGCCAGGTGTGGTGGCTCACGCCTGTAATCCCAGCACTTTGGGAGGCCAAAGTGGGTGGATCACCTGAGGTCAGGAGTTCGAGACCAGCCTGACCAACATGGTGAAACCCCATCTCTACTAAATACAAAAAAATCAGCTGCGCATGGTGGTGCATGCCTGTAACCCAGCTATTTGGGAGGCTGAGGGAGGAGAATTGCTTGAACCCATGAGGCGAAGGTTGCAGTGAGCCGAGATTGCACCACTGCATTCCAGCCTGGGCAACAAGAGCAAAACTCCATCTCAAAGAAAAAAACAAACAAACAAACAAACACATAAATTACTCTTTTAAAATTCTGCCTAAGACATCTTTATAATCCTAAGCTGAAAATAAAAGTAGGAAGGCATATTTTACACAAGTACAATACACTAGTACACAATTCTTACTTCTTTTGCTTCCTTTGACTTGACTCGGTCCAGATCCCCCAATCTCATTTTTATTAGGTGCCCTGTAATTTCAGTCATTCGCCGTTGATCTGAAGGGAAAAAAACAGTAAACTTTACTTTTCATAAGGATGATATATAACTTTTTATTTCTCAAAAAGACTGTAATCACCTAGGGTTTATGAAAATATCCTTTGATACTATTTTACAGACACATACATCTATATATCTGTGAAGAATTTAAGTTAGCAAGTGGCAGATGACTCATCTGTGGATAATTGTGCTGCTTTTTAGATTACCATAAAACAGCCTAAAACATATTCAGTCATCTTTATGGTGAAAATAATGGGCAAAGGTCAATGTGAATGATCTCAAAACCACAGATGCATAAAATAATACATTATTCAGTGGGGTTGTCTAGTAATGAAACTCTGGTTGTTGCCTAAGGGAATATGCAAATTTGGGGCCTTACTTTAGCTAGAAACTCTAGAGCTATTCAGCATACTGTATAAAATGAAACACACACCAATCATTGCTATTTACATCCAATTTGTACATTACCCAAATAATAAAATTTACCGTCTTCTCTTTGTGCATCCTGGTTGAATCTCAAGGATCTTGTGGCATCCCACTTATTCTTCTGCATACTCATACTATTGAAAAAATTGAACAAAAATCAGCATTGATGCTTCTTTAAGAGTGGATATCCGATTGGATTAAGGAGCAATACTCACACGAAAGGAGACACATCTCTAGAAGCTGACTAAAAAAAAGTAGACAACATTAAGGCCCAATTAGAACATGTTTACTGATTAGTGCTATAGTTAGTAATAAAAAGAGTTCACTCTTACTGAGTGTGAAGACACTGTACCAAGAGCATTACAAGTGCTATTTCATTTAAACCTTGCACCAACCAAATGAGACAGGCACTATTAATATCTTCATAATAAAACAGGTTCAGAGAAGTTAAGAAACTTCTCCAAAGAGATACAGACCTAGAATTTGAATCCAGCTTCATTTGTTAACCTTGGAATCCCAGCTTATGCAATTTTTTTTTTTTTTGAAGACAGGGTCTCACTCTGTTGCCCAGGCTGGAGTGCAGTGGCATGATTATAGCTCACTGCAGCCTCGACTTCCTGGTCTCAAGTGATCCTCGCACCTCAGCCTCCTGAGTAGCTGGGACTACAGGTGTGTGCCACCATACCTGGCTAATTTTTGTATTTTTTTTTAGTAGAAATGGGGTTTTGCCATGTTGCCCAGGCTGGTCTCAAACTCTTGGGCTCAAGCAATCCACCCACTTTGACCTCCCAAAGTGCTAGGATTACAGGCATGAGTGATCATGCCCAGCCAGCTGATACAATTTTTTTTTAGAATTAACCCACTTATATGCCTGTGCTACTTAACACAAAGATGAATGTACAATGTGTCCAATGTAATTCTGTGGATCTTAACCCAGACTCAACCTATCACACATTTTTGAAATTCACAGTTTTTCTTTTAGCCAATGGTGGTTATTACTATTCTCTTATTCCTACCTGGCTTTTTTACCCCTTCCTTCAAAGGCATGGAGAAATAAGAATTATTTTTAAATATCATAAAATATGATTTATTTTTAATTTAAAAGACTATTTTTAATTTTTTGAATAAATAATATTGGTTTAAAATTCAAAAGGTATAATGGCACATATAATGAAAAGACTCTCACTTCTGTCCCTTACACGTTCAGTTCCCTTCCTGAGAGGCAACCAATTTTATCGAGTTCTTATGTAGCCTTCCAGAAACATTTTATGCATATACAAGGAAGTTATTTATATATTTCCCCCATCTACTTTACACAAATGGTAGCATACTATACCACTATACGTTTCTGCACCTTCCTTTTCTCATTTGTCAATATATCTTAGAGATCTTTAATCTCAGTCTATAAAAAACTTCATTTTTACATTGCTAGCATTCCATGTGTCTTCATTACTCTTTTTATTTTTTTCTGGCTATACTCACATGCTTATTTTTCCATATGAACTTTAACAACAGATAATTCAGAGTTACCTTCTCCAATGCCTTTTCTTTCCTCTGGGCACAGGGTGAAGATACCTGCTTTTTTGGTTGTCTAGTGAACTTCTTTGGCTTCTCCTTTTTCCCTGATAATGAGAAGACAATGTTATAAACTTAGGCCCCATATACTTTTCCAGTCCACTTGTTACTTCTAAACAATAAGACCATTAAGAAAAACATTGTTTTAAGAAAACTAACAAATTAACCTCTGGATAGAAAGCAAATATACCATGAAGCAAAGCTGAAATTGCTTTACAGGGGTTCATAAGCTGAAATTGCTTTACAGGGGTTCATTTTCTTTTTCTTTTTTTTTGAGACAGAGTCTTGTTCTGTCACCCATGCTGGAGTGCAGTGGCATGATCTCGGCTCACTGCAATCTCTGCTTCAACGGTTTAAGCGATTCTCGTGCCTCGGCCTCCCAAGTAGCTGTAAGAAAGAAGTATTGAAATCTCTAGCTATAAGTGGTAATCTGTGTATTTTTCCTTACAGATTTGTCTGTTTTTGCTTTGTATATTTTAGGGCTTTATAATTAGGCACATTTACATTTATACTAAAAGTACAAAAATTAGCCAAGTATGGTGGTGCATGCCTGTAATCCCAGCTATTCGGGAGACTGAGGCACAAGAATCACTTGAACCCAGGAGGTAGAGGTTGCAGTGAGCCGAGATTGTGCCATTTCAGCCTGGTGATAGAGCGAGACTCTGTCTCAAAAAAAAAATATATATATATATATACGATGAGTGACTTTATGCCAATAAATCTGACAAACTGGATAAAATTCCTTGAAAGACAGAAATTATCAAAACAAATTGAAGAGGCAATAGAAAACTTGAATAGCATCTATTAACTAATGAAAGTGAATTCATAATTTAAAGCCTTCCTATAACAAAAGCTCCAGGCCCATATGGCTTCACTGAATTTTATTATTCTTTTAAGGGAGAAACAATACAAATCCTACACAAACTCTTTCAGAAAAGGGGGTGATGTCACTCATTTTCTAATGTCATCATGACTCTGATATCAAAACCTGAAAAATACATAAGAAGAAAACTACAAATATCTCTCATGAACAGAAACAAAAAATCCTTAACAAAATATTAGCAAGTAAGCCCAGGCATGGTGGCTCACACCTGTAATCCTACCACTTTGGGAGGCCGAGGTAGGAGGATTGCTTGTGGCTAGGAGTTCAAGAACATCCTGGGCAATATAAGGAGACCTTGTCTCTACAAAAAATCTTAAAGATTAGCTGGGCATGGTGGTGCACACCTGTGGTCCCAGCTACTCAGGAGGCTTGGGTGGGAGAACTGCTTGAGCCTTGGGAGGTCGAGGCTGCAGTGAGCTGTGATCACGACACGGCATTGAAGCCTGGGCAACAGAGAGCCCCTGTCTCAAAAATATATGTATGTGTATATACACATGCATGTATATATACATAGATACACACATATATATATGCAAGTCCAATGCAGTGAGATGTAGGAGTTCAGTCAGGATGGTGGGAAAAACTGTAAAATAAACTTTCTTAGAAGGCCAGAAGGTTTTTGCAGAAGCCTCAGGATAGAGTTATGGCTGAAGGCAGCCTAATCCTCTTTGAGCTATAGCAAGGGTAATTAACATAGGAATGTAGAGCAGTCTATCTAAATAGCTTGTTTACTCATGTGGTTCTAAGACTAACCGTTGACAATCTGTGGGTGCATGATTGCTCTCTACTAAGTGGGTTGGCAACGGTAATTACATTCTAGTGGCATTTACTTGAGACTTTTGTCGTTTAATGTGTGCTGAATAAATGCTGGGAAGGCCAGCAAGTCTGGGTCGCGGCTGCAACTCTTTACAGCACTCTCCTGGGAGTCTGTAAGCGGCCCAGACTCTCAGCCAGACAGACAAGCATAATATCTGTGTCAGTGTAAGTTATTCATCTGTCGTTGGGTCAGGATCTGTGGATCAGACTCCTGCAGTGATATATAAAAAGAGTAACAAATGACCAAGTGGAGTTTACACCAGAATACTGGTATAACGTGAAAAATCAATCAATGTACCTAATTGATACAATAAAGGAGAACATCTATATGATCTTCTCAATAGATGGAGAAAAAGCATGTGATAAAATGCAACACCTATTCGCTATAAAAACTCAGCAAAATAGAAACAGAAAGGAACTTTCTCAACTGAGAAAGGACATTTATGGGAAGCTGACAACTGACATTACATACTTAACGATTAAAGACTGGATGTTTTCCCCATCAGACAAGGTAAGGATGTCTGTCTGTTTTCACCACTTCTATTCAATATCAGGTCCTAACCAGCACAAAAGGCAAGACATATAAATAAAAGGTATACAGATTGGAATGAAATCTAATAAATGAAGAGCAAATAACTGAATTTAGCAAGGTCACAGGACACAAAGTCAATATACAAACATCAATTGTATTTTGACCATCATTAGTATTACCATCAATGAGCAACCGGAAAAACAACTCCATTTATAATAGCATAAAAACACGGAGGAATAAATTTAACAAAAGATGTTCAACACCTGTACACTGAAACTACAAAACATTGTTGAGAGACATTAAAGAAGTCCTATATAAATGGAGAGATATTCCATGTTCATGGATGGGAAGAACTGCCATTGGAAAAAAAAGGAATTCACCCCAAATTGGTATATGGGTTCAACACAATCCCAACAAAAATCCCAAAAAGATATTTGTAGAAATATCCACACAGACTCTAAAATTTGTAGAAAATGCAACGTACCTTGAAAGGCCAAAATAATTTAAAATTAAAGAATAATTTTGGAGGACTCACACCACCAGGTTTCAAGACTCACTAAAATCTACAAAAATTAACAGTGTGGTATTGATATGCTGATGTAAAGAAAGACATAAGAATCAATGGAAGAAAACACAGTTTGGAAATGGGGCCACATGTAAATGGTCAACCGATTTTTAACATGCCAAGGTAATCCAATATGTTAGAACAGAATAGTCTTTTCAATAAACGGTGCTGGAACAACCGGCTATGCCTATGGAAAAAAAGGAAGCTTGACCCTTAACTCATACAAAAAAATTAACCTGAATGGGATCATAATCTTAAATAAAAAGCTAAAATCATACAACTTCTAGAAGAAAACACAGCAGAAAATCTTTGTGACTTTGAGGTAGGCAAATACTTCTTAGCTATTAAATAATGGAACATAAAAAGGAAAAACTAAAAAATTAGAATTCACAAAATTTAAAACTTTAGCTCTTCAAAATACATCATTAAGAAAATTAGGCCTGGTGAGGTGGCTCATGCCTGTAATCCCAGCAGTTGGGAGGCCGAGGCAGGCGGATCACCTGAGGTCAGGAGTTCGAGACCAGCTCCGCCAACATGGCAAAACCCCATCTCTACTAAAAATACAAAAAGTAGCCCAGTGTGGTGGTGCACACCTGTAATCCCAGCTACTCGGGAGGCTGAGGCAGAAGAATCGCTGGAACCCAGGAGGCAGAGGTTGCAGTGAGAGATCGCACCTCTACACTCCAGCCTGGATGACAGAACAAGACTCTATCTCAAAAAAAAAGAAAAAAAAAAGAAAATTAAAAGGCAAGGCATAGACTAGGGGAAATATTGAGAAACATATGGCTGACAAAAAAGACTTAGATCTAAAGTATATACAAAGAAATCTTACAATTCAATAATAAGGCAAATGATCCAATAAAAATGGGCCAAAGATTTAAACAAACACTTCATAAAAAAGATATATAAATGGTCAGTAAAAACATGAAAAGTTGCTTAACACTATCTACCCACTAGAATGGCTAAAATTAAAAAGACCAATAATACCAAGTATTGATGTGAATGTGCAGCAACTGGAACTCTCATACACTACTGGTGGGAATGCACAGTGGTGGGACTGCTCCACTGCTTGTAGAGATGCAAAACGGCCACTTTGCAAAACAATTTGGCAGTTTCTTATAAAGTGAAACATACACTTACCATATGATCTAGTAATTTCACTCCTAAGTATCTACTCAAGAAAAATGAAAACACATGTCCACACAGACTTGTATGCAAATGTTCACAGCAGCATTATTCACAACAGCCAACAAGAGGAAAGCACCCATATGCCCATGAAATTGGGAATGGATAAACAAAGTATGGTATAGCCATACAATGGAATACTACTCTGCAATAAAAAGGAATAAACTACTGACACATGCAATAATATGGATGAATCTCAAAAACCTCATACTAAGTGAAAGAAGCCAGGAACAAAAAACTACTCATGATTCCATTCATATGAAACCCTAAGAAAGGTAAATTGTTTTGACAAAACAGATTCATGGTTGCCTGAGAGCAGAACTGGAGAAAGGGAACTGAGTACAAAGGGGGACGAAGGAACTTTTTGAAATGATGTTCTAGATTTTTATTTTGGTGGTGGTTACACATCTGTGTGCCAAAACTCATCTACATGTACACTTAAAATGGGTGAATTTTGTAACATATAACTTATACCTCAATCAAACTGTTGAAAAGAAACATTGTAGAATTTTCTCCTTTACTAATTAAAATGGACACAAAATTGCTAAAGAACCAGCTTTTTCATTGGAGGATTCGAGATGTTAAGAAAAATTACGTAAAACTTGGAGAGAAGATAAAGGGAAGGCAGCATGTTTTTTCTTTTCTTTTTTTTGAGACGGAGTCTCGCTCTGTCGCACAGGCTGGAGTGCAGTGGCACAATCTCGGCTCACTGCAAGCTCCGCCTCCCAGGTTCACACCATTTTCCTGCCTCAGCCTCCCGAGTAGCTGGGACTACAGGTGCCCGCCACCACGCCTGGCTAATTTTTTGTATTTTTAATAGAGAAGGGGTTTCACTGTGTTAGCCAGGATGGTCTCGATCTTCTGAGCTCGTGATCCGCCCGCCTCGGCCTCCCAAAGTGCTGGGATTACAGGTGTGAGCCACTGCGCCTGGCTGCAGCATGTTTTTTCAATGTCATTGGAGGGTTGTTTAACATGCCTACTCAAGAATCATTCAATTCTCTAAGAGAATGTCCCATGTCTGACTACCATCTACTGATGGCATCTGAAAGTTACATGTTAACTTTCAGGTTTTTGTGTCTAATAAAAATGCAAATTATTTCTAAAAAGATAACCTAAGAGTTACGGGTTCACTAAGTTGTATGACACTGATCAATTTTGTATCTAACTTACAATCTTCTTTTAACTTTTTTTTTTTTTAGATGGAGTTTCACTCTGATTGCCCAGGCTGGAGTGCAATGGGATGGTCTCGGCTCACTGCAACCTCCCCTTCCTGGGTTCAAGTGATTCTCCTGCCTCAGCCTCCTGAGTAGCTGTGATTACACGCACCTGCCACCATGCCCAGCTAAGTTTTGTATTTTTTTTTTTTGAGACAGAGTCTCGCTGTGTCGCCCAGGCTGGAGTGCAATGGCACAATCTTGGCTCACTGCAACCTCCGCCTTGCGGGTTCAAGCAGTTCTCCCACCTCAGCCTCCCAAATAGCTGGGATTACAGGAACCCGTCATTATGCCCGGCTAATTTTTGTATTTTTGTAGAGACCGGGTTTCACCACGTTGGCCAGGCTGCTCTTGAACTCCTGACCTCAGGTGATCCGCCTGCCTCGGCCTCCTAAAGTGCTGAGATTACAGGCATGAGCCATCGTGCCCGGCCTAATTTTTGTATTTTTAGAAGCAACAGGGTTTCACCATGTTGGCCAGGCTGCTCTCGAACTCCTGACCTCAGGTGATCTGCCTGCCTCGGCTTCCCAAAGTGCTGGGATTACAGGGATGAGCCACTGCGCACAGACCAACATTCTTTTTTCAAAAGTAGTATAATGGAATACCACTCTGCAATAAAAAGGAATAAACAATATGAATGAATCTCAAAAACCTTATACTAAGAGAAAGAAGCCAGAGACAAAAGATTACTCATGATTCTATTCATATGAAATCCTAAAAGAGGTAAATTATTGTGACAAAACAGATTCATAATTGCCTATAAATACTTGAGTCTTCAAAGTCTCTTTGAACCAATTTTCCTTGCTGTTTCTCGGAACTAATGAGTTCAGAAATTTTGACACAAGTTAATTTTATAGTTGTACAATAGCCATGCTCTCGGCCGAGCACAGTGGCTCACGCCTGTAATCCCAGCACTTTGGGAGGCCGAGGCAGGTGGATCATCTGAGGTCAGGAGTTCAAGACCAGCCTGATCAACATTGTGAAACCCCGTCTCTATTAAAAATACAGAAAAATTAGCTGAGTAGTCCGAGCTACTCAGGAGACTGAGGCAGGAGAATTGCTTGAACCCAGGAAGTAGAGGTTGCAGTGAGCCAAGATTGCGCCACTGTGACAGAGTGAGACTCTGCCTCAAAAAAAAAAAAAAAAAAACAAACACAAAAAAAACATGCTTTCCACTAAAAAAAAAAATCATACATTGATGAATGTTATTTAATGGTTCATTTGAGTATCACTCCAAATCATCTCAGCTACACGTCTCAGATCACATTTCATCTGAAATGAGTCACACATTTAGTTGCACCTGAAGTGAAAACCTGGAGAGTTCTTTCTCAGTGTACTGCCCTTTCTTTACAGCTTTGAGTATTTTGTGTTCATGCCCGGGTTAGGAAATCTTGATGGTGTCTCCTTTCAATTTTTTTTCTATGTTGCAACCTACTCTCTATATAAAACCAATTCCCCATCCCTTGCATTAAAGGCTTCAGAATGTAACCCCTTCATAAACAGGGAGATTTGATTTTAACTTATAAACCAATACTTTGTTTCTTGGATACTTCTTCTTCATCTCCAACTTCATCTTCAGTGACCTCAGATCCAGTGGTATATTCTTCTTCTTCTGAAAACAGTGACTGTTGTTTCTAAGTTAAAAAAAAATCTATTATAAATGTAATATTATGATTTTTTATTGAATTCTTTCAAACATATTTACCTAAATTTCTTTTGAATGAATCAGTCAATCAAGAGCTGATAAAATAACCTCTGGCTAGCACAATATCCAGGAAATAGACATAAGAATTTTTATATTTGGAGCAGGCTTACATTACTTCATATATTTTTTAATTCCTTCACAGAACCTAGAACAGTAGTAGGCACATAAGTACTCAGTATTTGTTGAATTGTACCTCTATCACTCAAGTAAATGTATATTCCTTGATATTAAGATTAAATTACAATATAGTAACCACCAATATTAAAGTAGTCTTATAAACAAGCACATATGCACATTCTCTGGGTGAATGTGGTCCTGGATTATTTAACCATATCTGCATTACTTTCCTGCATCTCTGTGCCCTACTGTCTGTTATCACTAATCCAAATTCCTGTTCCATTCTTGTGAATATTGATGGCAGACAGCATAGTACTGGCAAACAGGTAAAAAAAAAAAAGCCAACCCTTCACTCAAACAATCAAATAACTGGAACTTAACAAGTTTGTTGCTTTGTTCAATGTCCTAAATATGACATAAGAGTGACTTTAAAAAATCGTTTAACTAGATCTATGGATTATGCAGCCAGACATGGAATATGAGTCTGTCTTAAATAATTTAATGGCATTTTTACTTAAGTGCAAAATAGGAGAATCTGAAAAGGAAGATGTACATTTAACTAAAATTTGTAAAATAAGATACTGATAAGATTCTATTAAACTAAACTTTAATTTAGGAAGAAAGAGATCCATGAATGCTAACTGTAATTGCTCACTTACCAGTTGTAGAGTCCAGTTTTTCAATGACAAGAACTACAAGACAGGAATAAGAGATTAATAAATCTGCATTTACCTAGATTGCAGCTCCTTATTTTGATATAGATACTGTAGAAGAGTTGAAAAAAGTTACAAATATAGTTCCCTTCCAGGCTGAAACATAATTTAAAACTCAGGCTGAAAGTGATATGTTACAGTCTTTAATATCCTCTGCTAGAGGAGGATGTGGATGTTTTCTAAAAGAAAGACACTTTCCCAGTATTATTTCCAAAGGACAAGTAAATCACGTACAAGAAAATTACTAAAATAATTTTAGTTATTTTTAGAACTATTTCAATCACTTTTTAATGTTTATATTTTAATATAAATTAAGGAAGCAGACTACATATGGACATTCAATAAATCTAGTTTGTTGTTTGACATATAATTAATAAATAAATGTTAATGTGTGAATTTTTTTTTTTTTTGAGACAGAGTCTCACTCTGTCACCCAGGCTGGAGTGCAGTGACACGATCTCCACTCACTGCAACCTCCGCCTTCTGGGTTTAAGCGATTCTCCTGCTTTAGCCTCCCGAGTAGCTGGGATTACAGGCACATGCCACTGCGCCCAGCTAAATTTTGTATTTTTAGTAAAGACAGGGTTTCGCCATCTTGACCAGACTGGTCTTGGACTCCTGATCTCAGCCTCCCAAAGTGCAGGGATTACAAGCATGAACCACCATGCCCGGCATGACTGAATATTTGTATAGCTGTCTGAAGTTTATAAAGCACTTCACAGGGAATATTTCACTTTCTCAAGTAAAAGCTATCTTAACCAACACAAAGACAGAACATTCATAGGCAAATATATTCCCTGGTCCTTAGTAACAAAGGCAAAGGAATAAAAAGGAGTCAAAGGAATCAAGTTTTCTGGTCACTTTAAAAATATTTCAGTTTTGAAACTTTTGTGTGTTTGTTTTTTGAGACAGGGTCTCACTCTGTCACCCAGACTCCAGGCTGGAACTTTTGAAGAATTTAAATATATTCCTAATTACAATAAAAGGATAATTTTATGCCAAAAAAAGTTTACAGAAGCAGAAGGAAACAAAATATCCATTCATGCTATCTTCATTCCTCAAATCATTTGTCCATAATAAAAACCTTAAAGACCATGTTATGTTTTGGGTTTTTCTTTTTTTTTTTTTGAGACAGAGTCTCCCTCTGTCACCCAGGGTGGAGTGCAGTAGTGTGATCTCGGCTCACTGCAACCTCTGCCTCCTGGGCTTAAGCAATCTTCCCACCTCAGCCTCCCAGCAAAACTTGGACTACAGGCACAAGGCACCACACTTGGCTAAGTTTTAAACCTTTTTTGTAGAGATGAGGTCTCACTATATTGCCCAGGCTGGTCTCAAACTCCTGGGCTCAAGCCATCTTCCTGCCTCAACCTCCCAAAGTGCTGGGATTACAGGTCTGAGTCACCGTGGCTGGCCCCATGTTGTTTTTTTCCCTAAATTTAAATGTATTCATTATTAATTCTTTGAGGGCAAGAAATGTGTCCTATTGCCCTTAGAGTCCTATTACTAGGCATAATACCTTCTTATGATTAGGTAGTCAGTTCAATTTCAACTTAAACTGATCAGGTTCCTGTCAAAGATTAAATGTCATTAATTATTTATGTAAATAAAGAATAAGTGAAAAAAAACTACTCACAGCATTGAGCTCCCCAGTTTTGGGACCCCATGGTGTATTTGGCTCCAGTAAAACATCACATTCTATACCCTTTTCATCACAGAGGCCAACCCCAACATCACTTGAAAGAAAAAGACATTTTTACGGAGAAGAGTTTACTTTCTTAAAAATTTAAATGTGAATATCTTTTTATTACAAATGTTTCAAAAATCGCTTTTTAGAAATACAGTTCCTGAGTATAAGGATATCACGTCAACAATGACATTTCCTTTTTTTTTTTTTTTTTTTTTTTTGAGATGGAGTCTCGCTCTGTCACCCAGGCTGGAGGGCAATGGCATGATCTTGGCTCACTGCAACCTCTGCCTCCTGGGTACAAGCGATTCTCCTGCCTCAGCCTCCCGAGTAGCTGGGATTACAGGCACCCACCATCATGCCTGGCTAATTTTTGTATTTTTGTAGAAACGGGGTTTCACCATGTTGGCCAGGCTGGTCCTGAACTCTTGACATCAGGTGATCCACCCGCCTTGGCTCCCAAAATGCTGGGATTACAGGTGTGAGCCACCGCGCCCAGCCAACGATGACATTTCTTAATTCGTCCAGTGATTCCTCTAGCAAAAGACACCCCATTCAGCAAGCACCATTGTACTTGACGCATCATACCTATGAGGTGGTGGAATGGGCTGCTATAATTGGTACTGCTTTAAGAACAGCCTTGGCTGGGCACAGTGGGTCACGCCTCTAATCCCAGCACTTTGCGAGGCCGAGGCGGGCGGATCACGAGGTCAGGAGATTGAGACCATATTGGCCAACATGGCGAAACCCTGTCTCTACTAAAATACAAAAAATTAGCCAGGCATGGTGGCACATGCCTGTAATCCTAGCTACTTGAAAGGCTGAGGCAGGGCAATTGCTTGAACCCGGGAGGCGGAGGTTGCAGTGAGCTGAGATCGCACCACTGCACTCCAGCCTGGTGACAGAGCGAGACTCCATCTCAAAAAAAAAGAAAGGAGGGGGGTGCGGCCAGGCGCAGTGGCTCACGCCTGTAATCCCAGCACTTCAGGAGGCAGAGGCGGGTGGTTCACGAGGTCACGAGTTCGAGACCAACCTAGTCAACATGGTGAAACCCTGTCTCTACTAAAAATACAAAAATTAGCTGGGTGTGGTGGCGGGTGGCTGTTAATTCCAGCTACTTGGGAGGCTGAGGCAGGAGAATGGCGTGAACCCGGGAGGCAGAGGTTGCAGTGAGCCAAGATTGTGCCACCGCACTCCAGCCTGGGCAACAAGAGCGAAACTCCAACTGAAATGCTTTTTTTTTTTTGAGACGGAGTCTCCCTCTGTCACCCAGGCTGGAATGCAGTGGCACAATCTCAGCTCACTGTAGCCTATGCCTCCCAGGTTCAAGCACTTCTCCTGCCTCAGCCTCTCAAATAGCTAGGATTACAGGCACCTGCCACCATGCCTGGTTAGTACAGACGGGGTTTCACCATGTTGGCCAGGCTGGTCTCAAACTCCTGACCTCAAGTGATCGGCCTGCCTCGGCCTCTCAAAGTGCTGGGATTAAAGGTGTGAGCCACCACGCCTGGCTAAGAACAGCCTCTTTTAAAGTGTCCTCCAGCCTCTAACCTTACAACCTGCTGCCACTGCAAAATGATGAAAGTGACTTCAGAAATTACCGAATTCGAGGAGTTCAAACTCATGGAGAGATGAACTCAACCATCAACATTTTTTTTCTAGTTGGATCAATCATGCATTGATTGATACAATCAATTGGTTGATCAATGATCATGGGGTTTCACCATGTTGGCCAGACTGGTCTCAAACTCCTGACCTCAAGTGATCCGCCTGCCTCGGCCTCCCAAAGTGCTGGGATTAAAGGCATGAGGCACTGTGCCTGGCTAAGAACAGCCTCTTTTAAAGAGTCCTCCAGCCTCTAACCTTACAACCTGCTGCCATTGCAAAATGATGAACGCGACTTCAGAAATTACTGAATTTGAGAAGTTCATACTCATGGAGAGATGAACTCAGCCATCAATATTTTTTTCTAGTTGTATCAATCATGCATTGATTGATACAATCAACTGGTTGATCAATTGGTTGAGAGGGCCTCAAGCAACTTGGGAACCCTCATTCATCACCACCACACATTGGATTTAAGGTCTTAACCTTTTTAATCACCAAGGGCTCTTTTCTTTTTTTTTTTTGCTCTTTTTTTTTTGCTCTGTCACCCAGGCTGGAGTGCAGTGGCACGATCTTGGCTCACTGCCAGCTCCACCTCCCGGGTTCACGCCATTCTCCTGCCTCAGCCTCCCAAGTAGCTGGGACTACAGGTGCCCACCACCACGCCCGGCTAATTTTTTGTAGTTTTAGTAGAGATGGGGTTTCACTGTGTTAGCCAGGATGCTCTCGATCTCCTGACCTCGTGATCCGCCCGCCTTGGCCTCCGAAAGTGCTGGGATTACAGGTGTGAGCCACCGCGCCCAGCCACCTCCAGTATTTTTAAGTGTGCTGCCTATCATATAAATATCTGTCTGCTCTTACTGTAAGCTAACATATAATTTCAGTTAAGTTTTCTGAAATAATGAAAACTACTTGAGGACTGACGTTGCTGATTTGGGGATAAGGGATTCTGAAATGGGAACTGCTGAATAAAGCTATAATACAGTGTTGGGTTTTTCCACCCCTCACCTAACTGTATCTTTTGAAAAAGGCACAACAATGACATCTCTGTACTTGTGCAAATCGTCCAACATTCTAGCAGTGGGACAGGACGGCAAATCTCCGCCTTCACCTTGATCACGAAGTGTAACCATGTGGTCCCTCACTTTACAGCCCTGTCACATAAGAGACAATAAATTAGAGGTTAGTTTGTTATAGAACACTCCTTTAAAGATCACTGTTTTTCTTTTCTTTGCCAAGTCATATTGTCATATACATATTTTATAACTTTTTCTCAAGAAAAACATTCCTCATACAGAAAAGAGATTCAATCATAACTGTATGGCTTAACAAATACCCAAGAATACCCATATAATCACAATCCACATTAAGAATTAGAACATTACGAGCACTCCAGGAGTGCCCACAGGCCCAATTCTGATCATAACGGTTTCCCTCCTCCCAACAGGTAACCTCTACCCTGGCTTGTGGTAATTACTTCCTTGCTTTTCTTTATCCCTCTGCCACTTAAGGATGCATTCCTAAACACTATAGTTTAGTCTCACTTGTTTTGTTTGACATTATGTTTCTACTGGGTGAGGTGGCTCAAGCCTATAATCCCAGCACTTTGGGAGGCCAAGGTGTGTGGATTGCTTGAGCCCAGGAGTTTGAGATCAGCCTGGACAACATGGCAAAACCCTGTCTCTAAAAAGGAAGAAAAAAATTAGCTGGGTGTGGTGGTGCATGCCTCCAGTCCCAGCTACCTCAGGAAGCTGAGGTGGGAGGATCACTTCAGCTCAGGGAGGTCGAGATTGCCTTTAGCCATGATCAGGCCACTGCACTCCAGCTTGGGCGATAGAGTGAAACCCTGTCTCAAAAAAAAAAAAAAAAGAAAGAAAAATTATGTTTTTATGATTCAATGATGTTATTTCATGTAATAATAATATTTGCTTTAATGTATAGTGTTTCACTGCATGAATATACACCATTTATTTACTCTTCTACCACTGATGGCTTGTTTCTAGTTTGGGGCTACTAAAAATAATATTACTATGAACATTCTTTTATCTGTTTCTCAGTACACAAGTGCTCATGTGTACCAAATTATATTACCATCAGCAGTATATGAGGATTCCTGTTACTCCAAATGCTTGCTAACACTTGGTCAGACATTTAAATTTTAGTCATTCTGGCTCGGCGTGGTGGCTCATGCCTGTAATCACAGCACTCTGGGAGGCTGAGGCAAGCAGATCACTTGAGGCTAAGAGTTCGAGACCAGCCTGGCCAACATGGTGAAACCCTGTCTCCGATAAAAATACAAAAATTTAGCCAGGCATGGTGGCACGCACCTGTAATCCAGCTACTCAGGAGGCTGAGGCATGAGAATTGCTTAAGCCCAGGAGGCGGAGGTTGCAGTGAGCCAACATGGTGCCACTACACTCCAGTCTGGGCAACAGAGCAAGAGCAAGACTCCACCTCAAAAAAAAAAAAAATTTAGTCATTGTGGTAAATATGTATTGGCATTCATTCTGGCTTTAATTTGTGCTGGGATTTCTCCAGTTACAAATGAGGCTGTCCTTTTCATGTTTACAGGACAACTGTTTTTTTGTCTGAAGTGCCGGTTGTCTTTCTCCAATTTTTTTTTTTTTTTTTTTTTTTTTTTGAGACACAGTCTTGCTCTGTTGCTAGGCCAGAGTGCAGTGGTACGATCGCGGGTCTCCGCCTCCCAGGTTCAAGCAATTCTCCTGCCTCAGCCTCCCAAGTAGCTGGGACTACAGGCGCACACCACCACGCCCAGCTAATTTTTGTATTCTTAGTAGAGCTGGGGTTTCACCATGTTGGTCAGTCAGGGTGGTCTCGATCTCTTGACCTCATGATCTGACCGCCTCGGCCTCCCAAAGTGCTGGGATTACAGGTGTGAGCCACCATGCCCAGTCGGGATATGAGCAACATATATATCGACAAAAGATTCATTATATATCTATTTTGGTTTTTTTGAGATGGAGTCTTGCTCTGTCACCCAGGCTGGAGTGCAATGGTCCAATCCTGGCTCACTGCAACCTCCGCCTCCTGGATTCAAGCGATTCTCCTGCCTCCCGAGTAGCTGGGATTACAGGCGCCCACCACCATGCCCAGCTAACTTTTGTATTTTTAGTAGAGACAGTGTTTTCGCCATGTTGGCCAGGCTGGTCTTGAACTCCTGACCTCAGGTGGTCCGCCCATCTCAGTCTCCCAAAGTGCTGGGATTACAGGCTTGAGCCACTGTGCCTGGCCTATTAATATATACAATTTTTTTTTTTTCAGACGGAGTCTCGCTCTGTTGCCCAGGCTGCCGTGCAGTGATCTCAGCTCACTGTAAGCTCCACCTCCCAGGTTCACACCATTCTCCTGCCTCAGCCTCCCGAGTAGCTGGAACTATAGGCGCCCGCCACCAAGCCCGGCTAATTTTTTGTATTTTTAGTAGAGAAGGCGTTTCAGCGTGTTAGCCAGGATGGTCTTGATCTCCTGACCTCGTGATCCGCCCGCCTCAGCCTCCCAAAGTGCTGGGATTACAGGCGTGAGCCACAGCGCCCAGCCAATATATTCTTTTAAAGATGCCTACAAAGAAATATATTTTGCTCGAAACAATGTAGAAATATGATAGCTAAAATGGAAACAAACTAACCACAAATGTAAATTTGTGGTTACAAATTAATGTAGAAATTAATGTGGTTAGAAATTAATGTGGTTAGAAAGAACTGTAAAGACTAAAAAATCATGTTACTGAAACAAACATAATAGCAATGATGAATTAACGAAATATCTTGGGTCTAGCAAAGCTAATCTAATTTTGCTTAACGTCTCATGCCCAATTTAAGTATCTTTGTATGTAAAATATATAACTAAAACTTTAAGTATGAATGTTATGTAAGTAATCCATTACCTCACCAATAAAACTTCTAAGTAATCAAAGTTGGTGACCGATTGCAAATATAAGAAAACTAATGCAGTTAAAATTCCATGACCCATCATTCAGTAACATTCACGCCAATATCCCAAATTCCTTGCCCCTAAATTTCATCATCCCCATCTGGCAAAATCCTAACTCTAGATAAACTCAACTACCCATCTTCTCCCTGCCTGTACTCACGCAGACAAGGGTTACTGGAGAGAGTGATATAAACAGGCATGTTGAATTATATTGTGAATTTATGACTGCCAATCTCCAGTGAGCTCTCAAACTTCCCAGGAGTATACATTTTCTCTGGAAAATTCACTCTCCTGTTTTTCAAAATACTATTTCAAACCTTCCATACTCCCCTCAAACCCTGGAACCTTCTGTCTTCCCCCTTATTCTTAGTGGCTGGCTTAATCTACTTTTTAGAGAACAGAAAAAGCATTGGATTGGAATTAAGTTATCATCTAAATGACAAAAACAGAATTTTACTAATATCTACAACCATTCTACTCTTCTCTCCTGTTATAATAGAGGAGCTGTCCTCCCTCTTGTCGAAATTAATACCACTAAATGTGCTTAAGATCCCACCCTACCGTGCCTTCTCACCTTATACCATCAACCTCTCCTTCTCAACTGGATCCTTCCCACTGACTTTTAAAACGTTCTCTGGTATCAAAACAGAAGCAAGGCCAGGCACGGTGGCTCACACCTGTATTCCAGCACTTTGGGAGGCCCAGATGGGCAGGTCATTTGAGGTCAGGAGTTCGAGACCAGCCTGGCCAATATGGTGAGACTCCATCTCTACTAAGAATACAAAAATTAGCCAGGCATGGTGGCACATGCCTGTAATCCCAGCTACTTGGGAGGCTGACGCAGGAGAATCGCTTGAGCCCGGGAGGCAGAGGTTGCAGTGAGCTGAGATCGTGCCATTGCATTCCAGCCGGGGCAACAGCGAGACTCCTTCTCAAACAAACAAACGAAAAACCCCCAAAACACTAAACAAATATTCATAACCTAAATTACTAATCTATCTCCTCCCTTTCTCAAATTTCCCAAAAGAAATGTCATTTATACTGTTCCCATTTGTTTATCTCTCACTCACTTCTCAACCCATAAAAACCTGGCTTCTGGATCTAGCACTCCACCAAAATAGCTCTTCACACCTATGAATTCCCTGTCACTAAGGCCAAAGGACACAGTTCTTTCATTATTTTATTTGACCTCTTAGCAGTATTAGGCACCACAGTCCACTCTTTCTTTAATATTACTCCCTCAACTTTCATGGCAACATTCTCAATTTTCCTCCCATTATTCTGGCTGCCCCTGACCATTCTCCTTTGCAGGCTCATGCTGCTTCACCCAGCCATAGCTGTAGTTTCCCTCTGCTCTTCATACACTCACCTATACCTGCTGGCTTTAACTATCATCTATTGCAAGAAAACTTATGAGTTATTATCTCCAGCCTAGCCACTTCTCTGAGCTCCCAAACTCATATATCTAACGGCCTCTGCCTGGTTATCTCAGAAAGCATCTCAAACTCAAAATGTCCAAAACAGAACTCACGAGTCTCCCTCGAAACCTGATTTCCGTCTGCTGCTTCCTCTTCAGTGAATGGCACCACCAGCTATCCAGTAGCACCAACTAGAA